>NC_000004.12:154678956-154981987 GCF_000001405.40 Homo sapiens
CCTTCCCCTCTTCTTTCTTTCTTTCACACACATCACACACCTTTTTTTTTGGAACCATCTAAAACTTTAAGTTGTAGACAATAAGACACCTCAGCCCTACATACTTCTGCATTCATCCGGCACGAATGAGAACATTCTCCTATGTAACCACAATGCAAGAATTGCACCTAATCAGAATGAACGCTAATATCATCCCTAAACTTCAGTGTGTTTAAGTTTTCCACTTGTCCTCAAATTGTCTTTTGACTCAAAGAGTCTGAAGCAGAATATTTCTCGCTCTGTCACCCAAGCTGGAGTGCAGTGGCGCGATCTTGGCTCACTGAAACCTCCGCCTCCTGGATTCAAGCGATTCTCTTGCTTCAGCCTCCCCAGGAGCTGGGACTACAGGTGCACGCCGCCACACCTGGTTAATTTTTGTATTTTTAGTAGAGACGGGGTTTCACTACATTGGGCAGGCTGGTCTTGTACCCCTAAACTCAAGTGATTCACCCGCCTCAGCCTCCCACGGTGCTGGGATTACAAGCATGAGCCACCGCGCTCAGCTAAAGAAGAATATTTGAAAACTACATTTCTTTTTTTATAAATTAATCTAACAGGTTTGGAAGTGCCCTTTAGCAGTAGGCTTAATGTTGAAATTTTGTTTCCATTTGTCAAGGCTTTTCCGGTCTTTCTAGATTTTCATTTTGGATGCACACTCTAGACAGTATCTGCCTGTGTGTATATAACTGAAACTTATATTGGCTTTTCTCTTCAGCAGTATCCTCTTACTTCCCAATTTGATGACCAACCTTTCCATCCTCCACTTTGACTGTGGCTGAGTACTGTGTGATAGATAAAAGATATCTATATTATCTCTTACACAAACCAATTAAAGCCTCTATTTGAGTAAATATTATAAACTGTTGCTTTCATATTTAAACGGTAAATTTAACATACTTTTTATCCAAGTGGATAAAGTAGCTGTTTTATGGCCATATTAGAACTATTAATTAATAAAATAGAACCCAGTGACTGAGATGGAGGTATTTCATATGAAAATTAAATTTACTTTGTATAAAATTGAAAATGCTGGTGATTAATGTTCCCTGGATGCAGGATACAGTAGGAAACACTGGGTTTTTCTAAATACAGACATGACTCCTTATCAAGGAACTGGAATTCTAAAACAACATTGAAACGAACATGTAAATAAAAGACTTGATAAAGAAATAGAGCATGTACACGGAAATTATTTGCCAAATGCAGGAATAAGATTGAAGATATTTAAACAGGCACAAATTTCTTGATGATTTATTTGTCTCTTTTAAATTTTCATACAGATTTAATCTGTAAATAAAAATAGGGTGACTGTGATTTGAGTAACTTTACAAGCACTTTCAAAACTGTGCAAAAGTATACAAAGTTGTCAGTTGGGTGGTGTTTGTTCCTGCTGGACTGCTTTGATGTATGCTGTGTTATATGGGACTGGCCACAAGTTTTTGGCCTCTTCAGGTCCCATAAATCTTGAAACTTTTGTGTTCACACTCAGCTCCTGGCATCATCAGCCACAGGAGCCCAAGATGCACAGACTCACCTAATATGCACCCCAGTTATTAGCAATGAACTTCTCTGCTCCCAGTGGACTAGTCAGTTTCCAGTGTTTGAATTATTTATAATTTAAAAACTAGAGACATAAAACTACACTGAAACAGACATGTCTCATCATCTTTTGCTCAGGGCCTTTTGGTGATAAATGCGCGCATATGAACTCGGGTTGAAAGATAATTTCGATTGCCTGCCAACTGTGGCCACCACCTGAGCAGCCAAATCTGGCTGAATAAAAACATGACTGCACTGATGGGGCCTTATTTTAATTTATGACCACGAATCTATGGCCTTTATGGGTCTGACTCTGTAGCTCAAATCCATTCACTCACCTGCAGAACTAGATCACTGTTTCTTACCTCCTCTCTGTCCCCCTTCACGCACTCTGAACTGGTGGTTTTGCATCATATTTCACTAAGAAAATGAAAACAACAGAAGAGAATTTCTTCCTTCTCCCATCATCATCATATCTACAAACTTACCTGGATCTATGTCCGTGTAACTGCCTTCCTCTTTAAGCCCACATTTCTCCATTTTCTTTATCTTCACTGACCCGGAGATGAAATTTAGTATTTCTTGCAATTGTGAACCTAGATAGTCAAACCATAGGAATATTAGCTGTAGCTGTCCAATAAAAAAATCTACAGATATTTTCATCTCATTTCACTTCTTACAGATATCTTGAAATAAGTACGTGCATGACTTCTTTGAAGTAACTGTGGTTACTATGTTCACTGATTGATATCATTATTTAATGTGTTAATTAAAAGTATGTATTTTACTATAGAATAACTTTTAAAATATTTTGATGACATATTTTCTTATAATTTGTTTTCTTTTATACCAATTCTAGATACACCAAAAATATAAAAATGTTTTATTTTATGCATTTAAAATATTATTCAGGCGGGGCGCAGTGGCTCATGCCTATAATCCCAGCACTTTGGGAGGCCGAGGTGGGCGGATCATTAGGTCAGGAGATTGAGACCATCGTGGCTAACACGGTGAAACCCTGTCTCTACTAAAAAAAAAAAAAACTACAAAAAATTAGTCAGGTGTGGTGGTGGGCACCTGTAGTCCCAGCTACTTGGGAGGCTGAGGCAGGAGAATGGCATGAACAAGGGAGGTGGAGCTTGCAGTGAGCCAAGATTGCGCCACTGTACTACAGCCTGGGTGACACAGTAAGACTCCATCTCAAAAAAAAAAAAAAATTATTCAGAGAAGGAATCTGAGGGTTTTAACAGACTTTCAAAGGGATTCATGAAAGTCCATGCCTCCTTGAAGTATATTTTCTGCCACAACCTCCCTTTTCAGCTTCTAAATTGATGTATGCAACTGCCTACTCAACATTTCCTCTTGGATATCTAATTAGAACCTCAGATCTACCATGTCCAAAATCAAGCTCCCTATTCTTACCTACTCCCAAAACTTGTGCCTCTTACAGTCTTCCCCCCACCTCAGTAACAGGTGATTCCATTCTTCTAGTTGCTCAGACCAAAACCCATGGAATCACCCCTGACTCTTCTCTTTCACAAGCCACATCTGATCTAGTGGCAATTTTGTTGACTTTATCTTCAAAGTCAGTTCCACGCTATCCATACTGGTTCATTTGTTCAGTAGTCTCCTGATAGCACCCATTGCTTCCACTACTGCCTACCCTGCCCCCCAACACACGTATACACACCACACACAAACCTTGTGCTAAACCTCAGTCTAAATCCGTCTCCTCTCTTGCCTGGATTGCTGTAAAGGCTTTTTATTTTCCTACAGTCACTACCTTTGCGACATCCTGCAGCCTGTCTCCACACAGTGTCCAGAGTGACCTTGTGGCGGTGTCCCACTGCCAGTAGAGCAGAAAACAAACTCCTTCCATGGCCACAGAGCCCCCCTCAGAGGGACCATGCCCATCTCACTGAGTTCACCTCCCACCTCTCACCCCTAATTAGCTGCCTTCTTCCTCTTTGAACATGCCAAGCCCAGGTTTCTTGTTCTTGCTGCTGCCTCTTCTCCCTGGAAAGTGATGTTCTGACATCTCATGATTGGGCATCAGCTCAGATGCAACCTCCCCAGAGAGGCCAGCCTCCATCACCACAACTACAATAGTGCCTCCCCTAGTCACCCTCTGTCCTATTACCCTTCTTATTTTAGTCTGTAATTTATGACTTACTTGTTCATGTGTTTATTTCTTTCATCTAAAGTGTAAGTTCTCAGAGGGTAAGTTATTGTTGTAATCGCTACTGGCTTTCCAGCACTAAGAATCATCCTGGCTCATAGTAGGTGCTCAATACATTTGTGGTCAATGGATGGATGAACTAGGTGCCAACGATAGCAAAATACTATACAGAAGAATGTATCACTTAGACAGGCTAAAGCTCATTTAAAGGGAACTACATGGGTATATTCAAATACTGTTCCTCATTTGTCATGATTTGAATGCATAATTCTAAGCCCTTACTTTTTATATGATGGCTAACTCTTATAATAAAATACTTATGTTCAATTTACTATCCTGATGAATATTAGCTAATTTTCTTTATGGTCAGAGTTAAAAATTTAGAAAAAATCTCCAGGTAAACCAGGGATACATATTGGAAGACAAAAGATACTATTTTGTAATTAAACAATAAACTGAGTGAATGAGCTTTAAAAATAAATAATGTATCTTTATTTTAAAGGCCAACAATTTAACAAAAATTGAAATAATCTTTACAGTATAGGTTCTAGAATGAACAATGAAAACGTATCCATGCCGTCTTATTTTAGATACATAGACAATTGAATTGGTGCTGTGTACATACAAGAGGTTACTCTTAGATGTACATGTGTCATTATAATCAATGCCAAATATATAAAGACCATACCGGCTTGTATGTTTGGCTGTTTATAATGCTTTAAATACTAATTCATCTTTTTAATTTTCTTCTATGTATTTTGTTTGTGAACAATCATAATATTCCATGCGACCTAGATAACAGGAGTATGCAATGGTGACTTTGTTGGGAGTTTAAGCAGAGTTCAGTAGCTATAAAGGATTTCACTAATAGGAAAAGAATAAGACAAACTCTCTGTTGACCTTTGTTTCACATTAAAATGACCGAAGTTTAACACCAAAATGACAGCTGGTTAAAACAGCTTGAGATTTCAAAGTGCTTCAGTATATATAAATATTATGACTGATCCCATAAGTGTGTTGGAAGACACTTTAAGAAAGGTCCTTGGTTTAACAGTTTTCTACCTTCTCCCATTTTGGTTGAAGGGAAGTATCACTCAAAAAAAGTTTTTTGTCTTCTGAATTTAGAGAAATAGAATAATTTAAAACATGTAGCTGAACTCAACAGAACCAAGATTAGAAGGTTAATACTGTGGATGGAAATTACTACTTTGTGGAGAACCCTAAGCTTCAGATTCCTGTAGTTTGATAATACGATAGATACTTCTCTATATTAACTTTAGGTAATGAGTTGCCAATAGTATATATATTCTCTGTCTCTCTCTATATATATGTATAGAATACATTATTAAAATGTGTTTTTACCACTTCTTTTTCTGCAACAGAACATGTTAGGACAAGGCAATTTCTCAGGGATCAAAGGTACATCATGGCAAACTCATTCCTGCACTTTGGTCTCACGGTCTTTCAAAAGGTGTGTTCCTATCAAGCCTCAACTCTTTAAAATTATCTTGGCTTTACTACTGAAATTTAAATCAAGTTACTTTTTATCATAAACATTTTATAATAGTTACTTACAGTTTTCTGTTCAGTTTTCCATGGGCAAGGAAAACTTGGGATGACAGAGTAGAAAGAATAGGAAGCAAGAGTGATAAACAGAAGTCTGAATGATGTAATTTGTTATTAGAATAAATTATCAGCAGGACAGAGTTCAAGCAGAAGCTTTCCCATGAGGCATGTAACATTTCTAAAAGGCATCAACATCAATTGGTGAAGAATTAATTCAGAAAGTGGAGGTTGGCTAGGGTCATGTAATCAGAGAGTGAGTGCAGATTTGAGGGTGGAGGCTGCGCAGCTGGCAAAAGGCTGGGCCAGCTTCCCGCAGGCAGGTGAAGGGAACAAGAGGGAGATAGCATGTGTGGAAGAAGCTGGGAGGAATGATTTTCTTTACATGTTTACTTTCTAAGCTTTTAAAAGGCATGCACATAGTACAGATTCAAACAGACAACAGAAAATCGAATGAGAATTAAGTCAGCTTTTCACTCCAACTCCCAGTCGCTGATTCCCCTCCCAAGGGCCAACACTGTCTTGCAAATCCTTCCAGAGGTACTCTACGCATGGACAAGCATTTATGTGCAGTTCTTCCTTTTTTTTTTTTTTTTTTACCCAAAAAGTAGCATTCTATACAATGCTTCCACTTTTTACATAGGTGGCATGCAAGGCATACCATTCTACACTGTGCATTCCTAACCAAATAGAGTATAGACTTCATTCCTCTTAATTCCCTTTTAAGAGCCACATTATATGCAGATGTGCCTGTCTCCAGCTGATGGACATTTAAGGTATTTGGTCCTGGACAGAGAACTTGGAGGTTGTAGGACAGGAATAAGAGGGAGATAATTTTTAATGTATACTACTTTCTTGACTTTGATAATGTGTATGTAGTTTGCATATTCAAGGGGAAAAACATTCGAAGAGTCAAAATATAGTCACATGCCCCCTTTGCTTAACTACCTTCTGTAAATTTTTTTACTGTGAGGATAAACCCAGTCCAGACCTACATGGCCTGCTTGGGCGGGCCTGTCTGTCTCCCCAGAGCCTTTTGGGGACTTTGCCCTGGTCCCCACACTCCAGCCCATCTTTCAGTTCTTCTAACATGGACTCTTTTTCACCTCAGCAGTGAGAAAGCTCATGCACTTTTGTATTCTCCCTGCTCCCTGAACCGCTTATTTCCTTTACTTACTCTCTTTTTGGCCTGCAGGGAAAAGTTCTCCAATCTAAATTGGGTCCCCTTATTAGTTTCTGTCATAGAACGATGAAATTATTTATTGATATGTCTGGATTTTAGTCTTTGCTGTGGGTACCACTTTTTACTTCATTGGTCTGGGGTAGTGGGAGAAACATTTTGTTGAGATTCAAGAAATCTGAATTCTGATCCTACCACTGCATGGCATGACTGCGGCCTTCAGCAAATCACTTACCTTCCCTGGCTTCAATTTTCTTACCTGTAAAATGAGAAAAACAGACTGGTTGATTTCTAAGGCCCTATAATTTGTGGTATTAGAACACTGTGAATACATAGGATAAAGTGAAATACATATAAATGTTGAATGCTAGTATACTCTTTATATAACATGGAATGCATTTAAATATTGAATGCTTGTATAAAAGTATTTTATGTTACAAATGGATGTTTAATTTCTTTCTTCAGAGTTACATAACTTTATGATTATTCCTTACAGAATAGTTTCCTAATTTCTCCCCTAACTTTTACAAATGTGTCAAATCCACAGATACCCAGACAATATTCAAAGATAAACTTAATATACAGACTAGTATATTCTAATATGCCAATACCCAGACAACATTCAAAGATAAACTTAATATACAGACTAGTATATTCTAATATGCCAAACCCTAATTTTCTTATAATGCCCTCCTTGCAATATTTTTATAAGGCATTTATAATTTTTTATTATTGTGGATCCATATTAGTTGTACATATTGATGGGGTACGTGTGATATTTTGATACAAGCATGTAACATGTAATAATAAAATCAGGGTAGTTAGGATATTCATCACCACAAGCATTTATTATTTGTGTTAGGAACTTTCAATTCCATTCTTTTAGTTATTTTTAAATATACATTAAATTATTATTAACTATAGTTGCAGTATTGTGCTACTGAACACTAGATCTTATTTATTCTATCTAACTGTATTTTTGAACCCCCTAACCAACCACTCTTTATCTCCTGCCTCCCAACTACCCTTCCCAGGCTCTGGTAACTATCATTCTATTCTCTATCTCCATGAGTTCAATTTTTTTAACTCCCACATGAGTGAGAACATGCGATGTTTGTCTTTCAATGCCTGGCTTATTTTGCTTAACATAATGTCATCCAGTTTCATCCATGTTGCTACAAATGACAGGATTTTATTCTTTTTTACAGCTGAATAGTATTCCATTGCCTTCTTCCATTCATCTGCTTATGGACACCTAGGTTGATTCCATATCTTGGCTATTGTGAATAGTGCTGCAGTAAACATGGGTATGTAGATATAGCTTTGATATTCTGATTTCCTATTTTTGGATATGTACTTAGCAGTGGGATTGCAGGATCATAGGTAATTCTATTTTTAGATTTTTGAGGAACCTCTAAGCTATTCTCCTTAGTGGCTCTACTAATTTACCTTCCTACCAGCACTGCATGAGGGTTAAGGCATTCTTTCTATCTAGAGTCTATAATTTGAGTTATTAGCTCATACAGTTATTTCTCATTCTTGTTTTTTATTAAATTCTAGAACCACTAGAGGGTGTATATGTTCAGAGAGAACAAAAAGTTCATTTTTTTTCTACTCTCGACATAAAGAGCTCATGTGAAAAGTTTCTGTTTGAGGAAAAGACTAAAAATATCTGATTGCATTTTGGTTTTTGGAGCAATGGGAAATTCTCATCAAAAAAGCAACCAAAAAAAAAAAAAGACTTTTTGCAACACATTTTAAGATTTTTGTTTTCTGTTAAAATAGGTAATTCTACAAAGTGAATACTTAAATTGAAAGAATGTATCCAATAAATACTATTCAATTCAGTAAATGTGATGAAAATTGTCTGCCTTCTTAGCTCTTTCAGCTTTCTCGGCTCTAAGAATAATTTGCTCCCATTCCATAAGAATTTTTAATTGTAAAAGTATTCCTTCCTTTACTGATTCCTACTTAAAAATTCTGGACACTGTTTTAACTTGTATTTTCTGAAGAGCTAATAGTGCCTTATATTAGAAAATTAACCCTCTGTTATAATGGACTGCACAGGGTTATATTATAATAACTTAGCAAACTACTATATTGTGAGAAGGAAATTGCTTTGTGTATTCTTTTTTCTTCAGCTCTTGGTCTGACAGCAGCTGTTGAAGGGTGTCCAAAAGTATTTCTGATGATAAGCTAAAGTCAGTCTTTCACATCTAAGTCTTTCCCCTTAGATAGTTGGCTGGATAAAGGTGAGAGCAGGCAGGTGTAGGGGTTGGAGGCCTGTGGTTCTGGCACATCTTGTTTATTAACTCTCCTGAGCTCACTGGGGGTTCTATTTTTTTTTTTTTTAAGAGACAGGGTCTTGTTGTGTTGCCCAGGCTGAAGTGCAGCGGCTGCTCACAGATGCAGTCATTGCACACTACAGCCTCGAACTCCTGGGCTCAAGAGATCCTCCCACCTCTGCTTCCTGAGTAGCTGGGACTACAGGCATGCATGAACACACCTGGTTTTCTGTCATGATTCTTGAACATTAAGCTTGACTTATCTGAGAATCACCTGTATTGATCCTGGATAAATCAACAGGTTAATTGGTCCCTGGGGTTAAAGTTCTCATGAGATAAGTGGCTTTTCTAGCAAATAACATAATCGGGCTGAGCTAATCTATTTTTCCAACCACTAATGTACAAGTGGGAAAATCTGATTCAATGACAACTAAAGGTGGCTTATTTAGCATCATATAAAATTAGAGAAAGTTGATCAACTCACTTAGGTGAGTATTTCTTCTACCAGGATCCCTAGTTCAGACAGTTTCTCTGGGTGGTTCTTTTTGTTTCTAGTAAGTGAAGCAAACTCTTATACTTAAGTGAACTTTTCTTGCTGCTTTGTGTTCTATCCTTTTGAGATAAGATATGATATGTTTAGATTTCTGGATTCCAGTATGTATTGGCATCTGTTTAGTCAGGAATACATGGATTCTCTTTCCGTCTAAAAGTCAGATTAGGCAGAAAATGGCCTCAAAAGAGTTGTCTATCTTGTTTATTCCTTTCCCTCCAGAGCCCTGTATGAGAAGGGTCTCACACCCCCCGCACCACTCCTCCAGAACTGCCCAGGCAAGGTCCTCCATAACCTTCATTTTGCTTAATACTATGGTCTATTATTGTCATCATCTTAAATCCTGAGCATAATTTGACACAGTTGGGCACTCCTCCCCTCCTTTACGTACTTTCTCAACTTGGTTTCCAAGGCACTGCCTTTGCGTGGATGTCTTCTACCTCATTATCTGATCCTCCACCCCCTCCTTTTCCTGACTTCTATACATTGCGATGCCTCAAGACATGGCCCTTTTTCCTCTCTTCTTTGCTAGCTGCTGTCACTCCCTGGATGATCTGATCTTATTTTTTGCCTTTAAATACCACCTATATGCCAATGGCTCTCCAATTTATTCTTCCAGCTTCTATGTGTCCCTTGAACCCCAAGCTCATATACCAGCTGTGTACTTAGCAACTCCATCTGGGTGCCTGGTCAACATTTCAAACTTAACACGTCCCAAACTAAACTGCAATTCCACCCCCATCCAACCAGCTCCCTGCCTTTTCTCAGCAAATGGCAGCTCCAAGCCAAAAATCTTCCTGTTATCCCTGACTGCTCTTTTTTTTTTTTTTTCTCATGCCCTGGATACATGATAGCTGTGCCCGTATCTTCAAAATAAGCCAAGCATCTGACTACTTCTTATCACCTCCTCTCTTGCTACTCTGGTTCTAGCTGCCATCATCTCTGGCTTGAATGACTGTGATAATCTCTTAACTGGTATCCCTGTTTCTACTTCCCTACCATCACTCATTCTCAAAAGAGTGATTCGTTAAACATGTAAGCCAGGTGATATCATTCCTTTGTTGCAAATCCTCAGTATTACCTAGAATAAAAGCCAAAGTCCTTACAGTGATTTAGAAAGCTCTGCCCAGTCTCTGACCCTCTCCCAGGCACTCAGGCTCCTTCTGCCCTGCTGGCCTCTTTTTCCCAGCACCCATTGCCTTGAGGTCTGTATGTGCTCTTCCCTCCCACTCACATGCTCATCACCCCCTCCCTCACTTCAAATCTTAGCTAAAAGATCACATGTTCAAAGAGAACAACATGACTACCCTATTTAATAGTGCCTAACATCTAATGTTTCCTCTTCCCCTTCCCTTTCCAGCTTTATTTTTCTTGAGGGCACTTATCTTCATGTGACTTACTATCTACCGTACTTATTTTTTCTTTATTATCTGTATTCCCTCCCTTGCCATATTTAGTTAGTTTATGTTCATTGTTGTAACCCTAACACTGGAGGAGCTCCTGCCCTATAGCTGGCCCTTAATAGATCTTTGTAACATTAATGTATGATTAAGAAAATGTTTGTGATCAGACATGGTGGCTCACACCTATTATCCTAGCACTTTGGGAAGCCAAGGCAGGAGGATTGCTTAAGGCCAGGAGTTTGAAACCAGCCAGGGCAACATAGTGAGACCCAGTCTCTACAAAAATAATAATAATAATAATACAAAAAAAATTTGCCAAGCATAGTGGCGTGTACCTGTAGTGCTAGCTACCTGGAAGTCTCAGGTGGGAGGGTCACCTGAGCCCAGGAGTTTGAGGCTGCAGTAAACTATGATTACACCACTGTACTCCAGCCTGGCAACTGAGTGAGACCCTGTCTCTTAAAAAAGAAAGAGTTTGTGTTACTGGATACCCTGATTGGGTGGGATGGAAGCACATTACATCTGTGTTAGAGTCCAAACTATAATATGTGAAGTTTTCCTTTATATGTTTGGCTGACTATTCAACAAATATTAATTGAGCATCTACTCTGTGCCAGGCACTTTGCTTGGCATTAAGGATAGAGCCGTGAGCAAAACAGGTCTCCATGCTTTTAGGAGCTCATGAATGTTCCTCCATTGAAAAATTTATTTTGCAATATTTAATATATAAAAATACATTAAAAACATATTCTTTATATCAAAAACATATAAAGAATAATGAATTCTTGTATGCCGTCCTTACCCATGAAGAAATGAAACATTACCATTGCAGGTAAGCCTCCATTTCCTCCCTTGCTGCCATAGGTAACTGCTAACCTGAATTTTTTATTTATCAATCTCATGCATTTTAAAAATGTGTTTGCTACATATGGATCCCTGAACCACATATAGTACTATTTTATGTTTAAATGCTGTAAAAGTGCAGGTCTGCTTTTTGCTTTGTTCACTCATTGTTATTTATGAGATTCATTTGTGTTGATACACATAAGCTTTCCTTTTCATTGCTGTGTAATATCTCACTTACTCATGCATTTCCCTGTACCCTGCCACCTTACTTATCCATTCCTCCATGTCCCCTGCTTCTTAAAAGGGGAATGGATAAGTGAGATATTTGTAGGTTGTTTCCAGTTTTTTGATACCATAAATATTGTTGCCAAAGATATCCAAAAGAACTTTCTGCAATGATGAAAACGTCCTATATCTGCACTCAACAAGACTGTTGCCACTCACCACATGTGGCTATGGAGCACTTGAAATGTAGCTAGTGTGACTGAAGAATCACATTCTTAGTCTGTTTAGTTTTAATTAGTGAGATTGATAACTATCGTATTGGAGAACACAATTCTACCTAGTGTTATCTTTGGGTACATATGTGAATTAATCTTGGGCTGTAGTTCTTACCACAATCAGACCTGATGTACTCTTTTATTAATAAATATTTTGTATCATCCCACTTACTATCTTGAAATGAAATTCATAACTTATCTGCACACATTTTAAAAAATCATTGCAATACACTTTCTATGATATAAACTAAAAATGTAAGAACAGTAATTTTAATAAAATAATATTTATTTCAATATGTCAGTAACCACAAATACACTCCACTACATTAGGAGACATGATGAAGCAGTTCACAGATGCAGAGTCATAGAAGATTGTGAGACTGGTAACTCAAGCACTGCAAGTGATGCAACTATTGGTAATGTGAAGAACTCTTGGTAACATTCTGAACAAAACACAATTCAGGCTGCCTTTATCTAGTAGTTGCATCTCTGAAAAATTTGGTATACAATAAGACCTTACAGAGTACTTATCATTTATATCTAAAACAGGGTTACGTTATACTCTTAGATAATTATAATCGGGTTTCCCACCTATATAAATGTTCTACTAGACCTTCTAAAGTCATGAAGGACCCAGCACAATTCTTTTTTGAATGAAACCATCCAAATTTCAGGACATACAAGATATCTGGCCCTTACCTACTAAATGGCAGTAACACATACACACACACACACACACACACACACACACACACACACCCTCCATCACTATTATAAGCAGACCTGCCTCCCAGGTGTGGCACTAGTTCTGTTGAGACCCATTGGTCTATGGTACATACCCAGCAGCAAAACCACTGTCTCTTAAGATATGATCTTCTTCAACTTTACCGAATATGAGTTTGTTCTCCCAGTTACTCCAAAGTTTTCCAAAGGGTTTAGACCAATTTACATTCCCACTGCAAGCATATACAATGTATCATTTCTCTAAATATATGCAGTTTTTACCTCGAAAGTGACACTTTTCCTAGGTTATAGTTTTGCTGATCTCAACAGTTGGCTGTTAAAAAACGTAACTTACCTATGTTCTATAATAACTCTTTGTACATCTCCCTCCAAAGTAGGACATCCCACTTTTTTAAGTAAACGCAGAATAGCATGCCTGCTAACCTGAATGTGGGTATAGTCTCTTCCACCATTTTTCCCATTGTTGCTATGGCCCTAGAAGACCTAAATTCTAGCTCCTCTTCACTAACCCCAGGGACACCTATCTCCATCTCCTTCCACCTCCCTTCAGATTTCACAGGGATCTGATGGAGGTCCGCTGGTCCTTCAAGGCACTAAAACACCTTGAAATCTGAATCCCTAGTTTCATAGAGCAGATGCAGAGTGAGGTAAATGGAGCCAAGTCCATTACTATTAGAGGAGTCATAACAACCTGACCTTTACACTTCTGATTATAGCTGTAAAGCAGTTATTGCCACCATAATGGCAAAATTCTCCACAGCTCAGTGGCTCACAATAGCAAGCACTTATTCTGACACTCACAGGCAACTTCAGCTGGGCTGATGGAGGTTCAGCCAGGCTGGGCAGCTCTGCTTCAAGTTGCACGTTGGCTGGTTTTGGTTCTAGGTTTTGGGTTGGGTTTGGGTCACCTCCTCATTTTTTATTCTGCAACTTAGGATGATGGGGCAGAGGCCAACCAGGCCTTGCTCTCCAGGCAGATCACTGGAGAACAAGACAATGTGTCCACCACTCAAGCATATTGAGAACTGCGCTTGCATCAAGCATATTGAGAACTGCTGCTTGCATCACACCTGCTAATTTCCAGTGGCCAAAGCATGTCACATAGCTAAGCCCAAAGGTAGGAAAATATATTCCACTCTGAGGAAAAGGTGGGAGGGAGTGTTTGCTGAACAATAACCCAGTCCAACTCAAAGCAGTAAACTTTTGTAATGGGATAGAGTTTGTGATTAATAGAACATTTTTTCTTTTATCACCAAAACATAGCAAATGTATCTTGATAATCCCTCTTAACTATGTTGTTTATTTGATATAAAAGAGGAAAAACTATTAGTGGACCTGGTTGGGGAATGGGTCACTCTAATTACCTGATCGTTCCTACTAAGTGGAGGTTAACCCTTCCTATGAATTGCATCTGCCTTGACTCTGGACCATGTACATGACTACTCAGATGAGGTGACCATATGTATCACATCTGGACTTTTTTCTAGGCTCATAAGGTTGTTTTGGATATTGTCTTCATTGTCCACTTTCTAAAAATTGCACTTTGCAAGTCATCTTTAGGTTAGGAATCAGGATGGTATTCATAGTGATAGTATACTCATAAAAATACAAATGTCTCTGATAATTGTGTTGGGTTTCAATAAACTTTATTCTTTAGAGCAGCTTTAGGTTCATGGTAAAATTGAGCAAAAGTTTTCAGAGAGTTCCCATATATCTTCTGTCCCTGGCACACTCACAGCCTCTCCCAATATCAGCATCTCCCACCAGAGTGGTACATTTATTATAATAGATGAATCTACATTGACAGATCATTATCACCCAGAGTCCATAATTTACATTAATGTTCACTCTTGACATTGTACACTCTATAGCTTTGGAAAAACGTATAATGACATGTCTCCACCATTAGAGTATCATACAGAATAGTTTCACTGCCCTAAAAACCCTCTGTGCTCTGCCTATTCATTTCCCCCTTTCCCCTAAACCCTGGCACCCCCTGATCTTTTACTGGCTCCATAGGTTAGCCCTTCCAGAATGTTGCATAGTTGGAATCATACATACACATGGAGACTTTCAGTTTGTCTTCTTTCACTTAGTAATATGCATTTAAGGTTTCTCCATGTCTTTTCATGGCTGAATTGCTCCTTTCCTTTTAGTGCTGAACATTATTTTACTGTCTGCAGGTACCACGGTTTATTTTTCCGTTCACCTACTGAAGGACATTTTAGTTGTTTCCCACTTTGGACACTTATGAATAAAGTTGCCATAAACATTCATGTGCAGGCTTTTGTGTAGACATGTGTTTTCAGTTCCTCTGGGTAAATACCAAGGAGCACGATTGCTGGATCATATGGTAAGAAAATATTTAGTTTTGTAAGAAACTGCCAAACTGTCTTCCAAAGTGGCTGTATCATTGGCATTCCCATCAGCAATGAATGAGAATTCCTGTTACTCCTCATCCTTAACCAGCATTGGGTGTTGTCAGGGTTCTGGATTTGGGGCATTCTAATAGGTGTATAGTAGTATCTTGATGCTGTTTTATTTTGCATTTCCCTGATGACAGGATGTGGAGCATCTTTTCAAATGTTTATTTGCCATCTATACCTTTGTTGGTGAGGTGTCTGTGTAGTTCTTTGGTCTATTTTAAAACTGGATTGTTTATGTACTTATTGCTGAATTTTAAGATTTATTTGTGTATTTTGAATAACAGCCCTTTATCTGATATATCTTTTGCAAACATTTTCTCCCAGTCTGTGGCTTGTCTTTTCATTTTCTTGATGGGAAACTTTTAATTAAACAGAATAAAGCAAAAAAAAAAAGTTTTGAATCAGACATTAAATATAAAATCTCAGAAACTGTAAGCACGTCTGAGACATTAGGTTTCTTTAAAAAGTGATCGTCAAGGTAATCAAAGTGCTTCTGAATTTCTTGACAAAATTAGAAAGCTTTAAAAACTAACATCAATTGTTAGTAAATTATATGAAGGGGGGATCATATCTGTCTCGTTCACCCCTATATCCCTGGCAGAGTGCCTGGCATACAGTAAGTGTTCAAAAAATATTTTTAAGTGAACGAATGTTCATTGTGGGTTAGCAACATTATAGATGTTATTTTATTTAATCTCCTTGGTAATCTTAAAAGTTAGATTTTGGCTGGGCACGGTGGCTCACGCCTGTAATCTCAGCACTTTGGGAGGCCGAGGTGAGCAGATCACAAGGTCAGGAGATAGAGACCATCCTGGCTAACACAGTGAAACCCCGTCTGTACTAAAAATACAAAAAAAAAAAGTAGCCGGGCGTGGTGGCGGGTGCCTGTAGTCCCAGCTACTCAGGAGGCTGAGGCAGGAGTATGGTGTGAACCCAGGAGGCGGAGCTTGCAGTGAGCCGAGATCATGCCACTGCACTCCAGACTGGGTGATAGAGTGAGACTCCATCTCAAAAAAAAAAAAAAAAAAAAAAAAGAAAAGAAAAGTTAGATTTTGGTGTCCTCATCATGGCAAAATTAGAAAACTGAACTTCTTGGCAAAATTAGAAAACTTTTAAAAACTAACATCAATTGTTAATAAATTTTATGAAGGGGGATCATATCTGTCTCGTTCACCCCTATATCCCTGGCAGAGTGCCTGGCACATAGTAAGTGTTCAAAAATATTTTTAAGTGAATGAATGTTCATTGTGGGTTAGCAACATTATAGATGTTATCTTATTTAATCTTCTTGGTAATCTTAAAAGTCAGATTTTGGTGTCCTCATCTTATAGATGAGGAGACTGAATCTCAGGGAGATAAGGAAGGTGCCCAAGGTCACACAACAAGGAAACAGCAGAAATTGAAATCAAATTACAATGTGCCTGACTCTAAATCCAATATTTGTTCTACTATGACACTCGTTTTAGCAAAGACTGAGAGTTGCCTGTTCAACAGCCATTTCCTTCTGTGTCCTTGAGGACAGACCTTAATTGTGTACTAGTGCCCTAGACCCTTAAGTGATTGAAGTAAATCCTTATTGGTCTGCCCCCATTCCCCATTTCTGTAACCAGTTTAGAGGTTTGGAATGTGACCTGGTTTTGGCTGTGAGACTGGAGAAAAATATTCTGGTAGTACAGATGGGGGAGGAGTTTGGGAAAGGATTTTTGTTGCCCCTTTAACAAAGAAACACAAGAGAGAAACAGACCTTTGTTTGACTCTTAAGTGTTGTTGCATAGGGATGTGATGCCACAGCTACTGAAGCCATCTTGCTGTCAGGAGGGGAATGAGAAGACACCCCTAGGTGCCTAACAAACCGTTGGACTCCCAGCATTTTTCAGAAAGTGGTAGCCCTCAGTCAAGTCTTTGGTTTTCCTAAGATAGTTACCTGAGCATTTGGGCTGCCCAGGAACCAGATAACTGGAGTATCAGTCACTCTGTAATACATACCCTACCAAAACCAGCTCCACAGTTTTTGAAATCTCTATTACAAATGCACATGTAAAATGAAATGCTATGATAGTTTTTATTGTTACTTTATGGAAATGAGATGTCTTAACTTATTCATTCATTTACTAGCCATTTCCTGTATGCCAATTGCTGGCAAGCATGGTAAGTACTTGATAGAGACAGGCACTGCAGAAGAGCAAAGGGAGATACTCAACCAGCCTGGTGGTAGGTTCTAAGAGGAAGGGTCTGGGAAGGCGCTGTACCAGAGCTGACAAGCAGTAACACTTGAATGAACCCAAAAAGACCAGTAGGAATTATCCAGGTAGATAAAGAAAAACAGGGCATTCCCTGCAAAGAAGGTAGCATATGAGGTACATGGAGATGTGACAGAATATGGCACAGCTGAGGAAGCACAAGTAATTGAGTGCATAGGGTGCAGGTTAGAAGAATTGGGAGGGAATCTAAAAGAGGTAAACAGAGGCTTGCTCACAAAGCACCTTGGCCAAGCTATAGGTGAGACTTATTCAGAAAGCAGTAGGGAGTTACTGAAGGATATTAAGTATGTGCTGAACATGACGATTCTTGCATATTAGGAAGATCACTTTGGCAACAGAAAGAATATTTTGGAGAGGAGGAAAGGAGACCAACTGAGCTGATGTGCTGCTCAATTGTGCTTTCAATGGAGAAGCAATGAAAAGGGGCTTTTAGATTCAAGACATACTTAGGAAATGGTTTAGAACTTGGTGAATGTATACGAGAGTTCAGCAAAGAGGGGAGTGCAAGGTTGGCAAAGAAACACAGAGCTAGCTAGGGGCATGGAGGAGGCTGCCAGACTGTTAAGGGCTCAGTTGAGGACACAGACCAAGAATTAATGGCTCTAGTGCACATGGTCGAGTGATTTACTTAGTGTGGTTTTAGGAGCAAAGAAGGATGGATCAATCCACATTTGGGTAAGTGTTGCAGAAGCAAAAGAAAGCAAGAAGAGTGAGAAGTTGGAAGTATTGTTTAAAGAGACAGGTTGAAGAGCTAAACCAAAGCAGGATGAAGGAAGTAAAACCAGAAGAGGAAAGAGAGGGATGGGGCTTCACAATTGTGGAGGAGAAGCAGGTATGATTGGAGCAATGAGGATTGTAGGAGCTGATGGAAAGAAAGTTGAATAGGTGGAGTAGCTCCAGGTAATACTAAGGGGAAGGGGTGAGTTGCTGATATCTGTGTGGAGATGAAGGTCAGTGATGTTGAAGGTAAGGCACTGGGTATTGGAAAGGTCATCCACACGGACACTGAAGACACCAGGATTATGGCAGATTTGGGATGGAGAGAAAATTCATAAACCATGTCAGGAAATGATGAGAACAACAAGAAAAGATGGACAATGGTGAATTTGAGAGGCATAAGTTTCAAAGGAAGAAGGATTTTCATAGGACATTTGAGGAATATTGAATGAGCAAGTGTTAATGGTTATTTAGCACTTACTGTTTACCAGGTTCTGTTCTAAGTGCTTTACATTTACATTTACTAAATTCATGTAATTCTCATCTGTGAGGTCAATACTGTAACTCCCATTTTACAAATGAGGAAACTGAGGCTCTGAGACCTTTAATAACTTGCCCAAGGTACATAGCCATGTCTAACCCAGGCAGTTTGTCATCTGCAAAGTCTACACTCTTGCCCATGTCAGTCTTCCTGCTTCTGCCCACCAGCCCAGCCAGTCCATGTGGTTAAGTGGAAGGTTCAAGAACAAGCAGCCGCCACTTAAGAGTACAGGGAGGAGGTAGTGTCTGAGGTGGGAGCCATTCAAAAAACTCTGACCATAACCAGTCTTTGAGAGCATCACCTCCTTTATGTTTTCCAGGGTCTAATTCATTTAGTACTGAGACATGATAATGTGCCTTTGAACTATGGGTTAATATGTAAACTGCCCCGAAGCCTTTTCAGAAGTGGGTACAGTATACTTTTAAAATAAATGGTTACATAATTATTAACTATAAGTAATCAATTACATAAATGAGTTAATTTGCATGTTTTAGAGAATTTATATACTCCTCTCTACCTAAGAAGTGGCAAAGAACAAACGGAAGTATACAACCGTGAATTATACATAGTTCTGCTTTTTCTCTGGCATTACATACTAAATTTTATGACAAATCAGTTCATGATTATTTTTTGAAAGATAATCTCCCTATTTTTCTTTTTGACTTTAGTTACCTACCAGACACTGACTATCTTAAACACCGAAGCACAAGAATGCTCCAAAGAAGAGGTCTATATTGCTTGGCTCATATTAACTTCTGTTTATTTTCTTACGATTAAGGCTCAAACGTTGTTAAAAAATGTTCAAATCCTACAAGACACTGACATGCCAGTTCCTCAGCTTTGATGGAGAAACCAGCTTTCTCTTCTTGCAGAGATACTCTTCATGAAAAGTGGAGCTCCAAGAAGAGTAGACATGAGGAAAATATGAATTTTTACAAAAGGAAATGTATGGTGCAATTATAAACTGTAGCATGAACCCATAATTGGAAGTCTACATCTCACAGTTATAGTCAAGAATTCTGGTACATATAAAATAAGTTCTTTCAAAATGGGATTCAGGTATTATTTAGAAATGCATCTACTGAAAAGAAGCATACCATAAAAATTTATGCTAATTATGGATGAGATCATGGACGGTTTAATCGAAATTACGAGTTGGATTTGTCAGATGTAGAGTCTCAATCAGGCCACTTGAAAGACCAAATGATTTCCTTTTCATCTGAAAGGTTCAGAGAGGAAGCTTTTGAAAAGACACTATTGAAATCTTCAAGGTAGCTGTTCCTAGCACAGCTTTGATTTCTAAAATAACTAGAAGGACTGTAGACCTACATGAGGGGAGAGAAGAGAAACTGAAGAATTGTTAGAAAACATAAGTTTTCTTTACTTCTAGTACCACTCCACGCTTTGTGAAAAAAGTTATTTTATGAAGTCAAGAAGTCAATCAGAAGAAACACCAGGGAAAGTCAACACAAACTGGTTTATCTAATACTTTTTCAGTGTCCAATTTGCAATGCACTGAGTTCCCTGCTAAACTATGTCTATATATTGGGGGCTGGGAGAGGAGTAGGTTAAAAATAAATAGGAGTTGCAAGTCTTTCTCCTCGGGCTACTAATAATATACCTGAATTTTATGTTTGATTTTGTCTTCCTTGTCTTTATAGTTTTTGCAACTAATGTATATATGTCTAAACAATCTATTGCTTAAATTTACATAATTTTCAGCTTTACATATGTAGAATCATGCTGTTTGTTTTCTTCTGTACCTCAGTTTTTTTCACTAAAAATTGTCTTCTGAAAAAAAAAAGCGGAGGTATCATACTTCCTGATTTAAAATTATATTACACAGCTATAGTAAACAAATCAGTATAGTACTTACTCAAAAACAGACACAGTGAAACAGAATGGAGTCCAGAAATAAATTCAAACATATACAGTAAACTAATTTTTGACAGAGACACCAAGAGGATACAGTGGGAAAAGGTTAGGCTCTTCAATAAATAGTGCTGGGAAAATTGAATTTCCACATATATGCAAAATTTATAAAATATAAGACCTAAAACTATAAAATTCCTTAAAGAGAACACAAAAAGCTCCTGGACATTGGCCTTGGAAATAATTTTTTGGATATCACACCAAAAAATGGAAAAAAAAAAAGCTCAGGCTACAAAAGCAAAAATAAATAAATGGGACTACATTGAACTACAAAGATTTGCACAGCAAACTAAATAACCAACAAAATAAAATGACAGCCTATTGATTGGGAAAAATATTTGCAAACCATGTGTCTGATAAGGGGATAATATCCAAAATTAATAAAGAACTCATACAACTCAATAATAGGAAAGCAAATAGCCTGATTTTAAAGTGGGAAAAGAACACTTGTCGACATTTCTCCAAATAAGACATGAAAGTGGCCAACAGATATATGAAAAGGCACCCAACATCATTAATCATCAGGAGAATGCAAATCAAAACCGCTGAGATATCACCTCACACCCATTAGGATGGCTGTTATCAAAAAAACAAAAGACAAATTTTGGTGGAGTTGTGGAGAACAGGGAGCCCTGGTACATTCTTGGTGGGGTTATAGATTGGTACAACCATTATGAAAAATAATATTGAGATGTCTAAAGAAATTTAAATGAGAACCATCATGATCTGATCAAGCAGTCCTTCTTCTGAGCATAGACCCAAAGTAAATGAAATAATCACCTCGTAAAGACATCCACACTCCCATGTTCATTGCAGCACTATTCTCAATAGCCAAGATATGACAAGAGCCTATGTGTCTGTTAATGGACAAATGGATAAACTGTGATATATACATATACATACACATATAGTTCTCTTACACTGAATGTATATTATTCAATATTGAAAAAGAAGATTCTGCCATTTGCCACACATAGTGAACCTGGAGGATGTTATACTAAGGGAAATAAGTCAGACGCAGAAAGAAAAATATTGTGTTATCTCGCTTATTTGTGAAATCTAAAATAAAAAGCCAAATATACAGAGATAGAGAATAAAACTGTTGTTATGGGCAGGGGATAGGGAGATGTAGGTCAAATATGTGGGCTGAATAAGACTAGAGATCTAATGTACATCATGAGGAATACAGGTAATAAAATTGCACTGTATTTGGGAAACCTGCTGAGTAGATTTTAGTTACTCTTGCCACAGAAACAAAGAAGAAATAGGTATCTATGTGAGATTATGGATATGTTAATTTGCTTCACTATATGTTACTATCTATATGTATCCCATAACATCGTATTGTATACCTTAAATATATACAATAAAAATGTATTTAAAAAATTATCTTCTGGGATTTGTTCATGTTGAGGCATGTAGGAATAATTCATTTTTCATCACTATAGAGTATTACATTTTATGAATATGTTATAATTTACAGCATAATTTATTTTTGCTTTGGGTGAATATTGAAATTTTTATAGACTGTTATTTATTTGTGTGTCTGCTTGGCTCTTACAAACACGCCTGCCTTGAACATTCTTGTATATCTCCTGGTATTCATATGCAAAAGTTTATCTAGGTTTATCTACCTAGAAGTAGAATTGTTGAGTTATTGGACATGGGCACCTTTAACTTTATTTACTGGATAATGCCAGCTCGTTTTCCAGAGTACTAATTTATACAGTTATCCTTCAGTATCTGTGGAGGATTGGTTCCAGGACTTCCTATAGATATCAATATCCACAGATACTAAAGTCCCTTATGTAGAATGGCATAGTATTTGCATATAACCTATGCATACCCTCCCATATACTTTAATCTTTAGGTTACTTAATATACCCAATACAATGTAAATGTTATGTAAATGGTTGTTACACTGTATTGTTTAAGAGATAGTGATAAGGAAAAAAGTTGGTACCTGTTCAGGACAAATGCAAGCTCCCTCTTCTTTCCAAATATTTTCTATCCATGGTTGGTTGAATCCATGAATATACAACCCATGGATACAGAGGGCCAACTGTACTCATACTTGCCTTCTGTTATTGCTTGAGAATCTCTCCAACACTTTTTATTATCCAACTTTTTAATTATTGCTGGTGTGATTGGTACAAGTAGTATTTTATGTTATTTTAATTTGCATTTCCCATATGTTTGTTGCCAGTCCTGCTGTCTTTCTGGAAAATGCCCATTTTTGTCTTTTGCCCATTTTTTCTATTAGGTTGTCTGTGCTTTTTTCAGTGATTTTGAGTTTTAAAAATTATCTTTTGAGTTCCATATATTTTGGAGACTAATCCATTGCTAGGTATGTATGTCACAAATTGGGGTTTATTGATGAATAGAATTATTCATTTT
Source organism: Homo sapiens (assembly GCF_000001405.40). Classification (NCBI taxonomy): domain Eukaryota; kingdom Metazoa; phylum Chordata; class Mammalia; order Primates; family Hominidae; genus Homo; species Homo sapiens. The sequence continues at coordinate 154,702,059 of NC_000004.12, forward strand.
AATGTAGTTCAATGTATTAACCTTTTTCTTTATGATTTGTTTTAGATGTCTTATTAAAGAAATTCCTACCTATTATGAGGTAATTTATTCTCCTTTATTTCCTTCTAAAAGTTTTAAAGTTTTGCCTTTCACTTGTAAGTCCTTTGTCCAACCTGAAACTCGATAATGCATTTCCAATTAAGTTTTAAAATTTTCTCCATAATTGCCTTACATATTGAGATAATTGTATGTTTTCTTTCTTCATAGTTTGTTAAGGTAGTATTAGAGTAATAAACTTGAGAACGTTTAATCAACCTGCATTCCTGTAACAAATTCAACTTGAGCCTGATGTACGTTGGGTAATTTAGTTTGTGAATATTTCCTTGGTAACTTTCATATATATTCATAAAGGATATTAATCTATAATTTTCCTTGGTTTTGATCTCACAGTTATTTTAGCCCAAGAAAATCTTTTAATGCTTTTATCCTTAAAGTGTATTCTGTTAATATTAGAATATCAGCATTACCTAAATTTTATTAGTGTGTATGTATATGTGTATATATATATATATACATATACCTACACATATGTGTTTGTGTAGTCATTAAGCTGTACACTTAGTATTTCTGCATATTGCCATATGTAAATGGTACCCAATAAAGTACTATTGTTGTTTTTAAAAAGAACATAATAAGCAACTAAGAAAACATGGACTATTGAGCTACCACCATCAACTTTCAGTCATGGAGAATGGCAGGTGAAACAAAACAAAGACGCATAAACCAAAGCAAAATTCCAAAATTCTTTCATTTTGGAAACAAAAAACTTTCATTAAAAAATTTCTTTGATGTTAAGTCTGTTGGTAGAAATTTCAGTTTTTGTCTTCAAAACGTTTGTTTATAAGAAACTAGAAGCTTTCCTGCCAAGATCAAGAACAGGGCAAGGATGTCCCTTCTCACCACTCACATTTCAAGATGATACTGGAAGTTCTAACTAATGCAGTAAGATGAGAGAAGAAAATATATGTACAGATTGGGAAGGAAGAAATAAACTGTATTCACACATGACATAATTGTTTATCTAGAAAATCTGAAAGAATCAACAACATCAAAAAAATTCCTGGGGCCAGGCACAGTGGCACATGACTGTAATCCCAGCATTTTGTGAAGCTGAGACAGGAGGATTGCTTGTGGCCAGGAGTTCGAGACCAGCCTGGGCAACAAAGCAAGACCTTGTTTCTACAAAAATAATTTTTAAAATTACCCAGGTGCAGTGGTGTGCACCTGTAGTCCCAGCTACTTGAGAGGCTGAGGCAGAAAAACCACTTGAGCCCAGGAATTTGAGGCTGCAGTGAGCTATGATTGTGCCACTGCACTCCAACCTGGGTAACAGAGCAAGACCCGTCTCTAAAAAGCAAAAAAACAAAAATGACAACAACAACAAAACAAATTAATAGATTATAGTAAAGTTACGGTGTAGAAGGTTAATATACACAAATCAATTGCTTTTCTTTACACTAGCAAAGACCAAGTGGAATTTGAAATTAAAAACATAATACCATTTATATTATCTTCTCCAAAAATTAAATGCTTAGGTATAAATTTAATAAAATACGTACAAGATCTATATAAGAAAAACCACAAAACTGCAATGAAAGAAATCAGTGAAATAAAAAGATGGAGAGATAGTCCATGTTCAAGTATAGGAAAACTGAAAATTGTCAAGACATCAGTTCTTTTCAATGTAATCTATAGATTCAACGCAATCTTGGTCAAAATCCCAGCAAGTTATTTGGAGGACATCAAAAAACTGATTCTAAAGCTTATAGGAAGAGGCAAAAGACCCAGAATTGCCCACACAATATTTAAAAAGAAGAATGAAGTCAAAAGACTGACATTACCAAATTTTAAGACTTACTCTAAAGCTTTGATAATCAAGACAGTGTGGTATTTGGCAAAACAATAAACTAATAGATCAATGGAACAGAATAGAGAGCTCAAGATTAAACCCACACAAATATAGCCAACTAATCTTGGACAAAGAAGCAAAGGCAAGTCAATAGACAAAATAATCTTTTCAACAAATGGTGCTGGAACATCTGAAGAGCAACATGCAAAAAAAAAAAAAAAAGAATATGGGACAACTTCACATCTTTCACAAAAATTAACTCAAAATAAATTATAGACCTAAGTGTAAAATTCAAAACTATAAAACTCCTAGAAGATAACATAGGAAAAAGCCTATGACTTTGGGTATGGTGGTGACTTTTTAGGTACAACACCAAAGGCCCAATTCTTGAAAGAAATAATTGATAAATTGAGTTTCATTACAATTAAAAACTTCTGCTCTGAAAAAGACAATGTCAAGAAAATAAGAAGATAAACCACAGACTGGGAGAAAAATATTTGCAAAAGACCTATTTGATAAAGGTATTGTTATCCAAAATATACAAAGAAATCTTAAAACTCAACAAAAGAAAATGAACAACTCAATTTTTAAAAAATGGGCCAAAGAACTAAGCAATATCTCACCAAAAAAGTTATACAGAGGGCAAATAAGCATATGAAAAGATATTCCACATTGTATGTCATCAGGGAAATGCAAATTAAAACATTGAAATACCACTATACATCTATTAAAATGGCCAAAATTCAAAACTCCAACAACACCAAATGTTGGTGAGGATGTGAAGCAATGGGAACTCTCACTCATTGCTGGTGGGAATGGAAAATGGTACAGGCCCTTTGGAAGACTGTTTTTCAGTTTCTTACAAAACTAAACATACTCTTAACATATGATCCAATAATTGCGCTTGTTGATATTCAGCCAGAGGTGATGAAAACATATGTCCATGTAAAATCCTGCACATGAATGTTTATGGCAACTTTATTCATAAGTGCCAAATCTTGGAAACAATCAAGGTCTCCTTCAGTAGGTGAATGGTTAAATAAACTGTGGTACCTTCCGACAATGAAATAATAGCACTAAAAAGAAATGAGCTACCCAGCCATGAAGGGGGTACATTAAACGCAAATTGCTAAAATCCAATCTAAAAGGCTACATATTGTATTATTCCAACTATAGACATTCTGGAAAAGGCAAAACTATAGAGACAGTAAAAGATCAGGAGTTGCCAGGGGTTAGCAGAAAAGGAAGGCTGAATTGGTGGTGCACAGAGGATGTTTAGGGCAGTGAAACTATTCTGTATGGTGGATACGTGTCATTACGTTCGTCCAAACTCATAGAATGTACAACACCAAGAGTGAACCCTAATGTAAACTATAGACTCTGGGTGATAACGATGTGCCAGTGTAGGTTCATCAATTGCAACAAATATGCCATTCTGATGCCAGATGTTGATAGTGGGAGAGGTTGTATGTGTGTAGGGTTGAGGGATATATGGTTACACTGTACTTTCTGCTCAATTTTACTGTCAATTTTACAACTGCCCTAAAAAATAGTCTTTAAAATTGTGTTTATTTCTCCTTTGTTTTTGAAAGATAGTTTCAATAGAAATATCTGAAAACTTAAGTTGTAAACACTTTGAGTATTCCACTATTGCTGCTGAAAAATCAGCTGTCAGTTTGGCAGTGTTTTGATGGTAATATCTTTTTCTGGCTTCTTTAAAGACTTTTTTTATTGTTGGCATTCTGCAGTTTCACCATGTTCTTTCTAGGTATGCATTTCTTCTTATTTGCTTTGTTTTCATTCACTTTTTTTTTTTGCATCAGAGAGTTTGCTCTTTCATTCATTCTGGAAGATTATAAACTGCTGTCTCTCTAAATATTTTGTTTTCTTTTTCTATTGCCTCCTTTAACTCCAATTAGAAATATGTGAGACTCCACCAGTTAGAATGGTGATCATTAAAAAGTCAGGAAACAACAGGTGCTGGAGAGGATGTGGAGAAATAGGAACGCTTTTACACTGTTGGTGGGAGTGTAAACTAGTTCAACCATTGTGGAAGACTGTGTGGTGATCCCTCAAGGATCTAGAACTAGAAATACCATTTGACTCAGCGATCCCATTACTGGGTATATACCCAAAGGATTATAAATCATGCTACTATAAAGACACATGCACACATATGTTTATTGCAGCACTATTCACAATAGCTAAGACTTGGAACCAACCCAAATGTCCAACAATGATAGACTGGATTAAGAAAATGTGGCACATATTCTTAATGTGTGCCATGGAATACTATGCAGCCATAAAAAAGGATGAGTTCATGTCCTTTGCAGGGACATGGATGAAGCTGGAAACCATCATTCTCAGCAAACTATCACAGGGACAGAAAACCAAACACTGCATGTTCTCACTCATAGGTGGGAATTGAACAATGAGAACACTTGGACATAGGGTGGGGAACATCACACACCTGGGCCTGTTGTGGGGTGGGGGGAGGGGGGAGGGATAGCATTAGGAGAAATACCTAATGTAAATGACCATTAATGGGTGCAGCACACCAACATGGCACATGTATACATATGTAACAGACCTGCATGATGTGCACATGTACCCTAGAACTTAAATTATAATAAAAAAAAAGTAAGACTCATGGTCTTGTCAAAAACAGCTTCCTAGAATTACTTCGTCTTTGTCGAAAGCCATAGAAAATATATCCTGCGTAGGAGTTTTTGAACTTGCCCTTAAAATCTGCCTGAACCCTAATCTTCCTGAATTATCTTCTGCTGTTAAAAGTCAATTGCATAGAATCTGAGGGGATACAATAACAAATTATAATGTTTTATGTTGATGAATTCATTTGTAGGAGTCACATCAACTTGATTATTGACAATATGGATGCTAAGTTTTGGATCTCTATGATGTTATCGAAATGTGAGATGATCCAGTCTCCTTGTTCATGAAAAATGATGAAAATGTGCCATGGTGGAAAAGGAGTGGGTAGTGCCACTGATCAATGCCATCTGCAGATTTTTAAAATATAGTTTTTAGAAATTTGGGCCATAACAAATTAATAAGGAGTTTCTAGGGCTTCCAGTATATGGCATGGATACAACACTAATTTTTAAAGGAGATTTACAACTCTTTTTTATTATTTGGTTTTTAGAAGGCATTTCTTTACTCATTAATAAAAAGAACCACTCATCTGTTCCTCATAGGCATAAACAATAGGGAAATGGATAGCCTTATTCACTGCTGCTGAATGTCTCCATCTGGATATATTTGATAGTATCTCAGGGCAAATATTTAAATGCCACTGCCTCAGTATATTTCTTAACATTGGGAAAGAGCACATCCTGAATGAGACCCTGTAGGGAAGTACCTAGTAACGGTATTCAGGATGGCCGCCTCCGTTTTTGACAGATCACTTTGTAAAATAAATAAAACCTATTATGCCAGGAATCTAAGCTTTGTCTAGAACTTCCAATGGCAAGTTCTCTGTATATAAAAGTAACAATGGCACCATTCAATCAACCACTTTTGCCTTAGTAATATTAAGCAAGAAAAGCTAAGTAGTTGTTTTAAATAGAATGAAAAGGACAGGAGGAGAGTGAAGATACTATTTGTTTAAGTGGAACAGCTTGGAAATAAAAATAGTCCTGTCATATATACAGAATGGTAAGAGGAATGATTTGATCAATGCAATTATTTATTGCCTGCCTACTCTGCCCAACTTGGTTCCAGTTCTCACAGCACTTGCATTGATCAAAAGTTAATTGCAAGGGCCTGTCCTGAAAAACAGCAAACAAATAAAAAATGTACAGTTTAGTATAATATTTAGTAAGAGCTTATATACGTTGTAGGCACTCACTGTGCTAGATATTAGGACACAAAGAAGAAAAAGACATGGTTCTCCTCTTGTATAATTATATAAACTAATGAAGTCATATAAGTCACTTTAGAAGACATGCTATTATAGATTCTTGTCACCATGTGAGTTGACTGTACATCAATGTGTGAGTCAGGTTCACCACACCCCGACAAAAAGATGAAGCTGACATTGCTTATGGCACAGAAAGCTCCATTGTGTGGGCCTGGCACATGAGAGAAGGTGTGCCTCAGACGTGATTGAATTCTCAGAGGATAGGGTGAAGAAGCTGGAAATGCTCTTCCTAGGAGACTGGACTGATGAGGCAGGCATCAGTCACCAGCCCACGAGAAACAAAGAGTCATTGATTCTGGTGCCAGCCTCAGGGCTTCTGCAGCAGAGTTTGCCCCAGACTATCAGATAGAGTTCATTGCCACTCTCTCTTCACCATCAGCAAGCAGAGTCAGGAATTCCTGAGAAAGGAGTGCTTGTCCAGAAGCAGAAAAGAAGAGGTTGAATGCAGGTTATTTTTTTTTTACTATTATTTTGGCACTAAGTAGAATGACAAAGCAATATACTCCATGTGATTTCATAAAGCTTTCATAAAACTTCAAAAACAAGAGTGAAGAACTGATCAGTTAGTATTCCAATGAAACTAAATTATAGGTGCCATCCTTCTTATTCATAAAACCTTCTTGTGTTCTCATTTCTTAGCTAGAGAATGGGAGAAAATGAATTTTTTTTTTTTTCTGAGACAGTCTTGCTCTGTTGCCCAGGCTGGAGTGCGGTGGCGCAATCTTGGCTCACTGCAAGCTCCACCTCCTGGGTTCATGCCATTCCCCTGCCTCAGCCTCCCGAGTAGCTGGGACTACAGGCGCCCACCACCACACCCCGCTAATTTTTTGTATTTTTAGTAGAGACGGGGTTTCACCGTGTTAGCCAGGATGGTCTGGATCTCCTGACCTTGTGATCCACCCACCTTGGCCTCCCAAAGTCCTGGGATTACAGGCTTGAGCCACCGTGCCCGGCCAAATGAATTTTTTTAAACAATTTTTTTTCCAAGTCATTATCCACATTAATGGGGAACGTGCTGAATTCTTTCGTGAAAATCTCACCTTTACACTGGAGATATTGGCTTCATACAAATTCTCCCAGGATAGATGATGACCTAAAAGGTATGTTCCTTTTCTCTACCTGATATTTTCTACAAAATCAATTATTTTTCTCATTCTTCATTACTGATTCTATCTCCTAGTATATTGTTGGCAGACATAAGTATAATATGGGAAGTATGTACACTACTTTGACAGGAAGTACTAACAGTTTAATCTGAGGTCTGTGATTGGTAAGAACCTGAGTGTGGCATACATGTGTGAGCTTAGGGTTGAGTTCATGGAAGATACTGACTAGACTGAGATTCATGGGGAAAAAAATGATGACCTACATTCCACTTGGTCAAAGCAAGTATAAAGGTTATTGTTGCATAAATCAAAGATAGGCCTACATTAAGTGGAAGTCTAAAATTTTAGATTGGATTTTGAGAGGTAGACTTTCAGGGAAATGATCTTATCCTAGCTGGGGGAGATCTAACACTCTAGAGAAGGTGGGAAGGGTACAGAAAAGGCAATCATTGTGGAAAGTAGTCACGAAATGGAAATGTTAATTTCCATTAACATGAGAAAGAGAGGGAGAACTTTGCAAAACTCTCAACCTTTACAGTCAGCTTTAGGTAGCTAAAATAAATCCACAGATCCACTCTGACTTTTCATATTCCTTTCCACATTTGGATCTACTTCCAACATTTTATCCTCTGTGCTTTTAAATGTTGTGAAATATCTCCGAGAATTCCTTTAATGTGAAGCTTTGTTTGTTTATCTGTTTTGGCTAGCATCACTACCCCTGGGACATCTTCATCCTTTTAGTCACAATCACTTTCCTCACTTACATGGATAAATTTGCCTTCTCTGGAGTCTCTAAAAGGTCAGCAGTGTCAACATTCTCCCTGTCTGCTCTTTCTTCTATAGTTACATTTGCAACGGATTCGGATTTTACTTCCAGTGTTATCACATAACATTTATTTGTGCACTTTCGTCTTTCTTGGCCAGTTCTCTCTTGCATTTTTGTAAAATGTCATGTGAGTTTATCGCTGGGAGACAAGGAAGCAACACAGCTACATGGTTTGCTGTGTGTGCATGAACTGTAATAGTTATGCAATTACACCCAGTTAATATATTATGGTAACTGAAATAGGAATCATATTTTTGGGAGCCTAGCACTATTCAACTAATTTGTAATAACTAAAATTTGTGCATACTGTAAATGTGCAATGGGAGGGTTGCCTATATATTCAAAGGACTTACACTGTAATTGTCCATAAGCTTCTTAGCTTAATTTTAATTTTTGTACCCCTATGAAATTTGCTCTAAGGATATTTTATAACTGAGGGTGGCTTTTCTCCACTTGTTTGGAATGGTTTTCTTACTAATTCAAAATAAGGAGGTCTTACTAGTTTTGCATATTTTTTATCTTGTGAACTGGTATGCATTGTATGGTTCTCTGCATAAGTAAATGCTATTCAACCTCAGTGATAATCTAGAAAATTTTAGTCTCCCATGAAGATGAGATGTGAATTTAGAATGCAGACAAAAGGTAATTATTTCCATGAATTCATTATAAAAAGAAAAAAATCTGAAATGTTATGCTTCCCATTTGTTTACTTGACATGATAGATCTCTTTTCCTTTCTAGCATTTTTGCAGGGCTATTTCAGCTACTCTCACTTTATTATTGGCTTTACCTAAAAATTGGACTTTTTTTCTTAAGCAAAACACGCAATTACGCCTTATAAATGTTAGGTATTTTTGGAGGGCTAAAGAAACATGTCTTTTACCTAGTGTGCTGAGAGAAGATTCCTCCAAAAAGGGACTGTCTAACTTTGACCAGCTAAGCTGCTCTCTGTCACTTCAGTGTTAGAACAACCACACTCCATAGGACCATCTTTTTATTTTTTGGTATATGTCTTCAATTTTCTTCCATTCATAGATCTACCAAGTGCTTCACTCACACATCTCTTCGAAGATCTGGCCAATGCAAGAAGCAGGACAAAGGCAACTCTGCACATATATGTGTGCTTTTGCTTATCAAAAACATTTTTGCCCGTCTCTAAACTTGATTGCAGTCATTTAATGTTTTCATTTGTATCAAACAATTAAAATCTGTGTTTACTGTATTCAATAACATTAATTAGTCAATTGCTTCAAAGCCATTTTCTTACCAACATAACAGAGAAGAAATGTATGCTTCAGATAAGCTGGGGCTCTGAAGAATTCATTTTGGCAAAAAAGAAATATATTAAACATATGTGAGGTCAGAAAATCTACTCCTATTTCATAGTATTAATTTATTCATTCTATTAATTGGTCTTTTGTTAAGAGCTCCCTTTTTCTTTTCTCTAAGTATTCTCTAAATAGTACAGTATTTCTTCATTATCACCATGTTTCTATTTTTTATTCACATATATTTCCTTATTTATATATACTTAAAAACTATCTTTCCCTCTTAAAATTTCTTTCTTTTTTCTTTCTAGAAATTGCCAGATCCTTCCCTTATAACTTCTTCTTCCTTTTTAACCTCACTTATCTTGCTACTGAAATCCCAAGAATAATGAGGCTATCTTCTAATAAATGCCTTTAGGTGGACTGTAAAAGCTATTTTCCTTTTATAAAATTAATATGCAAAAATCAGAGTGGACCTAAATTTCTATTGTCTAGTGAGTTTATAAGCTGAAAAGAATGAAAGTGTACAAATTATTATTAAAGGTGCCCATATTTGTATTTTTATAAACAGTGGCTCCATGTACACTTTGTCTACACCTGGGAAGGTATCTGGATTATGGCCAAAGCCAGTTTGTGGACTTCAGCTTCACCAGTAGCTTCTGCCAAGTTATTTGAGCTGAGGTAACTAAAAAAATGAGCTAGCCAACCATTTATTACTGATGATAAAAGAGAAGAATTTGCATTTTCTAAAAAATTAAGATATGTATTTCTGTTATTTTTCACTCAAAAATTATTTAGCCTTTACCATTCCCTAGAACATTACTTTGAGTGGAGTTACATCAGTGAGCATGATGGTCAAGTTTCTTGACCTCATAAAACTTACAGTCTATTGAAATTAATATCCTAACACTATTCATTTGATTTTCTGTTAATCTTTAATCCTCTCTTTGCAAGTTGCACCTATATAGCATATGCTTAGTTTCAAAAATTAAAAGAAATGAATGTTATTAGAGTTTCATAACACCCCTTGAGATACTTAGAGTTGCCAGAAAAAATATAGAACTCCCTGTTAAATTTGAATTTCAGATAAACAATAAATAACTTTTTATACATAAGTATGTCTTGTACAATATTTAGGTATATCTTAAATTGGATATACCTAAATCTGGAAAGTCTAAATTAGAGAATCTCTGGATGTCATGAAAGCAGGAAGAGTGACATTCACTATCAACAGATTCACTGTGATGGCAACAGCCTGTCCAGTCTACATCCCACAACCCCTGCCATTCTCATCCCCAACCCTGGCCACCCAATAAAGAGTATTATCTCAAAATCAGATTGATACTGTACTTCAAACTAGCTAGTCATCTCATTCATCTTCAGCATATGTGCTTATTAATGTGATGTTTTGTATATAATAGATATCATACACAGCATCCTGTCTACTATCCATACTTAAAAATATGTCTAACTGATCAAGTCATAGGAGATTACTTCCAAAATATTCTGCATAAAGAGCAACCTGAAGGAAAATCAGTAATAAGGCATGGCTCAATTTAAGTGGCTAAATTATCACATTTATATTTTGGGTTTATAAATAGTCCTGAGTATCGATTTCGAATTAGGAGATCAAATGTTTTTATTCCAATTCTAGGACTTTTACCTTTTGTCCACATTTTGGAGGATACAGGAAAACAGAAAACACGATCGTTATCCTCCAAAATGAACTGGTGGCCTTGCTTGACACTCTTTGTACACTTGTGAAATTGACAGGGTTTGCAGCATCTAGAAGTCAATAGGAGACCCTTTGGGGGATAAATGCTCAAATGGGTGTTTCAAACATTAAACCTAGTAGGTGGGAGAGACATGGGCTGGGAAAATCTTGGTAGAAATGGTAGGACTTGACAGGAAGAAACATGATCTACCATGTAATTAAAATACAAAGTGTGACATATTTTAAAGAAATACAAGTATAGAAAAACTAAGTTTATATTATAGGACTTAGTGTAGCAATGTTGCATGTGATGTCTTTAGACATTGCCTCAGTGTCAGAAATCTTATTATTGTATCATATGCTGGAAAAATTATATTAATGAAATTGGAGTCTATTTCAGTTGCTCACTCTAAGTGAAATGTAAACAGTCTGATTTTCTTCAAATTAAAGAGTTTTTTTTAAAGTATAAGAAATATATTCAAGGCCAGGCACGGTGGTTCATCCCAGCACTTTGGGAGGCTGAGGCGGTCAGATCACCTGAGGTCAGGAGTTCAAGACCAGCCTGGGCAACATGGTGAAACCCCGTCTCTACTAAAAATATAAAAATTAGCCAGGCATTGTGGTGGGTGCCTGTAAGCCCAGCTACTCAGGAGGCTGAGACAGGAGAATTGCTTGAACCCAGGAGGCGGAGGGGCAGAGGTTGTAGTGAGCTGAGATCCCACCACTGCACTCCAGCCTGGGCAACAGAGCGAGACTCTGTCTCGAAAAAAAAAAAAAAGAAATATATTCAAAATATGAGATATTATGTGCATGTAAAATTCTAAATTATATATCTGTTTGATATGATTATGTTATGTTTTTGTTAAAAATTAACATTTTCAATAACAAATAAACTGTAATTTTTCTTTTAATCAGTTTATTATTTTATAATTATTTAACTTCATTTTCTGATAGCTGATTTTAGAAATTCATATACCTTAACAGTTTGAGAACAGAGGATCAAAATAATTAAATGAATTTATTTACACTTCAAAATCAACAATTAGAACATTCAAACCTAAAGGAGTATGATAGATGCTAGTATTTCTTTATAAATAATCTTTTCTAAAGTCTTTGATTTTGGAATATGATCCTACTTAAGCACACTGCAAGTTTTCTTTTTTTAGCTCATTAGCATTTTGTACTTAACTAAAAACAACAGTGAAGCTATACTTTATTCTTGGCATTTCTTCACCTAAAATAAAGCCATTGAAAGCCCCATCTTCATATAAATGTAGGTCTTATGGAATGCCTTGGTTACTTTAGACATTTGGAAATGTCAGACCAATAGCTATGGGGGCTGGAATGTGCTACTTCACTTTAATAAACAAGAATTAGAAGGCAGGGCATTGCATTAAGAAGATTTATGCATGAGTTGTGGGAACATAGGCAGAGACCAAAACCAGACAGATCACCATCAGTATTTTGAGTGGGAAAAGTGTTTGAAATGGACTGAGATCGCAACTGAAGAACCACTGGCAAGTTTAATTGAGGGCCATAATTCAGTACACTAGGGTCAAAATAGGGCAAAGCTATGGAGGATGAAGCCCATTGGCTTAGCTATATAGGACGAGGTCAGGGAAGGCCAATGTCATCATCAGACAAGTTAGCAAGGCATACCGAGACTTTCTTAATGAACATAAGAAAACCAGATAAGCAGAAGCTGAGGTCTAGCTCTGAGATAATACTATCAGTCTCCATGAGTTATTTTGATAAGAGGCTATCTTTAACTTAGACCTTTTCTCTGCATGGGCTGGTAAAACTCTTCCATCGACAGCTCTGTTACTATGTCAGTATTTCTAGGACTGTGTTTGTTGAGGCAGGTCAGAAGCTGCATTTTCAAACTCCCAAAACCTGACCCATGTTTGTGTTGGGTGCTAGTGCTCTGAGCTGAGACCTTAGCAGGGAATTTCCCAAAGGCTAAGTTCTCCAATTCCCTTTTAGCCTCCTTCATGGTACTTTTACTCTGGTCCTGCCCCCACCATCCAACATCCTGGGCTCAGGGCCAGGCTTAGCATCAGGTTTCAGATGTACGTTGCCTATAAAAATGTCTCTGAATTGGCAATAATTAGTCTGTGCAACTGTATTTAGCTCTAAAATACTATGTGTGCTGAGGGATTGCTCTTACTGGAAATAGGCCTGTGGAGATAGATTGGGAATGACATAAATATTCTCAATGAATGGAAAAGCATATCTAGAAATATTTCTTTTACTCTTTCCTTATCAAAGCTTTTAAAATGACTGAACTCTGATCTTGGGTTCCGAAGTGTCTCTGGGGAAGGTCATTTGAATCTGCTGTATTGTCAGGCTGTCTAACATCTGCAAGGTGATTCTCAACCTGGACTCTTGGAAATTAGCATCAGTGTTTTTTGGTTATCACAATGACAAGGGAGTAATACAAGCATTTAGTGGTGATATGGTTTGGATCTTTATCACCTCTAAAACTCATGTTGAAATGTAATCCCCAGTGTTGGAGGTAGGACCTGGTGGGAGATATTTTGGTCATGAGGGTGGATCCTCCATGAATATGTTGGTACTGTCTTCCTGATAATGACTGAATTCTTGTTCTGAGTTTATATGAGATCCTGGTTGTTAAAAAATGTAGCGCCTCTCCCACTTTGCTCTTGCCCTTGCTACCTGATGCACCTGCCACCTCTTCACCTTCTGCCATGATTGTAAGCTCCCTGAATCCTTCCCCGGAAGCTAAGCAGATGGCAGCACCATGCTTCCTGTGCAGTCTGCAGAACCGTGATTCAATTAAACCTCTTTTCTTTATAAATTACCCATTCTCAGATATTACTTTATAGTGATACAAAATGGACTAACACAAGTGGAGAAGAGCCAGTGATGCTAAGCTTTCTATAAATGCGCAAGACAAAAATCCTGCACAACCAAGAATTCCTCTAGCACTACCATGATTAGCAATACCTGTAGTGATTTCTAGTTGACTCCCAGGGCATTGGCACTGGCATTTGAATGAAACTTTTTCTGCTCTTCCTAAATACACTGGGGATTATCTGCTGTTACAATTTCATATTTTTGTTTTCTCAGACTCTTCATATCAGTCAACAAAAACTTGAATTCCCTCCCTCTTCCCTTTACTATTCTTCATCTTTGTTCACCCTGTTCTCTTTCCTCCACTCTTACAGAAGGAAATCTTTCATCTTCTTTCCAAAGATAACAACAGCTCCATTCAAAGCTTTGGTAACATCCCACTGCATCTCATCCTTGACTCTGTCTCTTGCGTCTTTAATACCCTGCCAGTCCCTTCTTCTCCTTAGACAAGTGCTTAAGTGTCCTTATCCCAAATATCAAATAAAAGCAAAAACCAAAACTCTTAAACCTGCCACTTAACTCCTTAATGTTCCTTATCATTTCTTCAGCAGAAGGCTCAGAGTCTATAAACTGTTTTATGCAATCACTGCCTCTAGTTCCTCACCATCCGTTGGATTTTAAATCTCTTGTAATCTGATTTCTACCCTCTAATTCTGCTCTCTTGAGTAATGCCCAGTTGCCAGAACCACTCTCTCTCACTCTTCAAATTCCTTGGATTTCTCTGCAAAATTGGATCCTTGATAAATCCCTTGTTAAAGATCATTTATTCTCCCTTTGCTTCAGTTTACCTCTTGATGCTCCTAGGAAGACTGAGACCATACCAAATGAGCCCCTTCATTTTCTTGAATTCTACTTTAATATTTCACTATCTGTATAAATCCAGGATTCTCGCTGTTCCATCTTTGGGGCTCCTATTCCTCATCCTCTTCCCATACACTGGATACTGGGCTTGGGTCCCCTCTGCTGACTGCCCTTAGCCTTCTCATCTAAGTGAATGTTCTGAAAAATACAAACATGGCTAGCCATAACTCCTCTGTTGTACTCCAGGCCAAACTGCCAGCTTCCTGACAGATAACTCCACTTGGATGCCCACTGCTACTCCTGAAATTCAACAAAATGACATCCAAAATATTTTGGCATATTTCTTGTATAGTATTTTGTGTTTAGCGATCATTTTTATACATGACTGTTTCAGCTACCAGCCTGAGACTTCTTAAAGACAAGGATGGTTTCTTATTTTATTTCTTTTAGCCCCTAGCATCTAGCATAGTGCTTTAAAAAATGTTAATTGGATGATAAAGAAGAGTGAAGACTTGAAGTTCCTTTAGAAAATGGATTGTGTCATATCCGTGGCCCAGTGCCTAGCACAGCTATAGCACAGTGCTTAGCACAACTGTACTAAACAAATATTTTTTGAGCAAATCTGTCATCTCTTCTTCCAAAGCCACCTCTGTTTTCTTTCCTATCAATGTCAATGATACCATCATTTTCCTGGTAACCAATGTCACAAACCTCAATCTTCTCTGATTCTTCCCTGGTCCCTAAATCCAGAGTAAAGTCTGGTAAGTCTTCCTCAAAAATTTTAAATATTTCTCTTTTATTTCATTTCCACTGTCACCATGCTAGTGTGTGCTTTCATTTAGACCAGTATTTCCAATCTGCTCTCTTGCAGTCTATCAAAGGTTCATAGAAGCATACAAAGAAAATGAAAAGAGTTCTTCAGGAGCAAATATGTTTTGGAGGTAGACACTGGGTCAGATGAAAGTAACTAGGTTTTATTGCTGAGTATCCTCTCTGAACCTTTCATTTAAAAAATATAAATATCTTCTAAGGCAGTATAATATATAGGGGTTTACAAATTTATTTTACAATGGAAGCATTTTTCTGATGCCACATCAATTAACATCTCCTGAGTGTTCCACAGAACACAAGTCTAGAAAATCTAGAACTAGACTACTAAAATAGCATTTTAATTGCTCTCTCTGACTTGAGCGACTATTTTTTCCTAATCTATAATTTAAAATAATGCTTAAACTAGACTTCCTGAAATCCAGCTCTGATTGATAGATTATTATTTTCTTGTTCATCCACACCCCCAAAAAGGAAATTTTTAATGACTCTCAATGACTTAACTAATAAACTTTCCAAATGTCTAGTTATTTTTAGTTTTCTGCCTTTTACAAACACTTCTGTGCCCAAGGAAATTCATTTGTATCATAATAGAGGCATTTTGTCAAAAGACAGCATTGGGGCTTAGGATGCTCCACCCCAAAATATGACTGTAGGTGACCAGAATCTGCTTCTCTGGCATATTTTGAGTGGGAAATTGCATAAATTGAGTGGGAAATTGAGTGGGAAATTCTGGGAAATTGCAGACACAGGAGTAGCTCTGAAAAGCTCCCCTTTTATAAAAGAAACTTACATGTATGAAGGAAGTCTACATGAGTAAAAGTATCTGTACCAGAAAGAGACCTGCTGTGAGACAACTTTTATTACCTAAGAGACTTTTTATCTGCATAATAAGACAATCTGTATTCATCACACATTTCCTCCCCTCACCCTCCTGCAACCTCTCTCTACCATCCACTAGAAGCACCATGCCCCTATTCCTTTACTGTAGCTCAAGATACAATAGAAGCTTCTATCATCTGGTACTTCTTCAAGTCTCATATTTTGTGGGACTCCTGTGTGCACATAAGAAATTAAATATGGTTTTTCTCCTGTTAATCTATCTTCTGTCAATTTCATTGGTACCCCAGCAAAAGAACCTAGGAAGGTAGAGGGAAGCTATTTTTTCCCTCCCCAACAAAAGCAAACCTTACATATTTTATTGCTCTTTAATTTCCATTTCAGTGAGTATTCAGCATTTGAACAAAGTATATTTTCCGTAAGAATATAATAGTTCCTTAAGTATTTGGCATTGAATGATGCTTCTTCTTGTGTAAGTAGGACTCAGAGTTAGATATTTGTGCCCACTTTTAGGTTTCTGAAGGAGATGGTTGTACAGTTCAGTAAAACATATATAGTGGCCTAAAGCTTGTGTCATCTAAACCTGCCCACTTTCTAACTTGAGTATTTAAGCAGATGGGATATATTTATTTATCTCTAAGGATATTGATAAATTTCTACCAGTTAGTTCTACTTTCTCACCCTGTCCCCTTTGTTATTTGTAAAATGCATTTTTTGAACGTCCTGAGATTAGAGCCATTTGTACAAGGGACTGAAAACTAATTACCCTGTGTGATTCCAACCTTGTACTCATTAACAACTTGCTCTAATCAGCTGGATAACTGGCACCAACAGTGTGGGATGTTGAACTGAATCATTACTCCAGAATACAATAATTTAAAAGTAGAATGGCCGTTTTCAGTGTCTGGATAATCTTGGAATCTACACTTGAAAAGCTAAATCCTGGGAAATATCTAGACCTAGAAATACACTTTCTGATTTTGTCAACCAGAGAAGCATGTGGCCACCACATGGCTTACCTTCTGGTCAGCAATATCACCACCGTCCACCCACCTCAACCCTCACACACACATTGCTGAAATTTTCCAGAGAACAAAGAGCATGGTTTGTTATTCTTCTTAATAAACTCACCGTAGAAAGAGTAATTCGCTCTTGATGTTTTCTCTAAGTACCAGGGAACAACACACAAAGCATCTTTCTGAGTATCTTTGAATGACTCATTTCCTGGGTGTGCTCAATCATGATGCAATCAGGAAAGCTGCAATACATTTAAATTTAAGATTTTTATTTTCTGGATAAGTAAAATTGGAGAAAAATCATATTCTTTTCGGAGGTGGGGCATCTGGTAACTTCACTAAGAAGGAAGGAGTAAATATGTTTCTAGTTGCTTTGAGCAAGCCATATGGTGCCAATCAATACCAACATTGGCCAGTGAGAGAGGTGAATTTCACTCATGTGTTTCAAGACTTAGTCTGATCCTCTGTCGTTTCCATTCCTAGATTCTACGAGATCTATTTTCTTTCTTGTATTCTCATTTAATACTTTCAAAAGATTATCTATTATCAGTTGATATTTTCTATTTTTCTGTACATTTCATCAATAATAATTTAGCCAAAGCTAATAAGAAATTCTCCTGAAAGTCTGATCTCTAATGAATACTGAAACCAAGTTCAACACATTAAAGGAAGTAATTAAGAAGGCACCCTATTGGGTTTAGGTATGCTAGGTCAGCCAAAACAGGATTTTTTTATTTTTATGAGTTTTTGTCAAATTTAAAGTATGTCTACATTTTAAAACAAAAATTTAATGAAATTTGTTTGTAGCTATGCTACTCTATAAATATTTATTTTTTAAATTATTCTTCATGTAACTTAAAGATGATTTTTTTTAAAATAATGGCCTAGACATGCCAATAAAAATACCTATTCAATTTGCAAAAAAAGTATTAAATACCACAGGTATTTTCTACATAATTATATATATATACACAAGTGGTATGTGTGCATGTATGTGTGTGTGTGTGTGTGTGTGTATACGTGCTGTGTAGCATACTAGCCATGTAATAACTGTTAACTGTGAAAGTTTCTAAGAGGTCAGTCATCTGTTTCATCACCTTACTTCAGAAAGGGCTGTGCCTGTATTAACCGTGGGGCATGGCTAACTAATGTGGTTTCTTACCTCTTACTCTTCCACCTCTTTTTATTCATTGAAGTCACAGTCATAACTAGCCCATACACAGTGCTCACTGTTTGCCAAGCATGGTTGCACTTTACACATACTGACTCACTTAACTCTTACAGCATCTCTATCAGATAGGTTTTCCATTACTCTTCACATATTACCTTTAAATTCCCTTTCTTTCCCTTGCTTCTCATTTAACCCAATTCTAACTTTAAATAAGCTCACCTGTCTTTATTCTTCTATTCTCTTGTTCATACTTCTTATTTTAATTTTTTCCTGACCCATTTTCCCTACTTGTGTCACACTTTATCTTCTTGACATTTTGCTTTATCTCCCTCTATCACATTTTTCAGTACTTCTGCTTCTCCTGGAATTTTTAGCTGACAGCCATGCTCTCAAGGTGCAAAAGGTGCTCAAGACTCCTGAAACTGAGCCGCTCACTTGTTCCCATATCATAGGAATAAGTGAGGCTGAGAGGCAGGCTGGGTGCCTGGGAAGTCCAGTGGGGGTCAGGCAAGTAACACTTCTAAAGAATAGAGCACTCACCATGTTAGATTGTGTTCAGAGATAATCACTCAGTCAGTCAGATTGCTATTCAGATTAGCAATCTTGTGAAAAGAAAGGCCCAACCTTCCCTGATGAGTATTTCAAGTGCACCCTCCCCAGCAAAGATTCTTTAGAGCACTGCTTAAGAATCTTGCACTTACATTAGAGTCACCTGGAGAGCTTGTTAAAACAGATCTGTAGGCCTGGGGTGGGGATCACAAATTTGCAATTCTAAGTAGCTCCCACGCTACACAGACGCTGTCTGCCCACAGACCACTGTTGGAGTAGCAGTACTTTACAGTTTATATATTTTTCTAATTTTTGGTTTAAATAATTCTGGATAGAGTTTAAAGCCAATCATCTGTACTCTCCTTCCAGTGGCACTGATCTGCCAGACAACTGTTGAGTGACATTCACTCATTAGATTCTGTTTTGTGGCTAAACAACACCAGTTTCTTTAGCTTTTTATAAAATCTATTTTGTAAACCTTGCAGCACTCTTACATCTCTCTTTCATGCCTTCTACCAGTTGTCTACATCTTCCTCCAGTGTAGATAGGCAAACTGAACTGAATCTCTATATATTTTAAATTGGAAAGAGGTTTGATTCAGACTTGGTTTTGCAGATTAACTTTTGGTTCCTATATATTATATTTATTAAACAAAATATGTCCTTATTTAGCACTTACATATAATGTAAGTGCTAAATACATATAATGTACTGCACAAAGTGAACTGGAGATTTAAAAAAAAAAAAAAGAACTGAGACACAGATCCAGAACTCCAGTTGCTTTGAAACTCAGGAGGAAAATAAAACAAAACAAGACAATAACAAAACAAATCACAGAGAAATAGAATTTTGGGAACTAGAGTGGACCAATTAAATACCAAGCATTGAGTAATAATATAAAACTGGAACAGCAATTCAAGGGAAAATAATTGAGTCAGTCGTGTTTAACTAAAAAAAAATCAGGCCACAGATAAAAATTTTTCATTTGTATATCAGTACCCATATAAATATACTTTCTATCTATGCCACGCAGTTATTGCTGGATACATAGCCCCTTTTTCGTCCTTATTTATTATATCCTACCTCCTCCGCTACAATTTAAGGCCCTTCAGGGCAGAGACGATGTCTCACACTTCATATTACCAGCACTTAATATAGCATAAGTATATATTCCCCACTTACTACTGATTAAATATGTGAAAGTGAGTACAGAGGACATAGGCTTATTGGGAAATTAAATGGTCACTGTATCATATTTTTTAAAGCTTATCAAGTAATTTTACCTCAACCATATTAAAGATCTTCATAGGAAGTAGCCTCTAAATCCAAGCACAGTATTCTACATGTAGAAAGACTTTGTTAGCATATATTGAGCTAATCATTTCATTCAACAGGTATTATTTACTGAAAGTCTATCTGACCCAGTCATAGCTTTTCAGCACTTACTAATTCACTTATTCCTCCTGGCAACATACTTAGGATACTGGGTAGGAAGTACAGCACACAGTGATGAGATAATCTGCCTAAGGTCACAGTGGTTGGCTGGGATTCAAACCCAGGCAATGCAGCCCCTAAGTCTATGCTCTTGAGCACTGTACTGCATCACCATGCCTCTGGGAAGGAATGCCTGTTACAGTCTGTCTCCCTGCAACCAGGTGGCATCCTACCTTGCATTACTTGTTTGTGCAGAGTTGGACATTGATGCTTCCCAGGTATAAGTGAGGTGTGTGGTACATGTGGGTTTTGGGCTTTGCCCTCACCTAGCACTAAGTTGAAAGTGATTCAGATTTGAATACTGTGGTTCTATTGAGCTTAGTTTGATGCTAGTTTGAATAGAATACTGGAACTTATGTACAAAGTCTCTGTTAAAATATGTTTATAGTTTCTAAATATTAGATTGGATTTTCATTCTTCATTACTTGAAATTTGGTTCTATTTTTGTAAGGGAATTGATCCTACCCACAGTTCCCTCTCTATAGCTAGAATACTATCTCTTGCATTATTTCTTTGTGCAGAGTTGGACACTGAGGCCTCCAAGGGATAAATGGGATATGAGGTACATGTGTGTTTGGGGCTTTGCTGTGATCTAGCACTAATATGGTTAAAGCAATTCAACTTTATACAATATGAATCAGTCTTGGCCACATTTTATCCTACTTTGAGCTCCTAAAGGACTTTATATTATTCCTGTCACACACTGACCTGGATTGTTAGGGAAGGCTGGTATACACCCAGCACAGCAGGACTGAAATATTTGTCCTGTAAATAAGGAAATAAATGAAAAAATCTGGTAGAATTCTGTGTCACCTGAAATTCATAAGCAGACTTTTCTTTTTAAATATAATTGCAGTAATTATGAAAGTATGATTAATAACAGTTCTTATACAATTTTCAGTCTCCTCATTAAGCCCACATTCCTCTTGGTTATATGTGCAAGGAAAAAATAGGTCAGATTTATATTAACAGCCATCAACTTACAAAGAAAATAGTAAACCTAGAAACTTACAAAGAAAATAGAAAACCTAGGTCAGGTTTTCTTATTTAAAATTAATCTCTGCTTGAAATAACATATTTAGAAATTGCTCTTAAATATAGCTTATATTCATTTGAACAATAATGAATGCATTTAGTACTATGTAGCAAAAATTGCACAGTAAAAAGGAAAATATATAAAGTCTAGTTATTTCAGTTCCTTGAAGGTAAAAAGGTTGAGAGGAAAAAATAATCCTTTCTGATACCAGTCTTATGATACAATATATGCTCTGTGAAAATCTGAAGAAAAGGTGAAAAATGTAAAAATTTAAAAAATGTGAAAACAGTATTTAAAAAAAATAGTTTTAAAGACAGATGATGGGCCGGGTGTGGTGGCTCACACATGTAATCCCAGCACTTTGGAAGGCTGAGGCGGGCGAATCACGAGCTCAGGAGTTTGAAACCAGCCTGGCCAACATGATGAAACCCTGTCTCTACCAAAAATACAAAAATTCGCTGGGCTTGGTGGCATGTGCCTGTAATCCCAGCTACTCAGGAGGCTGAGGCAGGAGAATCGCTTGAACCCAGGAAGCAGAGGTTGCAGTAAGCCGAGATCATGCCACTGCACTCCAGCCTGGCAACAGAGGGAGACTCCATCTCAAAAAACAGAAAGATGATGAAGCTGTCTTCTGCCAATCTTAATGCTAGAATAAATGTTGAATGTGTAAATTCTTGTTGGTGCCTGTGCAATTAATTAAGATATTTATTCTAAATCCATTTTTTGTTTCTATACATCCTTGTATATTTTCAGTTATACTCATTTACATATTCAAGAAATAACAAGAACAATGTTTAAAATATCACAAGTAAAGGAAACTATTAGGTTGGTGCAAAAGCAATTGCATTTTTTGCCATTAAATTCAATGGCAAAACCGCAATTACTTTTGAACCAACCTAATATTTTGTTGCTGGATGACATCTAAACAACATTCAGGTAATTCAGCCCCCTTTCCCCTTTCATTTAATTTCCCATTTCTACCTCTCCTCCTTTCACAGTTACACATTTTAATCACAATGCCCTGTTTCACACTTCCTTGGTCAGCACCGATATTCTCTGAACTATTTTTCCTGCACAAGCACATAAACCCATAAACATAAATACACACGCATATTAAACAATCCGTCACATGATGGATAGCACGGCAGCCTGGTGACATTGTGGGGACGCGGCTGCACGTGGGCTCTGACCCAGCTGGCCTTTTCTTGGTGTTGGAGGCCGCCTCTTCCAAGGTTGCTGCACAGGTGGCTGGAGGTGGCACAGTGTGTCGGATGGGCGGTGGTGTGCATATCCAGTTTCCCCAACTGACCAGATCCCAGGTGATCTAGGCTGAGGTCCTCAGTGCAACAATATGGTTCTGGATTCTCTGGTGCTTTTGTCATGAGACTCAGATGCTGTGCTGGGTCACTTTCTATATCCAGAGTCTTCCCAGTGGACAGATGTAGAATTAGGCATCCTTCCTAATGATGAAGACTGAAAGTGTAGACTCAGCCTTTACAAGAGCCAGGTGAGCATTTCAAGAGATTGTAGACTTCATATTGAAGACAGAAATTAAAGTTGTTTGGTCAAGAATAATAATAAAGCTGGGTGTGGTGGCCCAGCACTTTGGGAAGCCAAGCGGGAGGATTGCTTGAGCCCAAGAGTTTGAGACCAGACTGGCAACATAGGGAGACCCTGTCCCTACAAAAATCAGCCAGGCACAGTGGCACACACCTGCGTTCCCAGCTACTCAGGAGGCTGAGTTGGCAGGGTCTCTTGAGTCCGGGAGGTCGAGGCTGCTGTGAGCCATGATCATACCAATGCACTCCAGCCTCGAAGAGAGTGAGACCCTGTCTCAAAAAATACAATAAATAAAAATAAAACAATCCATTAGGACATACTATTAATGTGTGTGTGTGTGTGTGTATGTGTGTGTGTGTGTGTGTATGCGTGTATATACGCATATTTTTTCTCATGGTGTAAGTGCAGTGAGCACTGAACAGAAGTTATAAAATAGCTTTGTCCTGTGGTCATTAGTAAATCTTCCTGTGAATACTTCCATGAGCCTCTACTGAGATATTGTGACTTCTGTGCATACTTTGTGATATCCAGGCTAGTCTATGATCAAAGGATAACAAAGATTGCAGGTAAAAAATTTTGGAGGAAATAATATCCACCCTGATACCACTCTCATGATTAATATGCTATGTGCAGACTTCTTGTTTTCTATCACCAACTTTGTGTCCTGGCAAACAACTTTGAATTCTAAGGCTGACAGCAGAATGCTAGTGATAGTGCTGCAACCGTAGCAAAGAAAAAACAAAAGATGTTTCTGTATGCAAGTTTTACCATGACTTAAAACTTCTTCAAACTGATTGTCAGTGAAAAGTGAGCAAAAATCAATTTAAGATTGGTGGAAGCCCATTGCCGATATGAAGGGCACTAGTACCATTGCTGACATTTGGAAGGACTGATCTCTAACTTTGAGGAAGGCGGCTGGAAGAAACTATTGGTAGACAGTAAGCAGGGCTTTATAAGAGGAATTACCAATAGACAGTACTGGACACACATGGCCATAAGAACCATACTAATACCTGGAAAATGCTCTTCAGTCTTGTAAAATGCTCTTCATTCTTGTAAAATGCTCTTCGGTTAAAGCTGCCATTGTTGGGAACATGGTTTTTTGCCTCCCATTCATGATGTGTGTGTATACTTAAAATGCCTTTCAACTCTGGAAGGACCCCTGTGGGGTCAGATTACAGGTATTAGGATAAATTCATGGTTTATGTAATAAACCATGATTTTCCATGAGAGAGACACGGAAATAGATATAAATGTATGTACGCATGTGTGCATATATGCATATGTGTGTTTGTATGTCATAAAGGTATTTTCTACGTCTGTCTGCTGAGATAATCTAGAAGCAATGGCACCCCACTAGCAATTACATGCAAAGTGTCCAGATTTTTATTTCTAAATACCATTCTATACACTAAAAGGAACAGGGGCTACATAAAAAAAATTATTGATTGTAGAATTGGGGTTGGGAAAGAACAAGATGAGCCTGGAACATTTTATGGTGGCAGCAAGTAAAGAAGTGCTCAAAGAATGATAGGGGCTGGGTGCAATAGCTCATGCCTGTAATTCCAGCACTTTGGGAGGCCAGTGAGAGGATTTCTTGAAGCCAGGAGTTTCAGACCAGCCTGGGCAACAAAGCAAGACCCCCATCTCTAGAAAAATAAAAAAATTAGCCAGCTGTAGCTACTTGGGAGGCAGAGTCAGGAAGATCGCTTGGCCCCAGGAGTTCAAGGCTGTGGTGAGCTGTGATCAGTCCACTGCACTTCAGCCTTCCAGTCTGAGTGACAGAGACCCTGTCTCTAAAACAAACAAACAAACAAACAAACAAACAAACAAAGAATGGTAGGGACAAGTCAGAAGAACACACAGGTCAGTCTGAAGGAATTTTCACAGGACAAACTGGAACAACCTGATCATCAAAAGAAATAAAAATATTAATGGATCTAATCCATTGAATAAAATAATACAATGAAATCCACAGCAATATTAATAGGCAGGAGAGAATAGAAACCTTTTTCTTATGATGGAAATATAACTCCTTACTGTAGAAAGAATGACTAGAATAATTACCATTTGGCAATCATCATCACAATAACTAATCCAGACAAGAATTATCAATGGATGCTAAAACTAACGGTAGAAACTTTGAGGGGTACCAGGATATGCACATAGTCTCAAAGTATTGCCCCAGAAGAAACATATTAATTACAAAAGGAAAATAGTAACTTTGCATTGCATAAACCTGGCAGACATACTTTAACCAGTTGATCGATATTATCATCACTGGTGTCAATGCCTTGTGGCCTAAGACCAACAGGAACACACCTGCAGTTGAACAAGATGAGTTATTAATTATTGTAGTGACAGAGGATGCACCTCATGAGAAATCACGGGGATATCTCAGTAAGAAGGTGTTAGACAGGAATTATAGGATTTGGGCTTGTGTTAGATAATTTTGTGGAGGATTTAAATAATTTCTGGATTGGATGTTCTCAGGAAGCAGGGGTAATTCTATGGTTGGATAACTTATTAAATCTAATATAGAAGGAAAGAAGACCAGACTGAAGCTCCAGCTGTAATTGGTAAATAAGCCACAGGCATACTAGCCAGGATCAAGGAATGATTAGTCATTTGTATGATGATGACAATGTTTATGGTTTTGTCTATGCTCAGACTTGATAATGAATGGTCTTGTCACAAGGTCACAGAGTGGCCTTGACTGATTGCTCTGGTTCAATAAAATGGACCTTGACTGGTGTTCTGGTTAATAGTTTATGTTCAACAAAAGAACTTCAAGTCTCAGCTGTGAGTGCCAGTGTATCTCCTAGCAACACCAAGGTTACCGTGGTATTCTCAGATCCCAGATGTCAGGAACAAATCAACATCACTTGCCTACTGATATCATGCTTTGAAAATGAAACACCATCACTCCTGTGACATTCCTGCCCAAAATTAATAACCTGGATCTAATCATGAGGAAAAATGAGAATAATACTAATTGCTGGATATTTTACAAAATAGCATGCCTGTATTCCTCCAAATGTGAATGTCATAAAAGAAAGACAGATTGAGTAATTAATCATTCTACATCAAAGGAGACTAGCAAGACATAACAACTGATTGCGATGCATAATTTAGAATTTACTTTTGCTTTAAAGGACATTACTGGGATAGTTGGCAAATTCTGAATAAGCCTGTAGATTAGGTAATTTTGTACGTGTTAAATGTTCTGATTTTGATAATTATACTATGATATGTAAGAGAATATTTTTATTTTTAGGAAACATATATTGAAGAATTTAAGGGTAAAGGGGCATTATATCTGACCCTTTCTCAAATAGTTCAGAAAAAGCCATATATTTGTATATGTATATACATGTATGCACATACACACAAAGGGAAGAATAAAACAAGATTTGGAAAATCTGGGTAAAGAATATATGAGAATTCCTCACACAATTGTTGCAAATGCTATGGATCATCTGTAATGATGTCAAAATTTAAAGGAAAAAGGAAAAAAAGTCTTCCTCTTCTGGTGAATTCAATCTTGTTGTTTGACTCATTGCATTCTTAGGTAAAATGTCTATTTATACACATATTTACATCTAAACCTCCTAGCTTAATTTTTAATGGCCATGATAAGGCTGACGACTTGTGGGGTTTACTCAGAAGTATATACTTCCTTTAGCAGTCCTTGTATTTGGTAAAATATGTTCTAATTCATCTTTTCTTCTGTAGATAAGAATTGCTGGCAACATATGCACTAAACTTCGTTTTGAAAAATCCCCTTGATGCCGATCACTGAGAAGTGATCCACAGGTGAGCGTCTAAGCATTGAACATTTTCTATTCTGTGCTTTTTTCTTTCGTGTGTTGTTGATGTCAGGCTGTTATCAACACATTCTATGAAACAGGACCCTAGGTATATGCATTATAACACGAAACTCATTATAACACAGAGTATAGAATTAGGGATAAAATAGGAGTGAAATCATTTTTGATAGCTTCTTAGTGAAACATAATTGTCTTTATTTTAATGAGTGTTGTTTTAGAGGATTTGAAGATCATAGAGCACAAGAGAAAACATAGTGCCTTTACATTTAACTTCGCGTGTGTGTGTGTGTGTGCTCATAAATGACTTAATTTTAAAGCTAAAGATTATTTAGTATTCTATAGATTAAGATGAATCATTATTTGAGGCAAAGAAAGTTATTATCTTATTAATATATGGTCCAGAGTCAGCTAAAGTCAGATACTATGGAAGTGGGTTGACATGTGCCTGGGTCATCCTAAGAAGGAAATAAAATCAGTACTTTAGCTCAGTCCATTGTATCACTTAGCCTTAACATTTGCAAATGATTTTGAAACCTTGCTATATTTAGCTCTTCTTAATTATAATTGACAATTGGTGGTGGCTATATAATTTTTAATAAATGCATAGTAACAATGTCTTATTTAGTAGGAGTATCTCTTAGGTTCTCATGAATATGTGACGGGGACTGCCTTACCTTCAGGACTATACCATCGATCTCACTGGGCCCCATTACCTTGTGGCAATGACCTGAGGTTTGACAAAATTGTAAGAACCAGCCTCAGTAACAGTGTTTCTCAAAGTGTGAGTATTGCCTGCCTTGGAATCAACTGGGGTGCTGATTAGAATGAAGATTCCTGACTCCACCCCATACCTACTCCATTGGAAACTGATTGTGAGACCCAGGAATCTGCTTTTTAAATAAGCTCCCTAAAGTGATCCTTAGGTGCCTAATGTATGAAAAACATTCTCAGAACTTGCCTTAAATTAATTTTTTTAAAAATGAATGTACTTTATACTCCTCCATCTCTCTCATATTTCTTTCCACATCACATACTTTATCAATATCTCAAATTAAACACATAAGAAAGCACTGAAATAATTTTATTCATTCAAGATCTTAAAGTCCAGAACTACCTAAGATATCCTCAGTTCAGCTCTTCTGTAGTTCTGCTCTTAATCTATTATTTGAATCATCTAAAGATAATGAAGTCATTTTAAGCTATAGTCATTTGATAAGCAAATAATTGTAAAGTTTGTTAAAACAGCTCACATTCTTCAGCTATGCTTCTTGTTTCAGCAGATAACCTGCAGGCATCATTGATGAAATTAAAATTAGGGTGAATCATGAGCAGGAAAAGATATTACTTCAGAAGATTATAAGGTCAATCACGAGCAAAAATATATATATTTCAGTTCCT
Source organism: Homo sapiens (assembly GCF_000001405.40). Classification (NCBI taxonomy): domain Eukaryota; kingdom Metazoa; phylum Chordata; class Mammalia; order Primates; family Hominidae; genus Homo; species Homo sapiens. Next base: position 154,730,196 of record NC_000004.12, read on the forward strand.
TTATATGTTCAATTTACTTAGATATTTGTTTATTTTTCCCTGTTTGTGGTAATCCCTAGTTTTTGCATTTTCTTGTAACTAGTTCATTCCTGTAAATGAAGAGTTTCTAATTCAGGAACTGCTTCTTTTTGCATACATTAATTTGTAAAATTTTTTTCCACATAGAATTTGTCTACCAAATAATGTATTTTACTGTTCCTTAGTATGCATTTTTGAAATGTACTTATTATCATTGTATCAAATACAATCTCATTTACCCAGAGCATTTAAATAGGAGTCACTGTTAAGAATGTGTGACCTGAAAGATAATAATTCTAATAATAGAATGCTCAAAACACCCAGTAATGTTCTATTTTGTGCATCAAAGCAAAATATTGGGCAAATGGTACTGGACTTCCAGATCAAAGATATTTCTAATTTAAAGTCATTAGTGGATGGACAAAAGAGCTTCAGCTTTAGAAAACTTATTCTTAGGACAAATGCAAAATTGAATCCCAGATAAAAGAATACACAAGATAGGCAGTATAAATAAACACCAGCGTGATAGACTGAATACCAGCATTAACAATGTGGTCATTGGAATGTGGAAGGGAGTAGGTAATTTTTAACAAATGTAGACCAACTATCTCACCAAATATATAACATACGAGACAAGAAGACTGGTATATATATACATATATATGTATATGTATATATATCTTCTTGTCTCATATATATATGATATATATATGTCTTCTTGTCCCATATATGTATATACACATATATATATACACATATATATACATATATACATATATATACACACACACACATATATATATCTCCTATAGGCATTCGATGAAGATGTTCTTTTTTCTGTAAAGCATATACTTAAAAACTTTGATAAACTGTGATTTGTTTAATATATTCACGTTTAGAGTATCTTTCTCTGATGCCCAAATCCAAGCTGTACTATTCTTGTCCTCATTTAAGAGTATCTTACTCTTCTTTTTAAATGTGCAGACATCTTATTATTTACTACAAGCAATTTGCATGTATAAGATTACATTACAAATACATTATTATAAGCTTACATTACATTGTATACATTATACATATAATGTATAAATATTTTTTGTATAAGAAGCAATCTAACAATTACTTACACAATTTTAATGCTTTCATAAGATTCTTGTACTAAATTTGGAGAAATGGAGAAATCTGAATATTTTATCTATCTCAGTCAGAGTTTAAAAAATGAATGGTACAGTGACCTAATACTTTGAGCTCAAATTAAATTCAAGGTTTGCTATAAAATTTTTTGCATTTTAGCCCAGAGGACATTTAACCACTTTCAATTAACTACACATATTTTCTCTTCTATAGTACATACTATGATAATGATATTACAGTGATTTTATGCAATAAAAATGTGATTACAAATTTTAACAAATTACTCTGAGCCTAAATTTTCCTAGTGTCTATCATTAATATGATTCTCTCACCAGCATCCTGCCACATGCCTAGTTTGATACTGAAGATTGACAGCACTAAGGGAGAACTTACTGTTATAACAAACTAGGAGAAAGAAAGATCAAGCTTTTGGGAACATGTATGTAAAATTTTCTACAATTATTAATGCTCTAAATAGGAATAGAATTAAAACTTGTTTTTCATGAAGATTTGTAATATAAGCAAATGACCTACTACTGTCACTCTGTCAATTTATTACACATCAATAACTTCCATAAATTTCCTGGTTACATCAAGCTTTGAGTCATCTACATGGGCTGGTAGATGACCTCACCAACTGGTTGGGTTTAGGATTTTACTTCTTCAGAATCTACTTTACAAACTAAAGTGGGTAGGAACAAACCCTTTTTGACTTCACTTCCAAATGTTTCTGGAGCTACACTTCTTAATCTCCTTCCTCCTTTCCTGTCTCAGAGGAACAGAAGTCCTTCCTCCTCATCAGTTCTAACTTCCATCTGCAGTTTTGATCCCATGGCTTCCCACCTCCTCTGGACTGATTTCCATCATTTATTTATTTATTTATTTAGCTGTGTTTTTCTTCTCCATTGAGTCTCCTTTTATGTACAAATATCCTCCTGTGTTCTCCATTTAAAACAAATTTAAAAATTAAAAGTAGGCCAGGTGCAGTGGCTCACACCTGTAACACCTCCCAGCACTTTGGGAGGCCAAAGGCAGGAAAATTGCTTGAGCTTAGGCATTTGTGACCAGCTGGGGAAACATAGTAAGATCCTGTCTCTACAAAAGAAAAAAAAAATACCTGGTTATGCATGCTTGTAGTCCCAGCTACTTGGAAGACTGAAGTGGGAGGATCACCTGAGCCTGGGAAGTCGAGGCTGCAGTGAGTCGAGATTGTGCCACTGCACTCCAGCCTGGGTAACACAGAGAGACCCCATCTCAAAAAAATAGCAATAAAAAAAACCATAAAAAATGTAAAAAGTGAAAATTGAAAAAGCAAATAACAATAAAAAATATTTTCCATTTTATCCTCTATTTCTCATTTTCTTTACTGCAAAACCTTTAGAAAAGCTTGTCTGTTCTTTGCCTAGCCCTTCCCTTGGCCTAACTCTCACTCCCTCAACCCTCAGCAGTCAGGTACTCATGAAACTATTTTCACACTAGTGCCTTCCTTATTGCCTAATCAAATGGTCTCTTGACGCTCTTGCTAACTCCTCTTTGTTTGACACGACTGAACATGCCTCTCCTAATAAGACTTTGTTCGGCCTGGCCATCTCCTACCTCTCATTCCTTCCCCAGCATCTTGGCTGACTCCTTAGTGCTGCCTTCCCTTTATGCAGGGCTCTATCCTGGCTGCCTTCTCACCACGTTCTATGTGTTATCCCTGGGCAGTTTTGTCTACTCCAAAGTAGTAGCACCCACACACTTCTGACTCCCAAATCTGTATCCTATGGCCATACTTCTCTCCAGAGATCTTGTTTAATCTATGTATCCACCTACTTAACATCCCAACTTGAAAAGCCATAGACTCCTGAAACTCAACATGTCCGAGAGTGAACTCATTTGTTCCTCCTGTAAAACCTGCTTTTTCTCCTACCTTCCCCATTCCTATGAAGGGTTTCACTCTTTGCCCAGAGTCATCCCTGGTTCCATTTTATTCTTCTTCCCACTTCTGCCACCACCACTACATCCAGTTGGTCACCAAAAATATCTTTAACTTTTTTACGTGCTCCTCCATCTTGTTTTCCATTACCTTAATCTGGCCCCTTTTCATCTTTTCCCTGGACTACTAAGTGACCTTTTAATTGGTCTCTGCTCCACAGTTGCTTTGGATCACATCATTCCCCTTCTTGAATGTCCCTCATGGCTATTGATTACCTACAGAATAAAGTCTGAGCTCCCCACATGGCACAGGAGGCCCTTCACAACCCGGGCCCCACAAGCTCCCAGTGTGGATTTGACCTCTACCCGTAGAGAGGTATAAGTCCTATATTCTAGTTGAGCTGGACTATTTAAATCTCATCTTTGTTCATGCTGCTTCCTTTGCCTGCCCTCTTGGTACCCACATGCCTACCCCTGTAGATCTAACAAACTCTGACTCCTCATGGTACTGCTTAGGAGCTACTCATTCTCTCACATTCCCTACCCCAAGTAGATGAATTTCTCACCTTTAGTGCATGATCCTTTTCCAACACATCACACAGAATTATGAAAGTTTATTGAGGTCTGTTTCCTCCTTACCAGGCTCTGTGTTCTATTAGGGAGGGGACTGCATTTCATTCATTGCTGTGTTTTGGAATGTCCACATGGAACTTGAGACTAAATGTTCAATAAATACCTGTTGAAGTGGATTCAAGCCTAGAATTCTCCCATCCCCATTTACAGAATTTCCTACTGCCCTACGGCTCTTTGTCACCTTTTCCAAATTTACATGAGAGTTATAGGCAATGAAGAGATTGCTTTATGTATTCTAGAAGAAAAATATACATAGCCATCATTTCTTGAGTTCTTACTAAGTGCTGCTTTTGTAATACATACATATTAATTCATTTAATCCTTATAACAACCTTATGAGGTAGGCTTCATCTTTATCATCATCCTCACCTTAGAGAGGAGGTAACTGAGACAGAGTAGTTAAGTAACTTGCCAAAGGTCACAAAGCTAGGAAGTAGAAGAGCCAGGATTTGAATCCAGGCAAGTTAGCTACAGAGTAGACATTCTTAACCATCATCCCACACTTTTTCCATTTGTAGTGTGCTGTCCCAGCCTACCCTTTTGTCTTCCTTATTTGGTAGCAACAACACATGTGTTTTCAGGAACAGATAAATTTATGTCAGTACGTTTAAATCTATTTGGCTATGTAAATATGGGAATGTTTTATTGATATAATTTTTATACATAATTTGTAATTTTAAAATAGTTAAATAAAATATGTATTGCTTTTGACTTTCTCAAAGAAGTGTAGAAGTTTTGAGTCAAAAGGGACTTTGAATTGGAGAGATGACTACTTACCCAAGGTAATAAATGTAAATTTTAAATAGGAATAATTATGGAATATAAGCCAAGAGAGTTAAAATTCTTAACTAATCCAAATAAGTGTAACTTACAATATAACTGTTAGATAAAATTGTAAGCAAAAACTTTATTGAATGCCCACTGTGAACTCAGAACACATTCTTATGAATATGTTGCCTTACTCAAGGAAGATCCATTTCTAGATAATATTGCTAAAATGAGTTATATAAAGTCACATTTTTGGTAAAGCACATAATTAAAATAGCTTCTTGACAATTAATCTTTCTTTTGTAATATCAGTAATTACTCTTTATTCTTCTTGAATTTGGTTTTCTGAAAAAAGAATAAACCTCTGCTAGACATTTTACATTGGAGGATTCATAAACGAGTAGAGAGAAATCTTCAAGATTTCTATAATTTCACCTATAAAGCAAAATACTTGGTTAAATTATAATTAAGCACCACGTACTTTTTTTAAAAAAGATGAAAAATAGAAGAATTGTTATTTGGAAACCAAATGGTGCAGCCCTAAAAGACATACAAGAAAATCCAGTCCCTTTCAAAAGAAATAAAAACAAATGTAAGAGGAGACATAATTTAAGGAAACAGAAAGAGAGTTTGGACTTTGTCATCTTATACTGGACTTGGCAGTGAGATGTGAGAATGACCATCTACAGCTATCACTAGATTGAATTCCAGGAAGGTTCAGAAGCTGAATTGACGATGAGAGTCACCAGCAGGGGAGTAATGGATAGTATCTATTGCTTTTTCTGTGATGAGTGGACCAGGGCACAAAGAGTTCAACTGATTTGCTTAGAATCATGAAGTAGGTTGTGCCAATATTCTGGGTGACACAGGACTAAAAGGAGGAAATCTAATAACAATCTAGAGGATTTCTAAGTCTGGCTAAACCTTTGGACCTGGTTCCAGGGCCATCCTCTACAGACCCCTCTATAGGTAAGGACCTGCTGAGTGTGGCCTGGCACCCTGAGGTTCACAGCATTATTGGTTTGGTTACTTGCTCTTCTGCAGGAGGCAGGTCACAGTTGGATAAAACTCATGATCTAAGAGACCCCAGGTCACTCTCCCTGCTGATTGTGACCCTGATTTCCTAGGTTCTAAGGTATTCAGGGATGATTTTTGAGATGCCATTTGGCCTCTGACAATTAGACCCATCATAATAATATCTGATATGGTTTGGCTGTGTCCCCACCCAAATCTAATCTTGAATTCCCAAGTGTTGTGGGAGGGACACAGTGGGAGGTAATTGAATCATGGGGGCAAGTCGTTCCCATGTTGTTCTTGTGATAGTGAATAAGTCTCACGAGATCTGATGGTTTTAAAAACAGGAGTTCTGCTGCACAAGTTCTCTGTCTTTGCCTGCTGTCATTCATGTAAGACATGACTTGCTCCTCCTTGCCTTCCACCATGATTGTGAGGCTTCCCCAGATATGTGGAACTGTAAGTCCAATTAAATCTCTTCCTTTGTAAATTGCCTAGTCTTGGGTATGTCTTTATCAAACATGCGAAAACGGACTAATACAATGTCCTTAGAGGATATCACAGAAAAAAACTAGAGCCCTCCCTTCCGGATTCCAACACCCTAGAATTAAATGAGATAAAAGAATGACAGATGCAAAAGAACAAGTGTAATGTATGTTACAACATGAAATAATTATGACCAAAGGGCAAATATTCTAGATTATTCTTTTTGAAAGTTAAACTAGGTGAACTTTAAAAATGCCTGTGATTTCTGGTTTAAACTGCTATGTAGATTAAAAACTTTATAGGTTTTTAATTTATCTTTAAAGAAAAAGGTTGGGTTGGCACTGTGGCTCACGCCTGTAATCCCAGCACTTTTGGAGGCCGAGGCAGGCGGATCACAAGGTCAAGAGATTGAGGCCATCCTGGCCAACATGGTGAAACCCTGTCTCTACTAAAAATACGAAAATTAGCTGGGCATGGTGGCGTATGCCTGTAGTCCCAGCTACACGGGAAGCTGAGGCAGGAGAATTGCTTGAACCCAGAAGGCAGATGTTGCAGTGAGCCGAGATCATGCCACTGCCCTCCAGCCTGGTGGCAGAGTGAGACTCCATCAAAAAAAAAAAAGAAAGAAAGAAAAGGTTACTGAATTTTAAAAAATTAATCCTATGTGATCCAATTTCAGTTCCACTCACATTCTTTATGAGTAAAGTCTGGATGTTAATAAAATGAAAGTAATTCTACGTAATCTGACTTAAAGGCAAGTCACTGTAGAGGGAAACCAGGATAAAAATAAGTGTACTTAAGTCAAGTGTGTAGTTTGTACCTACAGAGGCAAACACAGGCAGCTTGGTTCTTAAGAGAGCTGCCCACTTGGAGTTCTCCCAATTAAGAAGTTGGAGACAAAAATCCATTTTTTTTTCTATAGTTGTATGAGACTTTTAGGTATGAATCAGCTTCAGTTGAACTACATTGAATTTTTAGCATGGTGTGAGATAAGAGTATATTTATAACACTGTAGGATGACTATAGTTAATAATATTATGTAGTTTCAAATAGCTAGAAGGAGGATGTTGAGTGTTCTCAACACAAATAAATGATAAATGTTTGAGATGATGGATATGCTAATTACCCTGATCTGATCACTATGCATGATATGTATCAAAACATCACTATGTACCCCATGATACTGTACAATTGTTACTTTGAACTAAAAAATTTTTAAACATTTGAAAAAGTAAATGTAACTACAAAAGACCAGAATGGTACACTGACCTTTCAGATTAACTTTAGATATTAGACATTGTATTTTCAAAAAACATATCAACAATAAGTATTGCTACAAATCATTGATGAGATAGTGTGCCTATGTCACTTAAAATTTCTCTGCAATTGAAGATACATTATTAAAGGAGCCATTGATTTTCAACACCAATTGCTGCCAAACTCCTGCTCAATCTCTTCTTGTTTTGCTATGGAATTACTCCTTTACTGCAGTATGAATGACTTCTTTTTTCCTTTTAAAACAGTTATTATGGATCCTATTAGGTTTTCTAAGTACTAGACAGTGATTGATCTTCTTTTTCTTATAATTACTCCCCTGAAAATTGACTAGCAGTTAAGACACTCTGAAGGGCCTGAGTAATTTGATTTTTGTAGGCCCGGTGCTCCATGAACCCTTGGAGGGGTTTAGAGAGCATCTCATTCCAGTCTAGCACAGGCAGGACACTATACACATGAGGGCTCTGAGGCCTCAAGAGGGTCAGCAATCTCACAGAGCATCAGATATGAGTATTTAAAGCAAAGCATGACATTAAAAGTTATTTGTCTTCATGTCTCTAAAATGTCTACCTATTTAGGATTTTTGAAATATAATAGCAACATTCATTGCTGCTGTGGTAGTTGGTAGTACTGATGCTTCTCAATGCTGGTCTGTTTGATGATAGCAATACCCAATTTCTCAGTACATTTCCTATATGAATACAGTGGCACTGCAGCTTTCTTCTGAATTTCTGAATACGTAGCCAAAGGCTATAGTCATATTTCCTTTTGTTAACAATCCTGGGTCATCCAATATTCATATCTATTATTGTCTCATAATAATAAATTAGGATCTAAAGCAAACAAGATTAACTTATAAAGTAGCTGCTATATTTCTTCCAAGTGACTCAGAAGTAACATGCCTTGCTGTTTATTGTTTCTATTTAAAAGTGGAATATGCTTTATGTTTTGTGGGCATATCAAATGTTTTACTCATTTCTTGATATCATTTTATCATTTCTGAAATAGACATTTGGGGTGTTTTCTGCTTTGTGAGAGGCATTTTTGAACAAATGCCAGGTTTTAGTCTTTGTTTTTATGATTATAAACCACTTCATTGGTGAACAGCCAGAGGAGCTGAGCTCTCAGAAAGCTCCCAAATCTCCTGAGTGTGAGTCTCTGTGTGCTGGCTGCATACTGACTGTGTCCATTTTACTCAACTCCAAAACACTTGCCTGCTTCCTGCTCACCCCTGTGGCTCTGTGCCAGTCCTCAGAACGTGTTTGTGAGTAAAGGTATGTCCTTTGTCTACACTGCATTCTTGGATGACTGTGCTGTCAAACGAGAAATGGAAAAGCCCCTCTGCCTTACTTTGTTTCTCTGAATAATACAAATATTGCAGATGATGCATCACATTATGAATTTTCATAGAATACTGCAATGTATTTGATTCTGTTTAATTCTCAAAATAGCCCTCTGGATATTATTTCCATTTTAGAAAGACGGAATTGAGGCTCAGAGGTGGCAAGTGACTTGTCTGAGATTATTTTGTTGTAAATGGCACTTCCAGGCCCTTAACTCAGGATTTCTGCCTTTCTGCCTCCTACCTCTGCATCACAGCTGCCTCAACCTGTTGTTAATTTTATATTAAGCTGTATTAATTGGGGCTAGGAGTCTTCATAATGCTAAATGTAAATTCTTTGTTTTGTTCAATGTTCTTATTTTATGGTTGGCAAACAAAAACAACAAAACAGCATTGACAACAACAACAGAAACAACCAACTGAAGCTGCAGCTTTTAATCTTTCTAAAGACAATAGGCTAAAGTGAGGTCCTCATAATAAGATGCTAGTCACCAGGAAGGAAGCCAGGGAAAATCTCCTCCCAGGGGGTAATTGATCCCTATTGGCCTAACACTGCATGTAGCACTGAGTTAGGAGGCTCCATGGAGAAGTGTCTGCTTCTTTTCCTCTGCTGTCAGAACAAAGTTCACAAACAACTTTGTTTTCCCCACACCTTTGGAGTTAGCTAGTTAGGGCCCCTATTTATGTCCAGGGGACCAGACCTGGACATTTGTAAAAGAACTGAATATAGATGGATAGCTAAGAAAAAAACAAATGTTAAGATTATCATTATTTATAGCCCAATGATTTAGTAATCTAAAAAAATCCAAGAACAACAAAATAATCCCTAAGAAGGACAAGAATTTTAAAACATGCAGTTTAGAAAACCAAATTTCTCAGGCCTAGAGCTCAAGTAAAAGAAAATCTGAGATAATGAAGTCTGGAACACTGGGCCTGCATTCTGCTCCTGACTCTGTGCCCTTGGGTAAGACATTGAACTTCCCCACCCCAGATTCATCCTACACCCTAAGGAGGGTGTAGGATTTTGTAGCCTTCCTAGTGATGGCATACTATTAATCAGAACCTTAACCAGCTCTATTCTCACTATCCCAGTAAAATGATGTTAAAAATTAGACCTCGTGACATGAGAGAAGAGGGGAAATTAATTACAGATTACAAAGAAATTGTGGGATCTAAGTTTAGGGTGAGGTGTTTTATTGAACCTCTAGGGTTGGTCATAGCACCTGCCATATAGCAGGTATTCAATAAATGATGTGTAATGGGTGGTTAGACTGATGGAAAGGCAGGCCTTCCCAGTGACGGTAAAGGACCTGGGGCAAAAGAGACCTGTGGTTGAGTCCTGATCCCCACACATTAGCACACTGACTAGACGAAGTTATAAGCTTCAATTTCTTCCTGTGTAAAATGGAGATAATACCTCATAGGGTTATGAGGATTAAATAAGAAAATGCTTAGTTCAGTGCCTAATACACAGGAAGCACACCGTAAATATTAGTTATTATTATTACTAATACTGTGATCATATCTTCCATCCAAAGACTTCTCTGAGGAGCAGGGGGCATCCAGAGATAAAAAGCCTGCAGGTGGGAAATCTGTTAGCCTTCTAGGGCGTTAGGTTTCTGTGGAACTCTGCACCTCTTCCCTGTCCTAGTTCTTAAGAACAGAAACTCTCCAGGGACCTCTGGTGAGGTAGCCGTGGGAAGATGAGGTGCAGAAGTAAGCTGGGACCTGTGAGCCTCAATTTCGGCCTCTTCTGCGCTGAGACCCAAGCGGATCTTGCTTGGCCTGTATGCGTTACTGGGGGAAATGGACGTGGGCCTGAGCGCGGCAGGTGCGAGGGCGCTGCCCCGGGGCCGACCACCCTGCGGGGACACTGTAGCTGTCATTCCTTCTTCTGCAGGCGGGTAGGGGAAGCGGTGGCCAAAGTGGGAGTCGACCGCTCAGCACAGTCTGTCTGAGTGTTGACCAGGAAAGTCCAGGCTCTTTCTAAATCTCGCCGCCAGACCTGGTGACGCATTCGCATGTATTTAAGGCGTTTGCACGCAGAACGTTATCACAGAATGTAGCCACCTTTCTTAACGGTCCGGGAAACCAGAGGTCTCTCCAGCTACTCAGGGTAGAGGAATTTCTCCTATCTCCATGTGACATCTTCTGATTTAGAAGAACTAATGTTAGATTTCTCTTGGGCCTTTCCACCTACAGCTATAGTCTTCCCTTTGTTTAGCTAAAATTGAGGCAGGTAGGAAAATATTATTGGGGGCATAAGCCTATTAGTGTGTAAACGTATTTTTATGAAGTGTGCCTCCAGGGAGCCATTAAAAACTGACCTCTCAACCACAGAAATAGATGAGATTTTGAGAACATTGAGAAGCTGCCTTTTGCAAAGTAAATTTGCAATGGTCCTTGACGAAGGGGGGTCGGGGGCGGGGAGAAGTCCAGCCGAGAGAGGAGCTCATTCCACGCTATATTTTTGCAGTTGAAAAGCTGCCTAATCATCGCTAACCGCTTCCCGCATAAGAGTTCTGGGAAGACTTCAGAAACAAGGCAAATGAAGACTTTTCACTGCCTCCTTCGGGCTGTCGCTTCCGGAAGCCGAAGTCCTAGCACGCAGAGCAGCAGGAGAGGGTTACTTTCAGGCAATTCCACTGAGCAAAATAAATCACTTAATGGCATAACGTTCTGGCTTAAAAAATTGGAATTTATCAGAGGCAAAAATATCCTTCAAGAAACTATGGACACTCCGCGCCCTATTCATTTCCATGGCAGCAGAGTATCTGCATCTTGAGCCACCTATACAGATTCATGCCTCGTATCGCTCTCACCTCCTTTCTTTTTGAAGTAAAGCCCTTTCCCAAGAAGGCGGCCAGAAAGTGGACCCCACCGGGGGAAAAAGAAAAATGAAACGCAAATCAGCTTGGCACTGCTTGCGTCTTCCAAAACGCGGTGGGACAAGGCTATTGAGTCTATAGCTAATTCTTTCATGTATATAAAATGTATACATATGTATATATTTTTATATACATAAAAGAATTCATATATATGTATATAGCTATGTGGAGCCCTGAAGCAATTCTCCATGCTTTTGTCTCCCTCAAGTTCCCCAGGTGGAGGCAGTCATAAGCATTATAAGCCGCCTTAGTGACCACCAGGGACGGAAACCGTTAATTATCACGTTTCCTTTCATCTCCAGGGGCCCTTTGGCCCGTGACACAAGAGGCTTCGGTATTGGCGCTTTCCCAGAACTGGCCCAGAGGAGCCAGTTCAGAGTGTGAGGTCGGGTCTGCATTGAACGTACACACCGAGGTCTATCAGACTCCCCCGATTTTAGCGAAGGGTGCTGACTGCTGTGCTGCTAGAGGCTAGCAAGCTCCCTGTGCGCAGCTGATGAGTTTCAGCAACTCGCCACCTGGGCGCTTTTCTTTAAATTTTGGGAGTAAACTGGGAAAATAAAAAAATCTCCACGTCCACTGGCTCTCTCCCCTTCTCCAACTTCCTCTTTCGACTCGTTTGTGGGAGTTTTCTCCTCTTTGCTGGGACTATAATGTGATGCGCAATCGTTTGTGAATGAACAAAAGTCACCGGCAAGCAGGGAGACGGGGACAGATCGCTGACGGCAGATTGAGGGTGGCAGCAAAGGCCCGGCCTCCAAGGATAATGGGGAGCCGTTTTCCCTCACGCCTGGTCTCTATGGCCCCCTTCGTCTTCCAGGTAAAATGAATGTTCCTTCATCCATCATCCGCAGAGTACCCTCAGGCGTGCGTAGAATCTGCTGATGAAACCTATTAGCGCCGACTGGGCAGCTTTGTGGAGCCACCCGAGGCTCTCCATTGTGGCCTTTGTCTGCAGAATTTAAGCATTTACATAATGCATTAGCACGGAACTCAGCACCCGGTGGGGACATCGCGTGCCAAGCCTGGCGCGGCCAACGCTTCAGCGGCTCCCTCACCCGGCAGCTCCCTAGGACCACCCTCGAGGAGGCATTGGAGTCGGGCTGCAGGCGCACGGGCAAAGAACTTAGCATCTCATCCAAGTACTTCGCCTTCCTTGGCCGTCTCCGGGAGGTTATGCTTAAAAACATAAAAATAAAAATAAAAATAAAAATAAAGGGAGGCGGACAAAGTTTCGGTGGGTGAACTGAAGCTGGGTCCATGTGACCCTGAAGCCGGAGAAATAAACTTAACATGAATCTTGCTTTCCTGGCGGGCGTTGGGACCCCGCCGTTTTTCATGCCAACCGTTGGAAGCTTCGTACTCAACGGCCACAGGTGCCTAGGAGCGCAGAGAGGCCTCGGGTTCAAATCACCGGCGCGCAGGGACTGGACTCGCGGGTAGCGACCCCCCCAACCCCCCCCCCCCCGCCCTACACACACACCCTCGCGCCGGCTGAAAGCATGGAGGATTCAGGGCATTTGAAAAAAGAGGGGCTGGGCGCGGTGGCTCACGCCTGTAATCCCAGCGGTTTGGGAGGTCCAGAAGGGCGGATCACTTGAGGTCAGGAGTTCGAGACCAGCCTGGCCAACACCAGCCTGGCCAACATGGTGAGACCCCGTGTCTACTAAAAATACAAAAATTAGCCAGGCGTGGTGCCTGTAATATCAGCTACTTGGGAGGCTGAGGCACGAGAATCGCTTGAACCTGGGAGGCGGAGGTTGCAGTGAGCCCAGATCGCGCCACCGCCCTCCTGCTCTGGGTGATAGAGCAAGGCACTGTCTCAAAACAAAACAAAACAAAACGAAAGATTCGGTCAGGAAAGAATCTGCAGGCATTCGAGGCGCTCGCACTTTGCAAAGTAAATGCAATCTCTTTATTAAGCCGAAGTCCCTCATATCTATCCTTTTAGAGGAAGGTGGTCCAACTCAGAAATCTCTCCCAAGAGGACTTTCCACCGAAGACTACCGCGAAGTGCCAGGAACTCGCCCCAGTCCCGACAGGTGCAGGACCTTTCGTGCCGCCACACCTTGGGACTCTACCTCCCTAAATAGGCCACTTAAAAGCCAGTAGTGCAACCGGGATCCCGCGGCGATAAAGAATCACTGTGCAGAACCCTGGAGCTGGGAGTCGGCCCGCCCCCCTCCCAAAGAAACCGGGATCCCGCGTCCTCCCCGCCGCTAGCGCAGCGCGCCAGCGGCGCCCAATCAGTGAGCTTTCCGGGTCTGTGACGGCCTTCGGCTCCGCCCCCTCGACGGCCATAAAAAGTCGCAGCGAAGCCTGCACCTCCGAGCACCGCGCGCGGCCCTGCCCCCGGCACGGCCCCCAGGTGCGCTCCTTCTCCGGCTGCTTGTAGCACTGGTCTCACTGTCCCCGCCGTCAGCCACCGGTTCCTTATCCGTCTCATTCCCCATTGTGGCTTGGCTGAGCCGGTCGCCAGGCCTCGCTGTCCTCCTTTGCCTTCCTCTCTCCTCAGCGGCCGTACTTTGCGCCGTACCTCACCTGGCCTGCAGGTGAGCAGCAGCGCAGCACCCCTGCCCGGCGAGCTTAACTTGCCCAGCCCGGCCCCTGCCGGAGTGGCACCGGCACCTCTCCAAGACGCCCTCTTCCCTGCAGGATGAAGAACCCCATGCTGGAGGTGGTGTCTTTACTACTGGAGAAGCTGCTCCTCATCTCCAACTTCACGCTCTTTAGTTCGGGCGCCGCGGGCGAAGACAAAGGGAGGAACAGTTTTTATGAAACCAGCTCTTTCCACCGAGGCGACGTGCTGGAGGTGCCCCGGACCCACCTGACCCACTATGGCATCTACCTAGGAGACAACCGTGTTGCCCACATGATGCCCGACATCCTGTTGGCCCTGACAGACGACATGGGGCGCACGCAGAAGGTGGTCTCCAACAAGCGTCTCATCCTGGGCGTTATTGTCAAAGTGGCCAGCATCCGCGTGGACACAGTGGAGGACTTCGCCTACGGAGCTAACATCCTGGTCAATCACCTGGACGAGTCCCTCCAGAAAAAGGCACTGCTCAACGAGGAGGTGGCGCGGAGGGCTGAAAAGCTGCTGGGCTTTACCCCCTACAGCCTGCTGTGGAACAACTGCGAGCACTTCGTGACCTACTGCAGATATGGCACCCCGATCAGTCCCCAGTCCGACAAGGTATGATGTGTGACTCCCAGGGGAAGTGGGCTCCGCGGAGATGCCCCCTCCCATCCCTGACCTTTTCTCTTCCCCGCGAGTAGGGATCTAATTCCTGGACACCTCCCCTACCACTTCCATACCATCCTTTTTCTTTTTCCTTTTTTTTTTTTTTTTTTTTTTTTTTTTTTGAGACGGAGTCTCGCTCTGTTGCTCAGGCTGGAGTGCAGTGGCGCGATCTCCACTCACTGCAAACTCCGCCTCCAGAGTTCACGCCATTCTCCTGCCTCAGCCTCCTGAGTAGCTGGGACTACAGGCACCCGCCACCACGCCCGGCTAATTTATTTTTGTATTTTTAGTAGAGATGGGGTTTCACCGTATTAGCAAGGATGGTCCCGATCTCCTGACCTCGTGATCCTCCCGCCTCAGCATCCCAAAGTGCTGGGATTACAGGCGTGAGCCACCGTGCCCGGCCTTCCATAACATTCTTAAAGTTCTAGATTAAGTAAGGAAAGTTCTGGTGTTCCTAAGGTAGGCTAAGTAAATAAGCAAATGGCAACGTGCCTTGCAGGATATCTCGAAATGCTTAGAGAAAGGATGTGGCAATGCAGGACCGCTTCCAGAGATTCCAGAGCTGCCCAGTATTGCTGCAGAAGTCATCAGGTGTCCACCCACAGTGTAGTTCAAACGACAAAGGGCAAGTGACTGGGGGTGGGGGATACAAGGAATCAGTCACCGCTGCTTGCAACTTTAACCAAGAATTTCACTTGAAAGGAAGAGGTCCAGAGTTTATATTTAATCCATAACACTATAAACAAAGTGTGTGCCTTTAAAATAAGGAACCATGCAGTTTTCTCCCTTTGAAAGCTGCATAGAGGGATTTTTCATTGCTTGCTATAAGCTATCAAAATTCCCAGTAAGAGGGCCCCCCTGGTAGTTCCCTTATTCTTTGTGTTGGTGCTTCAGAGTTGTATTTTCCATGGTATTCTGAATTCTTTCTGGGTTGGCTTTGATCCTCATCTAGACTTCATTGTTAAGCATCCTTTACCCATTAGCCCTGAAGGTAGATTACATTGTTTATGGGTTCCCCAGAGATCAATACAATTAGTTTTCAAGAAGAGATGTTAAACATTGGAAGGTAATTTTTATGAGTATTTTGAAAAAATACTCATGATTATTAAATTAGCCACAAATCCAAAGGGAAAAATGGATTTTTATTTCCTTTTAAAACCTCTTAACTTTTAAAAATAGTTAAGATTTTAAGCCTGAAACTTCACTTACAATTGGAAACTTTCTCAGCCTTCATTGCACTTGTTAAAGAAGTCATTGTTAATGTTCAGTCTTTATAATGGAAACCTGGGCAATAACATATGAGCTTTAGTGTTACTCTTCATGTTTAGATATTTTTGGGACCAGAAAAAGCTAAGTCAGTTTTTTTCATGTAACCAGTTTTTAATTGCTCCACATCTTGGTTAATTTTTTTGACCCATTTGGGAACATCTTTCTCTATCCTCTGTGGGAGAGCATGGAAGTATTTTGCTTTTATAGATCGGTGTATGAAACTCCTTATAGATTTTATAGAGCCACAAAAGACTCAATCTAGGAATTCTTTTCCAAGTAAAATAAAAATACAGTTAGAGCACTGTGCAGCGATTCAAGAATCACAGCTCTAGTCCAGGCCTGTTTAGAAATGAACTCCACCACATTTACAAACACGGGCTCCCAAAGTGTACAAAAGGAAACATGTCAGATTTACTTAGGAACCAAGCAAATCATTTCTCTAAGGAAAAACAGTATTTCTATCAGGTAATTAGGAGTTACCCTTTCATGGAACACATATAGCGCTGCATTATATATTTCTACAGAAAAACAGTAACTAGTGCTTTTGTAAGGTAGTAAAATATTTAATCTGCATAAATAACTAGTTGGAGTAGTTTTTCATCTTTGGAAACTTTGTTAGGGTCTACAGAAGTAGAGAAGTGTTTTAATTGCTGTTGCTGCATAGCACCTCTTGTGAAACTGAGTTTTGTCTTCACTTTGAATGGTCTAACAAACAATTTGGCCACAGAGTAGATTTCCCGGGGGAAAAAAAAAAGTTTTCATCCCAAATTTCCTAATTCTACAAACTGTTTTTGAACATGCACTGAGAGAAGTAGGTCATTAATACTGAAGGAAGGACTGGTTTCTACTTTTTAGAAACATAAGAAATTATTTGATTCTGGGTCTGATTGCTGAGTTCTCCATATATGCAACTAATATTAACATGAGAGTTACAAAGTTGCCTCTTACTTAAATTTGAGTTAATAAAAACTCTCAAGAACACACTACCCCTAAGGAAAACACTGCAATTAGTTTGCAAATGAATGAACTGGAAAAGAACATTTACTCCTTTGTGGTAACACTCTATTTTACAAGTTTAGAAGTCATAAAATAATGGGATTTTTATAATACTGTTGACAATCAGTATTTTGTAAACTAAAAATTCCTTTGGTTAATAACTATTACTATTCCTTATGCTTTTTCTACTATGATTTTTTTTTACTTTGTTAATACTGCTCTTTCATTGCCAAAAATGATTGCAAATGCCCCTTTTAATTTGTGTGGATTGAGTGCTCACAAGAGTGTTCCTACAGACTTATTGACCCCTTCTAGAAATTTCCTACTGTTGAGCACCACTAAAGATGCCTGCTGGTCTGCTGACCAAGTGAACAGGAACAGGGTATTAGACATGAGTTGCTTTTTGAGAAAAATCTGCTTTTGTGGGAAATACAGTCGAAAATGATTCTGATTGACTTAATTATAAATTACCAAGGAAAAAAATAAGGATAACTGTATTTACAACTTAGTCATTTACAAAAATATGTCTTCCATCAACCTCCTTTTCTCCTTGTCCTGAAAACTTCAATTTGATCTTTACCATCTTAAAATAGTATACTTCTCAATGCCTTGCTAGTTTATTAAAAAAGGACAAATAGTATGTCTGATAGAAAAATAGGCCAACATCTAGATAAGTTTCACACTTGTTTAGGTAATTGTGTAAAAGTATGGATAGAGATAACCATACTGTCAAAGTGGTGTATTAAAACATATTGAACTTGTTCATTCTATCACTTAATAATTTGGAAACCTAGCTGCCCAGTACCATGTAAGCCACTGTAGAAAACCCTAAAAGAACATAAAATGCCATGTCTAGAAACAGAGCTTAAAATTAGTATGAATAGCAAAACCCATATAGAAATGACTGACAATCACTGCATTCTGGCATCAACGGCAATATGGTAGAGATAACTGTCAACAAATAGAGTACTAATAATAATCACTGTAATACCTTATGTTTATACAGCACGTAGAAGAATACAGAGGACTTGTGCATCAAACATCTCAGTTAATCCTCAGAACAATTTGAGTGTTCCCATTTGACTACTTGAGGTGACATAGCCAATAAGAGCTGGAGCCAGGACTCAGACATAGGCCATCATTTCTAAGTAAAATTATTTTTCTAAGGAAAACATTACACATATTAGAAGGATGCATTCCTCAGGGGTAAGGACAATATTTGTCTTTTTTTCCAGCAGCCAGTTATGTGTCACATAATTGATCCTGAATTTAGCATATTTAGTCAGGAAATGGGATTTGACAATAAAATTAGACTTTCTATGCCTGTAGATTTTGAGACTTATAAAAAAGTTATCATTGGTATCATTAGATTTTAGAATGGCAGATTGGAGGAATTGAATCTACTTTTAATTGGCCAAATTCTATTATTTTTACTCAAGATTAGAGACACCTCTTTGCTCATCTAATTTTAAAATATGCTATTGTTATTGATAAGCAGTTTGATGTTTTAAACCTTTAGTCCTGAATAACCATGTGGTTATACTTTCTATAGTTTTCTATAAATGCTGTATTTACATAGGCAACTGCCATTATTAGTTGCCTAAGGGATCATTTCTGCTACTATACGGTATAGAATCAGAACTGGACTCTTAACATTGTAAATTTTTTTGTAAGTCATAAGAAAAAGTCTAGTTCTTCTGGTAGACAGAAAATAGCTGGGAAAACTGATTTACTGTTTGATATATGTGATTCTTCTTGGGTTTAGCCACCTTTCCTAATTTTCCAATATTTTATTTTCCAGTTTTGTGAGACTGTGAAGATAATTATTCGTGATCAGAGAAGTGTTCTTGCTTCAGCAGTCTTGGGATTGGCGTCTATAGTCTGTACGGGCTTGGTATCATACACTACCCTTCCTGCAATTTTTATTCCATTCTTCCTATGGATGGCTGGCTAACTTCATACCCCCATGTCAGTGTGTGTATTCTGTATGTAAATATGTTTATATTTATAGAGCATCAATCAATATAAGCATTATTGAGAAAAATGTGACCCGTAACACTGTGTTCTGGATAAAAATGTGATTAGGAATCACGCAAAGTGCTTACTGTGTAAGCCCAAGAACAAAGGCTTTCTGAATCTTCTCAGGCAGTTCAGATTTAAAGCACCATCCAAACCTTGGAAATACGACAGGGTGTGGTAGAATTCAGCAATATGAGAAAACCAGCCCCTAAAATGATAGCCACAAGAGATTAATTGTGTTTTTTTTTCTCCTGTAATCCTTGTACTGTTCGGCTGAATTTGAAGATTGGAAGACTTATATTGAGACCAGTAACTTTACTGTAAATTTACTTTGTTTCATTGAAAAAACAAATTGATAAACATATTAAACTGGAAGAATTTTCTTTATTCAAATGAAAACATGTTTGATGACTGGTCAAAAAATAAGCTCATAATCTATTTTTTTCATGTAGTATATAAGTCAAGAATGTTTTATTGTCATTATGTGAAACCAATATTGGCAAATAGTACTTTAATGATGAAGTAAATGACCAGAAATTATAGAAATCTGTGTTTTCCTGTAAAAATAGCACTATAGTATCACTTGAACAATTTGATTTGGCTTTACTTACTAGGAAGCCTGGAATTCATTATTTTTTTCCTTTTATGTGCCACTGTGGCTACTTTAAATCACTCTGAGAGGTAAATGGATATAGGATTGAAGTTATGTGGGTATTTGGCATGTGTGTGTGAAATAAATATGTAGATAGTCACATATACACAGACTGAGAGATAAATTGTTCTTGATTGCTTTATTATCATCATACTAGTGTGTTCATTATAGAGTATCTGTAGAGGTGAATGTAAAAGTAAGTCCAATCTATTTTCTTATGTCATTGAATTTGTAGTGTTAACTTGCATATATGTTATTGGATGGGTTGTCTTTTAAAGCATTTACTAATGTACTCTGAAATTTTTAAAAGCCTTCAGATTTGTTTTCTAGTCACTTTTTTCCATATCATTTCTAATTATAGTTTATATCCTTAAAAGAAGGATGCCACAGTAGTATGTAAAACCCAAACAAGTAGAACCCAAGCAAATAAAATTATTTAAAATAATTTTAAAGTGGCTTAGTACTGCCAGTCATGTAAATTGATTCTGCTGAGGGTCTTATAAGAATTGAGATATAACAATGGTAAAACAAGCATTCAAGCACTTTTACAAAATTACCAAATTCTTAAAATGAAGCCACAGCTAGACTTGCATTTCAGGTATTAAAATTGCTTTCTTAACTGTCAAGAATCACAAAATAACAAATCATATTATGAGTGAATATGGGGAGGGCGGGGCCAATCAGTCAATGATAATCTGAACAAATTTTAAGAGCAGATTTTAGATTAATAATGTTTTATCACCACTAATTTGCCCACAACAAACTCAGTATTTAATTTTTCAAATTAAATATTAAATTATTTAAGTATTTTAAATAATTAAAACATTAAATGGCAACACCATAGAATATAGGTGTTCTCTGGACCTATTCTAACCACTTAAAATTATCTTAAGTATGCATACATAAAAGCAACCACTATGAGAACTACCGTGTTAGTGGTTTTTCACTTACTGTATATTACCCTTGTAGGAATAGTTTAAGGAAATTCATTTCTTAAAAATATAGTGTCCTCAAATAATTAATTTTTTTGCAAACTTTAGTTATTACAGGCAGCAAAAACCACTGTCTGAAACTAAATCTGTGTTCAAAGATGAAGACCCCTCATTAAAAGCCAAGGACGTTCTTAAGATTGGAACTGACATAATTAGTCTTGACTTACTTCATTAAAGCAAGATTCAATTCCTTGTTCATTTGAGTGTTCATTATATGCCAGGCATTGACCAGTTGCAATTTTATGGTCCAGAATTAATATTATTATTCGTAAACTAGCTATAATAGAGTATATACAGTGCTGTGGGAATACAGGGGAAGAAGCAATTAAATCTGCTAGAAGGGTAAGAGAAATCTGTATGCAGGAGGCAATGCTAGCATTAAGCCAAGAAATAGTGTGAGGTGATCTTATCACACTGATGTGTTCAACTGTTTATGGGAAAAGGAAACTAGGATGGTTTTATTTGTGAAATGTTCTACAACGCTAGAACTGTTGAACTTCTTGGGAGAAAAGGAGAATCTTTGTTTTGTTGTGCTGAGTTTGATTAGTTGCTTAACCAAGTAGAAAGAAAAGCACATCTTCCTGATCACAGTTATAAAAGAAACCCTGAGGCCGGGCGCGGTGGCTCAAGCCTGTAACCCCAGCACTTTGGGAGGCCAAGGAGGGAGGATCACAAGGTCAGGAGATCGAGACCATCCTGGCTAACACGGTGAAACCCCATCTCTACTAAAAATACAAAATTAGCTGGGCGTGGTGGCCGGCGCCTGTAGTCCCAGCTACTCATGAGGTTGAGGCAGGAGAATGGCGTGAACCGAGGAGGCGGAGCTTGCAGTGAGTGGAAATTGCGCCACTGCACTCCAGCCTGGGCAACAAAGTGAGACTCCATCTCAAAAAAAAAAAAAAAAAAAAAAAAAAAAAAAGAAGAAGAAACCCTGAGCCATTAATGTGTCTCGTAACTTGAGGAAGTTCATGAATTCTCTGGGCTTCATCCATTAAGATTCATCCTTATGCTCCTGCAAGTTTCTTATATTTATGTATTTCTATTCTGATTTCTGAAATGATAACCTAGTAGTGTCTGATGAAGTTTTTTCATGCTTATTTTATTCTTTGTCACAGATGAAAGAAGAATAGGACTAATTGGGGCTAAGATGAATTAATGTAAGTGTCAGATACTAGGCAGGTGTTAGGGATGAAATGATGAATGAGGCATGGACCTGTTCCTCAGAGTTTATGGCCCAGTAGACATAATTGTATTAGGACTTTCTGCAGTTGACATTTGCATAAAGCTGACTGACTGAAGGAACAGAAAGTGAGACAGACAGATATGACCAAATTTATACAAACCATGTACCAACACTTGAAAGATGGGTGGATATTTTCCAGGAAACAGATTTTGGGCAGGACATTCCATGCACTGGAAATAGCATGAACAAATGCATGAAAATTGCCTACAACATGCCTGGCACATAGCTGTGAGGTACCCTATGAGTTGTTGACTTGAAAACATGGAACTGCACAGGGCATTCAGGCAAGTGCAAGTGGTTCAGGGGCCAGCGCAGAGCAGAGTGCTGAGTAAAGATGTCAGAAAAGGAAAGCAATGGTCTGGTACAAGTCTTGTATAGAACAAGAAGTTTAGACTTTTGAACAGGCAATCGAGATTTGGGGTTCAGAAAGATAAATCCCAAAAGTATGGAGAACAAAGGAACTCATTTTAAAGGACTAGCTAAGATGCTCAATCTCTAAAAAAAAAAGGATCTGTATTCGTGAGAGTAGAGAGAAAGGTTGTTTAGGAAGAGTCAACAGACTTTAGCAAAATCCTTTTATTTGATTCATGCATAACTCCTGATGGAGTGTCAAGGAAGACTCATTCACTTTTCTTTCCTGCCAGAAAGTTGGTTCTTGCAAAATAGATTAACTTGATGACTATGTGTATATTGGATACTCCTAATTTTAGCTCTGTTAGATATGTTTCTTTCTAAGGACAAGCAACTATGTATAGACTTGTTGTTTGAATTTTTTTTCAGTATATATATGTTTCTTGTTTTTCTATTTTTCTACTTCATACTGTTAATGTCAAATATCAAAAATGTTTTCCAGCAATATCAAGTTATGGCAATGGCAAAAGTCCTTGTTGTAGATGAGAAGCATATAAGAAATGGTTGCCAATCTTTGTTTTGTATGATCTATTTAGAGTTTTAACCAACCTAGATCTGTCAGCTAAGCTAATTTTATATTTGGTATACATGCATGTCAAATAAAGTTAATTTTACATACTATTCTCTCTTTAAATTTTAAATACATAAATGTAGATCACAAACTTTTTTTTTCAGCGTGGTAGCCTGAAGAATTTTGTCTTTCCAATCTTCCTTTACAGATTACCAAACTTAGTTTTATGCATTTGAAGTTAAAACTTTATGTGGATCTGTCTTCAGACTGATAATATCTATGTTATCCATATCTTGAAGCCTACCTTGATTGTGTAGGAATAGGTTCTGTGTAATATTAAATAACATATCCCTTCTCCATTGCACAAAATTAAGTAACAATGACAACAAATAATTAGTCATAATATGAACTCTATACAGTTGACCCTTGGGCAAAACAAGTTTTGTTTGTTTTTGTTTTTGAGACAGGGTCTCTCTTTGTCTTACAGGCTGCAGTGTAGGGACACAATCCTAGCTCACTGTAATCTCAAACTCCTGGTCTCAAGCGTTCCTCCTGCCTCAGCCTCCTAAGTAGCTGGGACTACAGGTGCATGCCACAATGCCCAGCTAATTTTCAATTTTTTTGCAGAGATGGAGTCTTGCTATGTTGCCTGGGCTGGTCTTGAACTCCTGGCTTTAATTGACCCTCCCACCTAAGCCTCCAAAAGCACTAGGATTATGGGTGTGAGCCACCAGGCCCAGCGACAACATGGGTTTTAACTGGGTGGGTCCATTTACGTGCAAAATTTTTCAACCAAATGTGGACAGAAAACCAAGTATTCCTAGGATCTGAAACCTGCTTATATAGGGAGGGCCAACTTCTGTATATGTGGGTTCCAGTTCCTGCAGGGCTGACTGCCAGACTTGACTATGTGTGGATTTGGGTGTACATGGGGGTCCTGGGCCAAACCTCTGAAGATATCGAGGGAACACTGTAACCAGATTTATGGGTGAGGAGGTGATGGGATGTGAGTAGAAGCAAATTCCAGGGCCAGTCTTGAAATACATTCATAGCAGTGCCAAGGACCATAGAGGTTACTGAGCTTGATGCTTAGCCATCCAACGATATTTAAAGATGTGGAAAATCAGGCTCCTAGGGGTTGAGGTGCTTCAGAGAAAGACTCAGAACTTTGCTCCAGATTTCATTCCATTATACCTCCCTGAGGTATAATGGCTCCCTGAGGTCTCCCAGGGATTAGAAAAACTTTTCTCCAATGAATGTATTTATTTCTTGCACACGTTCTATGTACTTTAAGCAGGATCACACAAGAATAAACTGGTTAGAATCTTAGTCCTGGAATTGCTCAGACTAATGTAAAAGAATGGCAAGATTTTAAAATAATGGTAGGCTTGTACAAGTGTCAGAAGAGCAGATATGAAACCTTTACCTGTCTGATGGGGACCAATAAAGGAGAGGGGTGTCACGTCACAGAAGTCTTCATTAATACCTTAACTGACCTGTAAAGAATATGAACACTTAAGGTGAAAAAGACCTCCTTTTTCCAGGCCTTTCAGGCACAGGGAGGAGCAACTATTACACAAAGGGATGGAGCCAGGAGAACCCATATCACAGTTGGGTTACAACAGGGCGTTAAGAACAATCACTTGAGATTATATTGTTGCTGTGAGAGAAAGGTGCCAGTCCTGCCACAAAGAACTCACCATTCCTTTGGAGAAGAACAAGTCTGACTCAGATAATGCTGCAGACAGGAGGCAAGTTCACGGAGGACTTTGCATTGTGAAAGTTTGGAGAGGAAAGAAAGCATTTCCCAAACTTTGCAACTGGGTCCCGTGAGTATTAGGACCATGTGATTTTCTGAAACACATGAAGAAGAGGTGTGCAGTTAGTTTGTGAGGAAAAGAAACACTTTTTTTTTTTTGGATGGGGTTTCATTTAAGGTTACAAGGAGAAGTGGAAAGTACAGAAATCACTTCAGTGCTCAGCAGATGAATAGTCACTGCTCCCTGCTCAGCTCACAACTGTTCCTGCATCCTCAAATGACTCTAGTGATATCTTCTTCTCGAGTCTGGATTCTGGTGCTGCTATTTGCTCCCATTTAGCTTATGATGGCTACTCGCGTGGCGGCCCACCTACTGCCGCTAACTCACACTGCACCATTGTTTCTGCTGCCTTGTGGTTTTCATTACACTTCTACCCTGTTACTTTTAGCTTCTGCTCCACTGTACCTGGTCGCCGTCTTTCATTTAAAATTGCAAAGGGATCTAACCAAGCTGACCAGTCACTATGCAATATTTGTGGTCACAGTAAACAGTTCTCTAGCCAGGCTACTGAATGGACCATTGATTCCCCTGATGGCCTTTAGGTCTGGTACCTTCAGATCAGGTGACATCCTTAGGCTAATCACTTGTTGCCAAATTGCACGACCATGTGTTCCCAGGCATGGAGATCTACTCTTATTCTTAAGGAGCTACTCATAACTGATATCACTTGGAGGATGGCTGTCTGCTTTAGTTTAAATGGGAGACCTATATCTAACGATCACTTTAGAGAGCTTATTCTGTAGCAATATAGAGAATGGATTGGACGAGATGTAAATTAAAGAATATGAAGTCTATTACCAAGATGCAGAAGAGAAATGATGAAGACTAGATGAAGTCAGTGTGAGTGGAGATGGAGGGGAGAGAATGGATTGATTTGAGGGGTGTGAAAGATGGAGAGTGTTTCATATAGGGTCCAACCAAGGAAACAAAAACCATTCTAGGTACTGTCTAGTGGTGTGTGTGCATAAGAGATACCGTGGCTTCTCCTTTCCTTTCCTCTTACCCTCCAATCTCCTGTGAGGACTTCACATTGGGCAGCTAATGCAGAAACCAGCTAACAGGAGAGCCTGGAAAACAGCCTGCTGAGCAAGGCAACAATGTATCTGAGGGACAATAGGCAGAGGCAGGCACCAGATTAGTGTGACTGATTGTACTGTGGCATCATGGCTAATTTAGGGAATTTTTTAAAAATGAGGCTTGGGAGAAGTATGAATCTGGTTTTGGATCTATGAAGTCTGAGTATCCCAGGGTCTCACAGTTCTCACAGGTAGGCAATAGGAAATTGGAGTCTCATAAGACAGAGTTCAGGGATAGGAATGTATTTGGGAGTTATTATAACAGTGGTGGTTCAGGCCAAGGATGTGAGTGAGCTAGACCATCCTGGGGAAGTTTATGAAGAACTTTTTTTTTTTTAAGATAAGGATGGAAGACTAGGGTCACAAACAAGGGGAAGGAAGAATGATCCAGAATAGTTCCAGGAGGAGACTGCAAAATAATGGTACAAAAAGTTAGAGCAGACCTCATACAGGAGAGATTGTATGAGGAAGCCAAGGAGGAGTGAGCTTTTGAAGGTATGGGTGTGAACAGCATCAAGATACAGAAATGAGATAAGAACTGATTAGTGCCTACATTGGATTTGGCAAAAAGGAGACTGTGAGTGACCTTGATTAATAGGCATTCCACTAACTTCAAGTATGGGGGTGTTAGGGATGTTGCGGTTGCGGGGAGAAGGCAGACTGTGGGTTGAGATTTAAATGGAAAATGACTACGAGCTTCTCTTTGTAGCAGTTTGGTGGGAGAAGAAAGAAACAGATAAAGCCCAAAGACTCAGAAAGCAGTATAACGTGATATCTCTTACTACTTCCGCATGCTTTAGAACAAAATGTACCGTGACCTGTTGCAAGTTAATTTTTGTAATTATTTTCTGAGGGACAAACACTCTTTTTTTGTGACATTATCACAATTGCACTTTTTTTCCAAGACTGATTACTATCAGAGGTTCAGTCTAATCAATGAGCATTCTCATTTCTACTGGCTTCTTTGAAAAGAACACATATTCAGATTCAGAGTCTAACAGGCTCAGAGGATTGGGAAAGGGTAGAAATTAAAACTGCACTGCATGGGACTCTCGATTCTTGGGCTCTCATTCAAACAACCTGTTGAGGAAAGTCCATTACCATTCCTTCCCTTTCACGGAATGATAGAACAGAGAGATCAAGACACAGTGCAAGACTCAAACTTTCGGAAACTTTTTGACCAGCATGACCTCATAAACACTTCAGATTCTTTATAATTAAATTATTCATTGAAAAATAGAATTGAAGGTTAAATAAATCCAGGTGGCTAACAGAGCCAATGACAACCAGACAAAGTAATGGTTTCTTATCCCTTTGTCCTATACTAACCCAATTCACATAGCATCTTGAGACCACTTTATCTGGCACTTGACTGAATCACCATCCATTGAAGAAGAATATGTTAGTATTCCCGAAAAAACCTTCTTGTTTATGATGAGCCAAACAATGATTCCAAATTCAAAAATTTATCAGATAAACAACACTTGTCTGCTAAGCCTGGCTCAGCAGCAGCTGCCCCCAAGAATCTGTTCAGGCATAAGCTTTATGTTGGTCTAGACACCTGATCTGACCAGGTGTCTCACTGCTGGGTAGAAACCTAAAAGGTAGCAATTGCTACATGCTTGATGAACATCAAGATTTATTTCTTCTTTAATCCCCCCATGCCCCCAATTCTCTTCTTTACACATCACATCTCCACACACATCTTTCTCTACTTTACCTCTGACAAGTCACAGACAAATGACTGCCAGGGAATTTAACCATGGTAAATTATTTCACACTACATGCAATTTTTCTGGATGGGAAGTTGAGGTGACAATAAACTTTATATTTAAAAATATAAAGGCATTTAAGGAATAATTCAAGATGGGAGAAAATCTGAAAATGAGATTGAAGGAAGTGGATTTGCACCACCTCAGTATGTTTGAGGGGCACCTCCTCTGTGAAGTGAAGCAGCAGGCAACCAGCAGCGTTCATCTCACTGCTGCAGCAGCAGCTGGTGCATCGCCACAGCTCAGCCAGATTTCTCCACTTTGCTAGTGCTCGTCCTGACCACCCTGCGAGCCAGTGTAATGGGGATTCTCCCTCATCAGATATTTTTGAGGCAACGTTCTTTTTGCATTTATTCTCAACACACCTCAGCTGTGGGATTTCTAGTCTCAAAATATGGCCCTTTGCTTGGTTTTCAAACTCAAACTTATCCCCGCAAAAGGAAGTCCATTCTTCAGTGTGTACTAGAAAGTGGGAATGAATGGTGTAGATTAGTGGCAGTCTTTTTCTTCTTCTAATAGAGCAGAAATACAAGTTTCAGTCACTATTTTGGGGTACTGTGTGGTTTCAATGGGCATCACTGAAATAATTGTCATCATGGCTTTACCTGAGAGTTCGGACATTTACCCTCTTACAGTGTAATTAATTACATAAAATTTGTCAACTTGCCAGTTTCCCCTTTACATTTTATTATTATTTTATTTTTATTTTCTTACTTAGAGAAAAATGAATCAACTTTCATTCTCAGAACTTGGTCTTTATTTTTTTCCAATGTAAAAGAAAACTTTGTGCTCATGTTCCTATCATGTCTAGGCTCAGGTGCCTTAGCTCTCAAGGACTTCACCTGCTCTTCTGGACTTTTCCATGCAAGGTGAACAGATGCAACGTGCAGAGTGAGCACTCTGCAAGAGACCAGAGCGTGAAAGCTTTATTAACATACTGAAACTATGGAATGTCACCACAAACTTGCCAAGCTGATTTATGATCAAAGTGCAGTGAAATGGCAATCCTATCTTGTAGTTACGTGACCAACGCTGAATATCATTCATAATAGCACAGAATGGGATCACAAGTTTCTTGAGGAGCCATGGATGCCCAAGTGTAGGGGAGAATCTTTAGATAATGAGCACTCCTGAACTCCAGTAATTATCAGTCAGAAGTGGACAGCCATGGCAACTGTTGGTGTGATCATCTACTGAATCAGAGATGACAACACATTCAGAGCTCCCGGATGATAGAGAGGCTTAGGCTAGAGCCAATCTAATCCCTTCTGTTTATATGCAAGTTAGAGACCTATAATAACATAGGAAACTCCAGGAAATTTTGTAACAGAACCAGAGCAAAAATCTGACTTTCCTGACACTTATTCCCTGTTCTGCTCTGGGGATTCTATATTGATGTATTGTTTGCAAGCTCTCCAGCAGATATGATTCTTATTCCACACTGGTATCATTGGTAGCTTATTTGGAGAGAAAAACTTCAATCCCAAAGTTATTGTCCCACCTAGACAGCAGGGCAGACTCTTAGAAAAGTAGAAAAGATCAATTT
The DNA here is from genome assembly GCF_000001405.40 of Homo sapiens. Lineage (NCBI taxonomy): Eukaryota > Metazoa > Chordata > Mammalia > Primates > Hominidae > Homo > Homo sapiens. Next base: position 154,759,225 of record NC_000004.12, read on the forward strand.
TTATCCCTTCTGCCCCCTTTTTTGGATTGCTTGATTCTTTTCCTTGCCAGGCTCTAATAACTTGTATAAATTTTGCATGGTATGGAAGATACCTGGTAGAATCAAGGAGTTCTTCCAAGAACCCAGAGGATCTGTAGGGTTCCACATTTGTAGCCTTAAGCATTAACTTTTTCCTGGCAGGGCAAGGCAGCCAGCTTATTCCCATGACAGAGAATTCAGTTCCTTCACTCCTTTCATTCAGTTCACATGTATTCACTGTCCACAATATGCTAGGCATTGAACTTGGTAGTGGGGCTACAGAGGTAAAGGACAAAAGTTTCTATTCTCATGGAAAAGGTATGTTGTGACCACAGAGTTACAATTATCTGAGTTGAAAACAGCTTCAGAAAATATATAGCATTTTAGGATTTATTATTTCATAACACACTTTCACATAAGTTTGCTCATTTAATAACTGTCACCCCCATAAGGCAAAGAAGAAACTGAGCCTATAAATATCAAATGACTTAGCTTATCATATAGCCATTTTAACCAACAAGGTAACTGTGATTCTCATTTTACAAACAAGAAGACTGAGGCTAAACACACTAAATGTTTTATTCAAGATCCTATAATCAGTGATGTTATATTAAGACTCATACCTCAGTATTTTCACTCAAAATTCTGTAATATATCACATGCCCTATTTGTAGGGAAACTAAGTAAATATAGTCATTACTTTCTTTCCAAGATCACAGTGCTACAGTTAGCCAGTGGCCACCTGACATGATGAGAAGGCAACACATTTATTTCTAATAAATAAATGTGCTTTTTGACTATAAAGTTCAACATGATATAACACTTCTTAACTTCTTAAAATCCTTACCTAGGGAAGTAGTATGGAAAGATATGGCAGTGCCTGCCCCTGGAGCCTGAAATTTAAGCTGACACAATTAATGCCTGGTTCTAGTTTTGTTAATGTATCTGTTATGGGCTGACTATCTGTGTATCCGCTAAATTCATATACTGAAATCCTAACCCCTAGTGTGATGGTATTTGGAGGTGGGATCTTTGGGAGGTGATTAGAGTTGGATGACATCATAGGGTGGTGTCCCATGATGGTATTAGTGTTCTTAGAAGAAGAGAGACCAGAGATCTCTCTCTCTCTCTCTCTCTCTCTCCCTGCCATGTGAGGACACAGTGAGAAGGTGGCCATCTGCAAGCCAGGAAAATGACCTCCACCAGGAATGGAATCTGCCAACACCTTGGTCGTGGACTTCTCAGACTCCAGAACAATGAGAAATAAATGTCTGTCAAGTCACCCAGTCTATGGTATTTTCTTATAGCAGCTTGAGCTAAGACAGTAGCCATGCAAGTTGCACCCAGTTACACCACATACTTTTCATGTTCAGCAGTCCCCAATGAGGACAGTATGGTGTTTATGAGCTGACAGCATTATGAACAATCTATATTCCACAGTGAACTGTTGGCAAAGCAACTTCCTTTTGTGAAGCAACGTCACAACAGGTATTAAGATAAAACAAAAGCCTGTAATAGTAAGAGATGTGTCCCTGTATCTTGTTTGTTGTTATACATACAGATGCACACATAGGTTCCCAAACTGGGCATCTTGGTAATTGGGATTTACTCTCTAGGTGTATAAGGAAAAGTTATTTCTGGGCAACAAAATGTGCATTCCAAATTACAGTGCTGAAACTCACCTGGTCCAATGCTGAGAAGCTGGGATGCAGTGATGGCAAATGGACCACCCTGGCTCTCCACGAGTGGGCAATGGTGCAATCCTTCTCAAGGCCTCCAGGCCTATTGCAATGACAGACCTGGTTACAAATCAAAGGATATCATTTACATGTGTGACATACATAATGTTGATTCAGCAGAAATCTGTCTTGGCCATTTTCTAAGAGTGGACAGGCCTTAATCCTCCTATAGTTCTCCCTCAGAGTCTTTAGCACTTATAAACCAAGCCCTAGAATCTTTGCTGATGTTGTTGAGAAGCCAAGAGCGAGGCCACTGTCAGGTCAGAATGGTGAGGTCCTGAAGAAGAAATTAGCCTAGGAGATGGGAAATGTGTTGGAAGGCAAAGTGGAAGACAGGCAGGGCAAGTGGTTCATGACAGTGCCTGTTGGAAGGCCATGTGGTCCAGTCTATTCTTATAAAGACAGTCCTTCCAGCTCCACATGGCCCCTCTAGGCACTTACTAAGTGCCAGCCTGAACGTTTGCAGCAGTGTGGGAAAACAAAGACCACACCAAGTGTCCTTTGCAGATGGGGGCTCAATTGGTGGATGCAGGTCCAGCACCCTTCTTTTACCAGGGATTCTAAAATGGAGGATGGGAGGCTGAGCACAAAGGCTGATTCTTGTAATCTCAGCTACTTGGGAGGCTGAGGCAGGAGGATGACTTGAGGCCAGGAGTTTGAGACCAGCCTGGGCAACATAGCAAGACATGGTCTCTAAAAAAATTAAAAAGTTAGCCAGGTGTGGTGGTGCACCCCTGTAATCCCAGTTACTCATGAGGCTGAGGTGGGAGGATCACTTCAGCCTGGGAAGTCAAGGCTGCAGTAAGCTATGATTATGCCACTGCACTCCAGCCTGGATGACACAATGAAACCCCGTCTTATAGATGATAGATAAAATGGGCAGTGGAGGGAGGCACAGCTCAAGAGGCTGAGCCATTCCAAAACACCTCTATGCTGAAAGTTTGAAATTGATGAGTTTGCCTTGTTTATAGTTTGTCTTACTCCTTAACAAAATTATACACTTTTCAAAGGAGTTTCTTAGTGTCTAGTAGTCACAGTGTACATAGCACTCATAAATTATAAAGCGTGAATAGAATTTCATGTTCTCCCAGAGTTATTTTATTTTTTATAAAGTTCTACAGACAGGCAATCAAGGTAAGGAAGATCTTTCATTTCTAGCTGCTCAGGAGATTTACGTTCAAACATCTAACCAACCATTCTTGTTCTTTTTTCTGCCTTCCTCCCTGCAACAAGTTTATACTGAGTACCTGAGCACAAAGCAGGTGCTGTGCCTGTTTCTGCTCTGGTTTGGAAGAAGAAACACCAAGTCTTCCTCACAATCAGAATGCAGAGGGTAGGTCTGTGTGGTCTCTCAATCTTACGCCTGACAGTATTAGTGGTGATATTATTCAGGCTGCGGCTTACATGCATGCATAAACCTCACACTTATCTCCATGCATTGTAAATTTCCTATTTAATCCTTTGCTTATCTTATCCCAAAGTTTGAAATCTCTATTCTTAAGATTGGCTCTGGGTTTAAGGTACAAAGGATTTTTCCTTTCTGTCTTCTTAAATTTCTTCTGTTGCCCAGATGACTATCATATAAAAAACCATTTTGACGTGCACCAATATGAAGTGGATTTGACTGGCTCTGAGAGCACCAGTTTTCCGGGGTGTTTGCCCCACTCTCTGCCTGTGGGAACCCCATCAATTCAGCATGTGAGCTTTTAGGTTGGCTACATTACCCATTTCCATCATTACTCTCATCATTAAAAATATATATAGATAAAATAAATTAAAAAACACTACTCCTCTCTTGGATGTTCTTCTGTTTGTGTACCATCTAATTTAATGGGAGACTGTCAGAATAATTTTCTCATTTCTAGATTTAATGGGAATATAACTAGTCAAACTGGAAGTTTTGTTATTCAGTTCTCTAATTTTTCTGTGTTGTTTCACAAATATGATCACATTTATTTGCAGTTCCTCACCACAATTTCATTTTTCTCTGATGAGTCTGTTCAGTCTTCATGGGGAAATCTCTGTGATAAAACAAAAAGGCCTGACATTTTTGTCTTGCTCCATTAAAATGATCCCCATTGAAAGTTATTACATCCACTGAAAATTATCTGTTTTAATTTTCTCTAGTATAAATGGGGGTATTACTACTTACCTCTCAGGATTACTGTGAAGGTTAAAGTATGTTGAGCCCTCCAGTGGGCTTGGCACATAGATGTCCTTAATAAATGCTAACCAAGAGGCTGTAGGTAGTATCACCCCCTTCATATTCTGAACAGTATTTCTAGGCTTACAGTTCCTCCTAGTACCTACATATCAATTCTTTCTGATAACGTTTATTAAAGAGATCCTTGTGTCTTCTAGCTTCTGCACCACAACTGAGCTCTCAGAATCAAAGCAGCTGCTTGGCCCTCCTGCTGCCAAACTTTGGGGAGCACGTCCAGGCCCTGTGGTTTCTGGGTGGCACCATGAGCCCTGGGGTGGCTGTTAGTCCCTCTACCCACTCCATTGGACTGATCTGACCCAGCTGCCGAACTTTTGGAACTTTTGGAAATTCCAGTAATGGCCAGACTGGCTTGGCTCACAGCAACTGGATGTGATGGTTCTTTTAAAGCAATCAGTTTATGAAGAGAAAGGATATGGGCTGTAAAGTGCTTTTTTTTTTTTTTTTTTTTTTTTTTTGGTCAAAGCTGCCCAACAAGAAAGTTTGTTTGTCAGGGAAAGGAGGAGGAAGGGAAGTGTAGCCTAAATAATAGAAGCCAGGAATACAAACCAAAGCATGTTTTATAAATGAACACCTCTTTCTCTGAAATCAGAACTTAGAAAAGTAAAATAACTGTTCAGTTATAATTAGCAATCGTACTGATAATTCTGAGGTTTTACATCATTCAAGATTCCACCTGAAAGATTCACTTGTCTTTCCACCTGAAAGATTCGCACAGATCAATCTGTGTGTGTGTACATGTGTGTGCTCAGTGTTTCTTCTAAATATTTGGAAAAATAACACACATACAATAAGGCAATACTTAGTTAATTAAAATTTTTAATTAACACTGATACCCAATTTTCCAATATTCATTATAAAGGAGAGTACATTTTCCTTGGGCTTACTGCCTCCATCAAATAGACTTTAAAAAACCGCCATAACATCAGCCAATTTCCCCCTTATTCTGATTTCCTATGATACTGTTACTTAATGTGCATTCCATGAGCCGCTTGCATCAGAATTTCTCAGGAAACTTGTTAAAATTTCAGGTTCCTGGGGCAACATTCTACATCTACTGGAGCTTACTAGTTGGCTACCCCAACATCATAGTCCCTTTCCTCTTTAGTAAGATGATCTTGACTTAAGTGGAATTAGCCATACACTTGGCCTTCTTTTCCATGTGACAAAGTTTTGGCCAATCAAATAAAAGGAGATATGCTGTGCAGGAATTCCAGGAAGCCTCCTTCAATGGGAAAGAATACAAAGTTTTCTTCTCCCGTTTCTCTTGCTGCTAGCCTGTAAGTGGACAGCATGGCTAGAAACAAGAAGCCATTCCAGATCATGAGGTGACTCTGTGGATGGAAGCCAGGCACATAGGGTGGTAAAACAGAAAGAACCTTGGGTCCCTATGGTGCCAGCAGGTCGGGCTTGGACTGTCTTCCTCCAGAGGAAATAAGCTGCTAACTTATTGAAGCAGTTGAAGTTATTTTAGATTGCTGTCTTATATGCAGCTGACCTAATGCCACTGGCTAATTCTCCTGATTTAAAATATATGAGGGTTGTGAAATCTGCATTTTTGATAAACACCTAGGACAATTCTTAGACACAATCAAATTTTGAAAAACCTGCCATGAGATACAAGATCTATAAATAATTTTATAATTATTTCTTAGAGATAGACCAGAGACAGGGCTGGTATACATTATACCTTTACTTGTATTCTGCAGGATTTAGTACCATAACAAATAGTGAGGGATGGTCCATCAAGGTCTGCAGAATAAATAAATTGTTAAGAGAAGTCTTCTTTTCCACCCCTAATTTTCTTCTGCAAGCTACCAGAGAAAATGTTTCTTAATTGTGGACAGCCTTGAGGAACACCTGGCGGATCATTTTTCTATTTCTTTGAAAGGTCTAGGTATATGAATGAACCACAAAACAATGAGCAGCAGCTTTGCAGTGACAATACGGTTTCTTAAATATGGTGGCTATTTTGCCTCTGGTGTCTCTTCCAGAGCTTGCTACCAGGATAGCGTGAGTCCAGTAGGCGTACCAAGTCCTTCAATACTACTAGTCTCATGGGGAGGAAAACAAAAACCAGTCCCACACACCAAGCAATTAAGTGCTCACTGTGTTGTTTTTACGGTATCTTATTTTATATATATATATATAAATACATATACAGATATATATATATTTAGGCTAGATATATATATATAGATATATTATATATCTATATATATATATATACACACACACGTATATACCTATGGACAAATATATATGTACGTATGTGTATACCTGCACACATAAGACATCACTTTATAAATAAATTTCCAACTTCTCAGATATGTTTTCCAACATTATGGCAATTCATTACTGTGATAATTAGGCTAATGAAATACCAGTTACTTGAATGAGAAGTTGTTTGTGGTGCTCAGAAGTAAAGGGTGATGCCTGTTGGTGATCTATGGGATTCTCACTACAAATTCTGGAAATAGTCACCTGCACCCTTCAGCACATTCATTAGCCAACATTTCTAAAATAGGGTTAGTCAATTTGGCTATTTTCCTGAGTTTCCAGATTCCTTATAGAGTCTGTCAGCTTACCCAAGTTGACAGACTCTATAAGTCAATAAACTGATAGCTGAAACAAAACAAAACAAAGAAACCTAAACTCTCTAAGCTTTAGCTTCCTTCTAGGTAAAATAGAGATAATAATAGCAATTTTCATAGAATTGCAGTGAAGAATAAATGAGATAAGGTATTTAAAGTTCTGGTACAGTGTCTAACAAAGTAAGTGCTCAATAAATGATAGTTATGATTTGTATTTTCTCCTTTTTGCTTTTTTAAGATGGAGTTTCACTCTTGTTGCCCAGGCTGGAGTACAATGGTGTGATCTTGGCTCACTGCCACTGCCACTGCCACCTCCACCTCCCAGGTTCAGGTGGTTCTCCTGCCTCAGCCTCCCAAGTAGCTGGGATTACAGGCATGCACTACCACGCTTGGCTAATATTGTATTTTTTTTTTTTTTAGTAGAGACAGGGTCAGTCTTGAACTCCTGACCTGAGGTGATCCACCTACCTTGGCCTCCCAAAGTGCTAGGATTACAGGTGTGAGCCACCGCACCTGGCCCGTATTTTCTCCTTTTATTAAATGTTTCATCTTCCTTGTGTGTTTCTGTCCAGAAGATAAAACATCTGTTAAACTTTATAAAATATATTATTTTAAACCTATTCTTTTAGGATTTTAATAAATGGGAAAATAGGATCACTTTTCTGAAAATTAACCATTTTTCAATTACTTCTTCAAACATCATCAAAATTAATAACAGAATGAAAACCCAGTGCTGCCACATTTGTCCAATGTTCACCAGGTCAGTTTGTTGGGGCCAGGGTTACAAGCCCAAATCCATAACCAGCTTTTCATCCCCTGGACACCACCATGCCCACTTTCAGCTCACCCTAATTGCATGATGGCAAAAGAGAAAGAAAGAATAGCAGAAGATGGTTACAGAAGCCAAGTTCCATTTATAGTCTATTTATACTTCCTCCATTAAACTTCCTCTAAGGAGATGGGGTGATGAAAAAAGAGGGAAGCCTTGGAGTCCGTCCTTACAGGTTTGCAAGTATCATTAGCAAGAAATGACAAAATAAGCTTATCAATTCAGTACCACTGAGGGATAATATTCATTAACATTATGAATTGTTTATTTGTATTATGTCAAAAACATTATCTTCCCACTTCTATATTTATTTAACGACTGAGTTCAGGGTTTCTGGTTCCTCATTAGATGGCTACTTTGCATTGGCAGCAAGCAGTTCCCCAGGACCAAACCCTGGAGATGTCACAATTTCAAGACAGACCTCAAAGGATATAAAAACCTATTGTTAAAAATGTGAGAAACTCTGAGAAGACTAAAAATGTTTTGGCAAAAAACAGCAGTCAGGATGTAGCAGGGTGGACATCATTGTGGGAGAAATTTTGGGAAGAGCTTGTGTGATATAATTTCATTCTCTCAAATTCTACTGGGTGGAATACAACTTTGACAGAGAAGCAGGAAAATGTCAGCACTAGCTAGGGCACCTAGTGGGAGAGTTACATCAGGGTTGTGTTGGCTGTGGTGAAGAGTAGATAAAAATAGAGGCAGGTCCTGGAGTTGTCCCTTCTTCTCTATTCATTCCATGAGCACTGGGTACTATGACTAAAACATAGGAAGACTCTACTGGCTGATGGCCAGCTGCTGACTCCTTAAATAACTAAGAAGGGTACACTGTCCTTTGCCGCCAATTCACATTACTAATGAAGACTGCAGATGTGACTATAAACTCACAAAGAATATTAGATAACCAAATAGGGCAACACCTACACAATAAACAAGCTATAGTAGATTAAGTTAATATCTTCTAAATGAAACTAAACTAACATATATTCTCCAAGAAATAAAGGAGGCTAACAGTAACACGAAGCAAGAACTAGTAGTTATTAAAAAAAAAGGTGGAAACAGTTATGTATTAAAAATATGATTTAAAGTAAAATCTCAACAGGAAAGATAAATAGCAGAACAGATACAACCAATAAGTTAATTAGGAGCTGAAAGCTACAAAGTCAAAGAACTTTACCAATAGCATCAGGGACAAATAAAAGGCCACATGGCGTAGTGGTTAAAAGTGTGCAACCCTGGATCCCGAAGCCTGGGTTCAAATCTCAACTCTGCCAAATATTAGCTGAAATGCTCTGAGCAATTCACTTAACTAATATGTAATGACTTTTTTTCATCTATAAAATGGGTAGATAATAATAGTACCTACACTATATGATTGTAATGAGGATTAAATGAGTTAATATATGCACAGTACACATAAGAGTCTCTGGCAAATAACTAATCCTGCATAAATATAAGCTATTACTATTTTAAGGAGTAGGAAATACAAAAGAGCTATTTGTGGGAGATGTAGGAGAGACACAAACATGTCACGTAACTCACAGCAAACCTTGATGAGGAAAACAATTAAGTAGAAAGAAGGAAATATTAACAGACTGACAATAGTCTAGAATCAAAGAAAGATAAAAATCTCTGATCCTTCAGATTTCAATCTTCAGATGGATTATCATAGATAACTCAACAAAATAGATGAAAAAAACCCTATACCTTGATACATTGTGATAAAATTTAAGATCAAAGAGAGAGAAATAATAAGTGATTACATAAAGGAAGAACATAAAATCTTCAAAAGAACAAGATTAGGTTGACATCAGACTCATCCATAATAACACTGGAGGCAAAAACATAATGAAGTACTATTTCAAGGTACTGATGTAAAAAGAATTTATACCTAGAAAAACTAATATCTAAAAATGATGGAGCAAGAAATATGATGATGTCAGACATTCAAGGCTCAAAAAGTTTGTATTCAAAGCCCAATTTTGAAAAGACTATTGGAAAAAATATCCTAAGAGAAATAAATCTAGGCAGTCATACAGGAATAAGGGTTGAGTAAATAACTAATTTAAATAATGTTTAAGAAAAAAATGTGTGTGTGAGTGTGTGTGTGTGTGTGTGTGTGTAATGATGATCCAAAACTAAAATTCCATGTAACAGCAACAAAGCAGGTATGTGTAGTTTGGCTGGGGAAGTGGGGAAGAAAAGAGGGAGCTGAGAGAGTTCTGAAGTCCCTGTCTTAATCAGAAAGAAAACACAAATGTTGATAGGTATAGGTTGTAGTGGGTTAGTCAAATAGAATATATCATTTTCATATCAGCAGAAAAATAATAAATCTATCATAGGAGGTGGGAAAGGGAAAAAAAAAGAACTCATTCAGTATCTTCTCCCATTGTATTAAATCCCTACTTCCTTTATTCTTAAGTTCTTAATGCGTAAATTGGCAACCTCAGTATGAATTAACAATTGGTAACACATTCAATTTGCTTATTCCCTTGTCACTACTAAGACCAGTAACATAGTGGCTTTAAATTATGTACTGATATACCTAAAGTCTCATTAATTCAGATCTCAACAATTTGTATTTTGTGACATTCCTGACAGGGATGGGCTAAGGTTTAGTTCTGCAAGAGTTTAAAAAAATTAGTAGCATGGCCAAGGGTACAAGACAGAATACTTAAATTACTTTAGACAATCATTTAAAGATCCCAAACACTTCTTAAGAAGTCATTTATTTATACCCATTTACTTGCAAGTACACTATAAATCACTCTTATGTATTCAATAAATCTGTTCTCAAAAGAAGTCATTTGGTCAGAATTTATTTTTCAAATTTCTGTATAAAACGGTAAATGCTTATTGTTAGTCTGGACATATAAAATATTTTAATTTTTTCTCAAGACAAAATCCCTTTTCCTCCTTTTAATCTGAATTAGTGAGGTAAGTTTCTACTGTAAAGAGAAATCTAGTGTTAAATCTTTACTGAGTGACTTCTTATTAACTTTACCTGACAGTGTCCACCCCATAGGTGAGAAGCTGACCGCCCCTGTGGTCATTCTAGTTCTCAGCCTAAACAGTATCTAGGTTTCGTGTGTTTTTTAACCGTGTACATACATATCATAGGAGGTTGTGTTCAGACATGACAACAAACGGTACATAATCAACTCACACATGCCTTACTAAAACAAAATCCAACACATATATTTATTCGGCTAATTATAATGTTATCTTTTTTCTTATGGCAGATGAAGGCTTGTTTTACTGAGTGACTGATAGATATAATTAGCCCATTTTCACATTGCTATAAAGATACTACCTGAGACTGGGTAATTTATAAAAAAAAAAAAGATGTTTAATTGACTTGCAGTTCCCTATAGCTGGGGATGCCTCAGGAAACTTACAATTATGGCAGAAGATGAAGGGGAAGAAAGCACCTTCTTCACAAGGCAGCAGGAGAAAGAGAGAGTCCAGGGGAAACTGCCACTTTTAAACCATCAGATCTTGTGAGAACTCCCTATCATGAGAACAGCATGGGGGAAACTGCCCCCATGACCCAGTCACCTGCCACCAGGACCCTCCCTGGACTCACAGGGATTACAACTTGAAATGAGATTTGGGTGGGGACACAGAGCCAAACCACATTAACCACTATGCTTACATAAGAGAGGGGGGCCTTCATGTCTTCATCTCTTCCTGCTTGGACAGAGTCTTGGTTACCTCCTTCTTGGCCTGAAGTGGCTCCTCGGGGCACTCCTGTACTTCCTTGGTCTTAACCTTGGGGGCCTATCTGGTTAGCCAGGGGCTTCTTGCAGGCCTTCTCTGCCTTCAGCTTGCGGATGTGTTTCAGGAGAATCTGCTTGATTCTCATTCACCTAAAAGATAATGTAATTTTTAAGAGAAAAAAAGTCAGATATGTTATTTTTCTTTGAGTACCATGGCCACAGCCATACATCTTGCTCAGGCAACCGAAGAGGCATGCCTCCAGCATCCTCTGCCATGACGAAAAGGCCTCATAGGATCCCAGTGAAACCAACCAAACAGTCAATGCCAACTCTAGCCAGCAGATCTGGAAGTTGATCAAAGATGGGCTGATCCCACTAGACTATGACGGTCCATTCCCAGGTTCCATGCCAGAAAGGGGCAGGCACATGGGTACATGTAGTCCTAATGGCCCTGCAGATGCTGGAATGTCCCAGAAGGTAACCTGCATGAGGAAGAGGAGGACTCTGCACCAGTTTCTTAGAAGATACAGTGAATCTGAAATTGACCACCACCTGTATCACAGCCTGTACCTGAAAAAGACTTGCCATTTTAGAACCTAGCACTGACTTGCCCATGCAGGACCCTGCAGAGTCTCCTTTCTCTCTGCCATGGCAACCTGCAATGTAACAACCAGTGATGCTCCATCAGTCTTGACTCCTGAGTAAAGAGCTGAAGGATGACTGCTTAGGATCAGAGCTACAGACACCACAGCTCCAGAGAGAAATACACTTTGTTGTTTTAAGCTGGAATTTGTGGGACTGTTTATTATTGCAGCATAACCCAGCCCATCATGACAGACACAGCATCTTCCTTATTCCAGACAACAATCAGACAAGGGAGACAATATTGCTAAAAAAAAAAAAAAAAAAGTAACTTATGTAAAAGTGGAGACTTGGGAAACTAAATAATTCATGTCCGAAGTCACACTGCCAGCATTTGACCTGTCTCATTCCAAAGCCCACTGTGTTTCCACCTTATCACTTTGACTCAAAAAATGTTTTGAAGTACAACTCATTAGACTTGCTATCATTATTAGAAATCAGGAAGTTTCAGACAAATATTTGTTGAGCAATGTTGAACATGCCCTTGAACCACTTTTCCAGTGATGAAGGGGATGAAGTCTCTGTGCCAGCTAAGAATACTTCCAGAGGCTAAAGAGAAGGCTGGCTGAAAAATTTCCTTTAGGATCTGCAGGAATTTAAGCTTCACCATAATTTCCATCAAGGGATAAATGAATAAGAGCCACATAGATTGTCTAAAACCTAATTTTAGAGTCACATGCCCATCAATTTCAACATACTTTATCCAAGACTTCTCTAAACTCTAGACATTACAAATGTCATTCCGCTCCTATTTTTTTTAAAGGAACACTTTTATTTTTATTTATTTATTTATTTATTTTTATGCTTTAAGTTCTAGAGTACATGAGCACAACGTGCAGGTTTGTTACATATGTATACATGCACCATGTTGGTGTGTTGCACCCATTAACTCGTCATTTACATTAGGTATATCTCCTAATGCTATCCCTCCACCCTCCCCCTACCCCATGACAGGCCCTGATGTGTGATGTTCCCCAGCCTGTGTCCAAGTGTTCTCATTGTTCAATTCCCACCTATGAGTGAGAACATGCGGTGTTTGTTTTTTCGTCCCTGTGATAGTTTGCTGAAGAATGATGGTTTCCAGCTTCATCCATGTCCCTACAAAGGACATTAACTCATCCTTTTTATGGCTGCATAGTATTCCATGGTGTATATGTGCCACATTTTCTTAATCCAGTCTATCATTGATGGACATTTGGGTTGGCTCCGTCTTTGCTGTTGTGAATAGTGCCGCAATAAACATACGTATGCCTGTGTCTTTATAGCAGCATGATTTATAATCATTTGGGTATATACCCAGTAATGGGATGGCTGGGTCAAATGGGATTTCTAGTTCTAGATCCTTGAGGAATCACCACACTGTCTTCCACAATGGTTGAACTAGTTTACAGTATCACCAACAGTGTAAAAGTGTTCCTATTTCTCCACATCCTCTCCAGCACCTGTTGTTTCCTGACTTTTTAATGATCGCCATTCTAACTGGTGTGAGATAGTATCTCGCTGTGGTTTTGATTTGCATTTCTCTGACGGCCAGTGATGATGAGCATTTTTTCATGTGTCTGTTGGCTGCATAAATGTCTTCCTTTGAGAAGTGTCTGTTCACATCCTTCGCCCACTTTTTGATGGGGTTGTTTGTTTTCTCATAAGTTTGTTTGAGTTCTTTGTAGATTCTGGATATTAGCCCTTTGTCAGATGAGTAGATTGCAAAAATTCTCTCCCATTCTGTAGGTTGCTTTTCACTCTGTTAGTAGTTTCTTTTGCTGTGCAGAAGCTCTTTAGTTTAATTAGATCCCATTTGTCAATTTTGGCTTTTGTTGCCATTGCTTTTGGTGTTTTAGACATGAAGTCCTTGCCCATGCCTACGTCCTAAATGGTACTGCCTATGTCTAACATTTAAGTCTTTAATCCACCTTGAATTAATTTTCATATAAGCTGTAAGGAAGGGATCCAGTTTCTGCTTTCTACATATGGCTAGCCAGTTTTCCCAGCACCATTTATTAAATAGGGAATCGTTTCCCCATTTCTTGTTTTTGTCAGGTTTGTCAAAGATCAGATGGTCGTAGATGTGTGGTATTATTTCTGAGGGCTCTGTTCTGTTCCATTGGTCTATATGTCTGTTTTGGTATCAGTACCATGCTGTTTTGGTTACTGTAGCCTTGTAGTATAGTTTGAAGTCAGGTAGTGTGATGTCTCCAGCTTTGTTCTTTTTGCTTAGGATTGTCTTGGCAATGCAGGCTCTTTTTTGGTTCCATATGAACTTTAAAGTAGATTTTTCTAATTCTGTGAAGAAAGTCATTGGTAGCTTGATGGGGATGGCATTGAATCTATAAACTACCTTTGGCAGTATGGCTATTTTCATATTGATTCTTCCTATCCATGAGCATGGAATGTTCTTCCATTTGTTTGTGTCCTCTTTTATTTCGTTGAGCAGTGGTTTGTATTTCTCCTTGAAGAGGTCCTTCACATCCCTTGTAAGCTGGATTCCTAGGTATTTTACTCTCTTTGTAGCAATTGTGAATGGGAGTTCACTCATGATTTGGCTGTTTGCTGTTATTGGTGTATAAGAATGCTTGTGATTTTTGCACATTCATTTTATATCCTGAGACTTTGCTGAAGTTGCCTCTCAGCTTAAGGAAATTTTGGGCTGAGACGATGGGGTTTTCTAAATATACGATCATGTCATCTGCAAACAGGGACAACTTAACTTCTTCTTTTCCTAATTGAATACCCTTTATTTCTTTCTCCTGCCGGATTGCCCTGGCCAGAACTTCCAGCACTATGTTGACTGGAGTGGTGAGAGAGGGCATCCCTGTCTTATGCCAGTTTTCAAAGGGAATGCTTCCAGTTTTTACCCATTCGGTAGGATATTGGCTGTGGGTTTGTCATAAATAGCTCTTATTATTTTGAGATACGTCCCATCAATACCTAATTCATTGAGTTTTTAGCATGAAGGGTTGTTGAATTTTGTCAAAGGCCTTTTCTGCATCTATTGAGATAATCATGTGGTTTTTGTCTTTGGTTCTGTTTATATGATGGATTACATTTATTGATTTGCGTATGTTGAACCAGCCTTGCATCCCAGGGATGAAGCCCACTTGATTATGGTGGATAAGCTTTTTGATGTGCTGCTGGATTCGGTTTGCAGTATTTCATTGAGGATTTTTGCATTGATGCTCATCAGGGATATTGGTCTAAAATTCTCTTTTTTTGTTGTGTCTCTGCCAGGCTTTGGTATCAGGATGATGCTGGCCTCATAAAATGAGTTGGGGAGGATTCCCTCTTTTTCTATTGATTGGAATGGTTTCAGAAGGAATGGTATCAGCTCCTCCTTATACCTCTGATAGAATTCGGCTGTGAATCCGTCTGGTCCTGGACTTTTTTTGGTTGGTAGGCTATTAATTATTGCCTCAATTTCAGAGCCTGTTATTGGTCTATTGAGGGATTCAACTTCTTCCTGGTTTAGTCTTGGGAGGGTGTATGTGTCCAGGAATTTATCCATTTCTTCTAGTTTTTCTAGTTTATCTGTGTAGGGTATTTACAGTATTCTTTGATGGTAGTTTGTATTTCTGTGGGATTGGTGGTGATATCCCCTTTATCATTTATTATTGCGTCTATTTGATTCTTCTCTCTTTTCTTCTTTATTAGTCTTGCTAGCGGTCTATCAATTTTCTTGATCTTTTCAAAAAACCAGCTCCTGGATTCACTGATTTTTTGAAGGTTTTTTTGTGTCTCTATCTCCTTCAGTTCTGCTCTGATCTTAGTTATTTCTTGCCTTCTGCTAGCTTTTGAATGTGTTTGCTCTTGCCTCTCTAGTTCTTTTAATTGTGATGTTAAGGTGTCAATTTTAGATCTTTCCTGCTTTCTCTTGTGGGCATTTAGTGCTATAAATTTCCCTCTACACACTGCTTTAAATGTGTCCCAGAGATTCTGGTATGTTGTGTCTTCGTTCACACTGGTTTCAAAGAACATCTTTATTTCTGCCTTTATTTCATTATGTACCCAGTAGTCATTCAGGAGCAGGTTGTTCAGTTTCCATGTAGTTGAGCGGTTTGAGTGAGTTTCTTAATCCTGAGTTCTGGTTTGATTGCACTGTGGTCTGAGAGACGGTTTGTTACAATTTCTGTTCTTTTACATTTGCTGAGGAGTGCTTTACTTCCAACGATGTGGTCAATTTTGGAATAAGTGCAATGTGGTGCTGAGAAGAATGTATATTCTGTTGATTTGGGGTGGAGAGTTCTGTAGATGTCTATTAGGTCTGCTTGGTGCAGAGCTGAGTTCAATTCCTGGATATCCTTTTTCACTTTCTGTCTTGTAGATCTGTCTAATGTTGACACTGGGGTGTTAAAGTCTCACATTATTATCGTGTGGGAGTCTAAGTCTCTTTGTAGGTCTCTAAGGACTTGCTTTATGAATCTGGGTGCTCCTGTATTGGGTGCATATCTATTTAGGATAGTTAGCTCTTCTTGTTGAATGGATCCCTTTACCATTATGTAATGGTCTTGTCTCTTTTGATCTTTGTTGGTTTAAAGTCTGTTTTATCAGAGACTAGGATAGCAACCCCTGCCTTTTTTTGTTTTCCATTTGCTTGGTAGATCTTCCTCCATCCCTTTATTGTGGGCTTATGTGTGTCTCTGCACGTGAGATGGGTTTCCCGAATACAGCACACTGATGGGTCTTGACTCTTTATCCAATTTGCCAGTCTAGGTCTTTTAATTGGAGCATTTACATTTAAGGTTAATATTGTTATGTGTGAATTTGATCCTGTCATTATGATGTTAACTCGTTATTTTTCTTGTTAGTTGATGCAGTTTCTTCTTAGCATTGATGGTCTTTACAATTTGGCATGTTTTTGCAGTGGCTGGTACCGGTTGTTCCTTTCCATGTTTAGTGCTTCCTTCAGGAGCTCTTTGTAGGGCGGGCCTGGTGGTGACAAAATCTCTCAGCATTTGCTTGTCTGTAAAGGACTTTATTTCTCCTTCACTTATGAAGCTTAGTTTGGCTGGATATGAAATTCTGGGTTGAAAATTCTTTTCTTTAAGAATGTTGAATATTGGCCCCCACTCTCTTCTGGCTTGTAGAGTTTCTGCCACGAGATCTGCTGTTAGTCTGATGGGCTTCCCTTTGTGGGTAACCCGACCTTTCTCTCTGGCTGCCCTTAAAATTTTTTCCAACATTTCAACTTTGGTGAATCTGACAATTATGTGTCTTGGAGTTGCTCTTCTCAAGAAGTATCTTTGTGGCGTTCTCTATATTTCTTGAATTTGAATGTTGGCCTGCCTTGCTAGATTGGGGAAGTTCTCCTGGATAATATCCTGCAGAGTGTTTTCCAACTTGGTTCCACTCTCCCTGTCACTTTCAGGTACACCAATCAGACGTAGATTTGGTCTTTTCACATACTCCATATTTCTTGGAGGCTCTGTTCGTTTTTTTCATGCTTTTTTTCTCTAAACTTCTCTTCTTGCTTCATTTCATTCATTTGATCTTCATTTGATCTTCTGAATCAATCTTCTGAACACCCATTCTGAATTTATGTCTTAGTCATTCCACTGATCACTCCCTTCTTACCACTTGAACCTCCAACTAATTGACCTATAAACTACTCACCCAATCTTTACCCCACTAAACACATACTACAGAGTTATTCTATCTCATAGAATAACATTTATTAATAGAACTAAAGACCTCTATTTGGGTTACACAGAGCTACTGGACTGCATCAGAGAGGAAGTTCTAACTCAGTCTGGTTAGCCTGCCAAACATACATAGGGCCACAGGACTCAGGTGAAAACCAGAATTACAGATTGTAGATGTTTCAAAAGTTTACATTTGAATTAATTATTCTGACAGCAGAACAAGACTGCTTTTTGGCCTTTTTTCTTTTTTCTCGTCAGAAGGGTTTAGTAATTCAGTGTTGTTAAGACACAGGTTGAGAGAAATGTATCTAATTTATTAAGAATCAGAATTGGAGTGGAATACGTAAAAGGTGGCAAAACATAAAAAGCCCGTGATTTCAGGGATGCCCTAGTGACTGTGGATACAAGCTGATCAATGCAAATTAAGAGAGATACAGTGACTCATTAGAAAGATCTGATGCTTAGTTTAGAACCCAGACTGCATTATGGGTCATAATGGCATTCCTCTTTCCCCTTCGAGTTCCATGGACTCTCCTTATTTCCTGCATTTGAGAAATGCAAGCAAAGTGCCCTCTTGGGCACCAAACGGGAGTCTCTCTCTGCTTCCTCTGCAGTGACAAATGACAGAGTTGGACTGTCCCAGCTGGAATCATCCAGGGAAGATGCCATCCATGGAGTGCTAAGAGAGAAATGTCATGCCTAAGAAAGTGCTTTGCCTCACACATCCTTCATGGCCAGGTGTACTGAAGTGCCTGAACCAATGCTGGCCCTGTTGTCCTCAACCAAAATAATTTTCTTCATGGAATATATTTATGATGGCTTAAAAAAACTTAAAATGCAATTTAAAAGTTTCTGGGAGAACCAGAGTATCAGAATGAAAGTTAGAAGAGAGGAGTTGGAGATCCAGTATTGCTGCTGACTGGCTCTTTGACTTGGGGCAAGTTAATTTCAGCTTTCCCAGCCAAATGGTTGCTAAGGTGTCTTACAGCTCTAGTTTTCATTGTAACTTGTTACCCAGGGAAGCACACTACCAAACTTATCCAGTGAGATAAGACAGGAAAGATTTAATCACATTCTCTCTCAACCAAAGTTAATCAGTCTTCATTATCAGAAACTTATTTTTTATTACATATATTAGTTTCTTATGTTGTGAGTTAATCCTAGATCTCTCAGAGAAAAATGTGTATTTCCTTTCGCATCACCTATTTCTATTATTGTGGTTTATTTATGTATTTATTTTTAATAATTAGATAAGTGGATCCTGATGTTAACTAACAACTTATACCAATCTGAAAAGGGTTAGCTTTATGAGTACTTCCTTTAGTTTGCCCCTATGTCAACTGAGGCCTTGGTCATGGGTTTGGTCCATATATAGGCCATTAGCTACATGTGAAGAAGATCTCAGGTTCTGATTTGCTGCCTTGGGAAGTGAGGTTGTTAATCATAGGGGGTACACTGACAGGATGTAAATATGGCTCATCACCATAACTGGAAAAAAGCAATGTTAATGCGCCTCTCCCGCCACATATAGTCATCTTGGTGCTGATGCTCACCTTCCAGTATAATGAAAAGTTCAAATTCATCTGTCAGGCAGAATGCATTAAACCAGGATAAGAAAGTAAGGGTCAGTGAATTAGAATAAACATACTTACTACACACATAAAATAAAACAAAACCCCAAATCCACACTTCCAAAACAGGTTTGAGATGACATTTCAATTGAAGATTCACCACATTAAAGAGTTCCTTGTTCCTGAGCGATGTGCTGTAGATCATTAATTCTATAAACATGCAAGTAGCTGCCATGTTTTTGGTGGATCTGTGTCATATCACTGCCACAGTGATAAAGGAAGCTGAAGAAGCTCCAACACATGGAAAATAAACCAGATCACTGCACAGGCTCATTTATATGGAACAGAGGACTAAGTTGGATGTTAAACATTTTAAAGATTTCCCATTGCTTCTCTTTCCTTTGTCAGGGGGTGTATTTTGCAGAATGTATATGAAAATAACTTCTAAGTGATATAAAAGCTTGCATCTTAACTTCTAAGTGATATAAAAGCTTGCATTTTATATGGGGAAAATACATGTATTCAGACTATTTTTAACCACTTGAATTTTGCATCTCTTCCTTTTTTTTTTTTTTTTTTTTGAGACAGGGTTTCGCTCTGTCATCCAGGCTGGAGTGCTGTGGCACGGTCATAGCTCACTGCAGCCTCAAACTCCTGGGCTTAAGTGATCCTCTTGTCTCAGCCTAACTCAAAGTAGTTAGGACTACAGGTGTGTGCCACCACACCCGGCTCCTTCCAATTTTTTATTGATAACTTTTACTTCCCATGTCACACAGTCACTATTATTTCTCTTTCTGGTGTTTGCAGAGATCCCCTTCTATTTTCTCCCTTGTATGCCAAGTATCTTTCGACACTTCTTTTTAGTCACAAACACCTTTACATTGCTTATCATCTTCCTTCTTACTCATTTGGGTCACCTTTTCCCATAAGCTCAAATAATCTTAAAACAAATCCAATTTGGAATCTGTTACTGAAGAATTCTAGCTGATAAAAGTGTTTTGGATCTCTTTCTCTGGGAGCCTTGAGAAATAAAGTTAAAGGTCATTTCTTTAATTGTACATGCAGACAATAGTTTTTATAGCATTTGAAAAGTATACCTATTAATAAACTTTAGGATAATAAAAACTTAGACAAAATCTAACCAAAATGACATACAATGTTAAGTATGGGAAGGGTCTTTAAACAACACTGTCTCATCTATGGCAAGGTTCTATGGTCTGACTGTAATGCCTATTGAGAAGCCCTTGTCTATTTGGTTTTCTTTATACTTGGGGAGAAAAAAGACAAAAAGGGAAACAAGAAAACCAGCAATGTTCAACAACCTTCCAGGCTATTTCCAAGAACAATCTTTGTACCTCACAACATCTCCACCTAGTGACTCCTTAAGGATCTTACAGCCATTCCTAGAAATTACTTGTTTTAAATTGCCACTAATATGCCTAACCTCATTTCAGATAATTTAACCTTAAACACATGTATTTAGAATTAATTACTAGGAATTGAGAAGGTACCGACATGAAAATGAAGAATGAGGAGAATCTTTTTCTGGAGAAATAAAAGAGCAGCAAAAAATAGTAATCAATATAACAATCACAGTTCCCGAGGTACAGAATTGGTGACATGTCAAACAAAGCCAACTAGATCTATCAGTCTAGGTTTTCTAGTTGCTTTATTTTGAATGCATACATCTTATATAAAATGACACTTGTATTCATTGACTAAAGGGCAGACGGCTTACAAAAAATATTTGTTGAGCTTCCAGTGTGCATCAAGTACTATGCCAAGTTTTCTACTTGTTTCTGGACGTATTTTGAGACAGTATAGTATAGCAATTATGTCTGTAGGTTTCAAACTGGAGCCACTTACTTGCTATATGACTTTGCCCAAACTACTTAAGGTTTCTGCATCTGTTTCCCCGTCTGCAAAGTAGGGCTAGTAACTTTACCAAAGTTACTGTGAGAATTAAATGAAAATATGAAAAGTCCTTAGGATTGTTTCTGGCATCTGGCTCAATATTTGGTAATATCATATATTATTTTATTCTCACAATCCCCACTTTAAACAGGGTCTGTCTGGCTCCAAAGTCCCTGCTAATTCCTCACTGTTGTAGTATATTTAAAAATTAAAAATATACTTTAACAAAATTTAAATTGGTAGACATTCATTAGTTCCTTGAATATATGGAGAAAATACATTAGGAGTTAATGTGGAAGAAATCACCTTGAGGTTGGGAATAAGGAGATCTGTGTTACTCGGTGAATATTCTGGGCATGAAGTTCCTTGTTAATTAGAGAATCAACATGAGCTAGGTTCTTTATTGTCTAATATTCCATGAATCTAATATTATCTATACATAAATAGTTGGTTCCTAAAGGTGGTTTTTTCTTTCCTTGTCTGCATTTAATTTCGAGCTGTCTTCAAAGGAAGCAAAACTGAAGTTATGCATACCGAATGCCAAACAACCCTATCTGTGAAAGTTGGTTTTACAAGAGCATAGAACCCAGTTCGGCAGTTCGCCTCTGCCAAATGTCCCTGCAAGCTGATTAGTGGTAGCGTCAAGCCTATCGCTAGTTCTCCTCATCTAACCCATTTTCTTAGTCATTGTCATTTAAACCACTTATACTTTATACTTCTAGTCCTATTTGCAAATCCATCTTTTAGCTTTATAACCCACCTCCCCCTAGCCCTTAATTTCAAAGGTCCACCGGATATATGTGGTTGTTTTGCGCCAAACTAGCAGTTTACAAGAAAACTACATCAAACAAGAAAAAGAACCATTACGATGCATCTATGTTTTCCCTTAAGTGCGGAATTTCACACTGCAGCCCTCGTCTTCAAACACCTAAACAATGCACCTAGGACCTTCATTTATTATTCCGTGCCCACCCACACCCTAAAAATCGCTCTCTTCACCCCAATTGCTCGAAATGCCTGTCACTCCAAGCACTTTGACTAGCCCAAGAGCCTCATTTAAACTTTAGCCCCACTCTCTCCTCCTCGCCCCGCCCCGAAGCTAATCCCTGATTGGATGAGGCACCACTCCTCGTGGGGCTGCTTAGGCCACCGCGCGCGCTGCGCGCTGGGAAACGAGTGGAGACACGAGGACCAGCGCGAGCGGTCCCGGTGGGCTACCCTCCCCCTGCGACGACCCCCCCTCGCTCTGACCGACTGGTCCCCTAAACGGTGGCGGCGGTTTTTGGTCGTTGGGCCCCGGGATTTAGGACCAACATTTGAAGACCCGAAGGGGTGAGGAGGGGAAAGGGGAAACGGGGTCACTACCAGACCACTGCTAACGGCTGGATAGTGCCCGGCTCACTCTCACGCCGAATACACAGTGGGGGCTGGCGGCGGTGGCTGCGGGGTTCACCCTCGTCCTTCCCCAGCCCCGTCGAGCAGTGGGAGGGCAAGTGTCCGAGACGCTGCTTCCTGCCCCGGCAGCATCCGGCCAGAAGGCGCCCTCGCCGTCACCCAGGCGCTGCATGGTGAGGGCCCAGCGGCCAGTCTCTTTGGGGCGTCTGGCGGCCTCTTCCGCCCCGCGGCGCCCTGCGCTCTCCGCCTTATTTCCGCTCTCCCCCGCTGCCTTCCGGCCGCTTCCCACCTGTGCTGCATTTCGTGTTATTTTCCTGACACGCTTACGCCGACGACCAACGACCGCTGCAGGCCCGGGCCGCTGCCTGGCCGTTGTAGGGTCCGCGCGTCCCCTGGAGGCTTTGGACGCCGTCTGGGGCGTCCCGACGGCTGGGTGAGATTCAGCAGTCTGGTTTCAGAATTGAATTCAGGCTGGGTGAGCTTTAGCGGGCTCCTAGTCGTTTGCGTGGAGTTCTAGCCGGGACTGAGCCTCGAACTTTACTTTGCCTTTGTCTCCCTGTTTCTTCCCCGAGTACCTCGTGTGTGCTGGGCTGTGGGCAGTGGGAGGCCGCGGGTGCACAGGGAAGATAGCTCGCCTCTCCCCCGACACACGGACGGCAGCACACGTCGTGGCACCGCCTTTGTTTCCTAACATCTGGTAGTTTTTAAACCCCTAATTTAAAAATGTTTCTTTGGAGCTGCTGGAAAAACCACAGAACCAGCGGCATTTAATCCTGGCGTTGATATTCTGAGATATTGCGAAGCTGCTTGATTTATTTGGGCACCAGTTTTCTCCTATGTAAATTTAGCTTAGGTAATATTTAAGTTCTTTAAGCTTTAACTGTCTTTACATTCTTGATAAATTCCCCGTAACCTTTATGTTATGTGGTAATCCTAATATAGGCAAATATCAAAGAGGAAATATCATAAGGAGTTTTTTTGTTTTGTTTTTTGTTTTGTTTTGAGACGGAGTCTCGCTCTGTCTCCCAGGCGGGAGAGCAGTGGCAGGATCTCGGCTGACTGCAACTTCCGCCTACCGGGTTCAAGCGATTCTCCTGCCTCAAACTCTCGGGAGTAGCTGGGACTACAGGCGCGCGCCACCACGCACAGCTGATTTTTGTATTAGTAGAGACAGGGTTTCACCATGTTGGCCAGGATGGTCTCGATCTCTGGACCTCATGATCCACCCGCTTCGGCCTCCCCAAGTGCTGGGATTACAGGCGTGAGCCATCGCCGCCGAGCTTTTTAAGTCTTGGCTTCTCTTAAAAATTGGCCTGATTTTGTGTTTGAGAATGGCGTTATAACCAGGAAGCAGGATATGTTGCGTGTATAAGGAGAATAACATATAAAGGACATGTTCAAGGGTCTGTAGAATTTTGCTTATTTAAATAATGGGAAGATATTTTCGTTTCAAGAATCACCACGATGTATATACAGTTTGACAGACTTCCATTTGGATCTTTTCAGAATTGAATCTCCTTATGGGGGTCTAATAATAGACTTGTTTTCAGGGCACACGTTTAAAACATTCTACTTTAAACTTTGTTTGCATCTGTCTGCATTTGTTTGCATTGTTAATAAAATTTGTTTGCATCTTTATAGACATAAAGATGACAGTGCTGCCTGCAATCACTAAATATTAATGCTTTCTGCTTAAGGCACTGCTTTGATTGCTGATTTTCACTTAAGAGGTTGGAGTAATGTACTTGAATATTATTGCCAAATATAATACATATCAACACTTAAAATATATGCATTACTGGATATATTATGAAACAAGAATTATTAATAACGAGAACAAACCCAGTTTATGGACTGAAATTAAGTCTCAGGTTTAATGGTGTTATTTTATTGTTAGGAGAAGGAAGACATGTCAGTTTAAGTAGAGTTTGTGACTACAAATCAAGTAATTGCTGTAAAAATTGTCCAGATTTGCATATTAATGCCGAATGTTATTTCTCATTTTACTACCCGATGATTGATGAGGCAAGAAAATGTGATCTCTATGTTCAAATTGGTAACAGATTTAAAATAACAGATTATGAAGGACCTTGTGTAAGGAATGGTGTACTTAATTTGGACAAGAATATGTAGATATCTTTATCCTGAATTCAAACAGCATATACACCTTTGTGTTCAAAGCAGTATTTTTTAAAAGTATTAGTTACAGTTTTTTTAAATAGTTCAATTTTTAAGTCATTCAGAATTTAAACTTAATATTAAAACTTTTATCCATTATATATTTAACTTCTAGCAATAAAATGTGCTCTCATTCTTTAATAAAAACAACTTAAAATGGAATTGAACTGATCCATCTGTACACTTATTTCGAAATAATTTTAGACTTCCATGTCCACACACTTTTGATTAACTCTTCTCGTTTTCCAAGAACGAGAAGTGTAGTGGCTGTAGTGCAGTCTGTCACTAAAATGAATTGCTGCTTAAAAACAAACAGAAAACCTCCATTGACCTGGCAACCATTGACCTGGCAACCATGGTTTCCATGTACCATACTCAATGACAACAGTGCTAACAAATCAGGAGTTTAGTACCATGTAATTCAAGAAATGTCATAAACATTTAATGTGCCCCTATAAAGGCACGCTTTGATATTCTTAATTTTTTTCATTATTACATTGAGTTTTTAAAACCCACAGTAAGATTATATAATGTTCTCTTTCACAGCTTTCTAAATTTTTACAGTAACTTGGAAGATGAAGTTTCAGTTGAAGTAGTTTTAATACAGCTGACACAGTTCCTTTAAATAATTTTCATTAATGTTTTGCTTAAATTGTGCTTGTCTTTTTTCATTAATATACTTTCTATTTTTGAATGGCAGTACAAATTTGAAAATACATATTTTTGATAATTGTTAAGAAGGTTAAAATTAAAGGAGATATAGTTAGCACTTAAAGATAAAGGCTTGATTCACATTGTTACTTGAATAGCTTGTGATTTGCTATCCTGTCTTGGCCTTTTGCTTCATACCTTAGAGAGGTTTTTTCCTTCTATTTTTTCTTTTGAAAGTGAGCTAGAGAGGAATCTTTGAAAGTCTACAGTTTAGGGAAAAAAATACATATCTGAAAGCTAGAGTTAAATATGGCACAACTTTTAATTTCTCATTCCCACTTTGTCTGCAAAACCATTTTTGACATTCTACTCAGGATCCCTCCTTCTCTTACTTGGATTACTTGGGTCAGCAGGGTAAGGAAATAAGTTTTTAGAACGCTTTGTAGTGTGACTTCACACCTGAAAGTGGCAGAGGACAAATTAAGTCTGGAAGCCTCAATTGGTATGTCAGTTTTGCTTTAATGTATAGGACAGATGTGCTTTCTTGGATATTTAGGTAACAGGTTGATTCTGGAGTATTTTAGAATGAATGTATTGTATGCTTGTTTTAGATTTGATTATATTTCTCTGGCTATTCTTGAATTTTGCCTCTTTTAGAAATAAACTTTTGTTAAATTAATATGTTAAAGTTAGGTAATTTTGAACTTTCTTGTGAATTATACACGTGCATATATTTTGTTTTGGAGGCTTTGAGATAAGGGTTTTTTTTTCTAAAGAGAATATAGGATTGGTGACTCTTCAGTGTGTCTTTTACTTCTGTAATTTCAAGCTTTCATAATATTTTGATTGAGATTTCTTGAGATGTACAAAGTCTAGCATATGTTTCTAGTCATTATCTAGTAAAAGGAGCCTTTAATGTGTATGGACTGGCATGTTATTTCATTGTAAGAACCTAAATAATCTCTTTAAAAATAGAACTTTAGAGACATGAATTAACCCAAAAAATAGGTCTGTAAGGTAATTGTAGAGATGGGTTGGATTGCAGAAATCAGCCATTTGGAGCTAGCTGTGAATTGTAGTTAAAAAAAAAAAAAGTCTTGTTTATTAAGTTAAATTCTACATTTTGGATAAAACGGGAGCATATTTATTATTTCTATAACCAGTAAGTAGCATATGTAAGGTACCATATTAAGATTGGTGCAAAAGTAATCACAGTTTTTGCCATTACTTTTAATGGCAAAAACTTTTGCAACAGTCTTAACTAGATTCTTGTTTTTTCTCTCACTGTTTTTCCTGTAGCATGTTTAAAAAAATACAAATGTCACAATTCCCTATTCACATTTTATCAACATGATCTTTAGTGTAGTGGGCCAGTATGATGTCCTGTGGGATGTCGAGGCCATTGAAGACTCTCTGGACTAAATTATTGAAGAGAGTTCAGAGTTATGAATTTCTGAGGCTCCATGGTTTGGGCCCTTGGTCTTTTCGATTACTAATTTTGTGACTTTAAGCAGGACTCTTCACCGTATTTACTTTTGGTTTTCTTGTCTACAGTATTGGAGGTCATCTAAGGTCCACTTGCAGTTGTAATATTACTACAAAATATTCAGTGATGGTTTAATGGCAAAACCTAGAGTCAAACAGTGTTGAGAAAGGTGGTTATATCACTTAAAATGCTCTTAATTTTAAAGGAATGGTGATAGAAAAATATTGAATTTTTTAAAAGACAAAAGACTGAAAGTTGGTTGCTCAGTCAATCCTTATCTTCTGTTTTTTGAGATGGAGCCTCGTTTTCTCCCCCAGGCTGGAATGCAGTGGCACGATCTCAGCTCACTGCAACCTCCACCTCCTAGGTTCAAGCAATTCCCCAGCTTCAGCCTCCTGAGTAGCTGGGATTACAGGCGCATGCCACCATGCCTGGCTAATTTTTTTGTATTTTTAGTAGAGATGGTGTTTCACCATGTTTGCCAGACTGGTCTTGAACTCCTGACCTCAGGCAATCCACCTGCCTCATTCTCCCAAAGTGCTGGGATTACAGGCGTGAGCCACCGTACCTGGCCAGTCTTTATCTTATTAGTGGTTCTGATTACAAAAAATAACATTTCTTTTATCTGAATCTATTAATATTACATTGTTTTATTTATTGCATTTGGTGTCACATAAATCTGTCCATGAGGTATAGTGTAAGATACAAAGCTGATAATACAGACATAAGACTTTTCCCTTGATAAAAATTATTGTCTACTTTCTCTTTCTGCTGTTTAATAAATGTGTGAGGATATTCATCTTAAATCTTCGGTTAAAAAAAAAAAACAGTAGGCCAGGTGCGATGGCTCACGCCTTTAATCCCAGCACTTTGGGAGGCTGAGGCGGGTGGATCACGAGGTCAGGAGTTCAAGACAAGCCTGACCAACATAGTGAAACCCCACCTCTACTAAAAATACAAAAATTAGCCAGGCATGATGGCGCATGCCTGTAGTCCCAGCTACTTGGGAGGCTGAGGAAGGAGAATCGCTTGAACCTGGGGGGTGGAGGTTGCAGTGAGCCAAGATTGCGCCATTGCACTCCAGCCTGGGTGACAGAGCGAGACTCCTTCTTGGAAAACAAAAACAATAACTGTGTGAGGTTAGTAAATTATAAGAACCTAAAAGCAATATAAATGAGATAGTACTTATCATATTGAAATGAATAAGAAAGGAGGAATTGAGGGAAAGCTGAATAGCTTTTTTTCCTTCTCTGGAGATAGATCTTTATAATATAACTTTATTATTTTTCAATAAGTGAGTTTCTACTCTTCTCGGCCATTTGGCCAAGATCAAGTATAGTATGTGTTCTTACCAGTTTAATATCTGATATGTCTTCTATCTGAGGACAAATTTTTTTTTTAATACTTTAAGTTCTAGGGTACAATGTGCAGGTTTGTTACATATGTACACATATGCCATGCTGCACCCATTAACTCGTCATTTACATTAGGTATATCTCCTAATGCTATCCCTCCCCCCTCCCCCCACCCCATGACAGGCCCCGATGTGTGATGTTCCCCACCCTGTGTCCAAGTATTCTCATTGTTCAGTTCCCACCTATGAGTGAGAACATGCAGTGTTTGGTTTTCTGTCCTTGCCATAGTTTGCTGAGAATGATGGTTTCCAGCTTCATCCATATCCCTACAAAGGACATGAACTCACCCTTTTTTATGGCTGCATAGTATTCCATGGTGTATATGTGCCACATTTTCTTAATCCAGTCTATCATTGATGGACATTGGGGTTGGTGTGAAGTCTTTGCTATTGTGAATAGTGCCACAGTAAACATACATGTGCATGTGTCTTTATAGCAGCATGATTTATAATCCTTTGGGTATAGACCCAGTAATGGGATGGCTGGGTCAAATGGTATTTCTAGTTCTAGATCCTTGAGGAATCACCACACTGTCTTCCACAATGGTTGAACTAGTTTACAGTTCCACCAACAGTGTAAAAGTGTTCCTATTTCTCCACATCCTCTCCAGCACCTGTTGTTTCCTGACTTATTAATAGTCACCATTCTAACTGGTATGAGATGGTATCTCATTGTGGTTTTGATTTGCATTTCTCTGATGGCCAGTGATGATGAGCATTTTTTCATGTGTCTGTTGGCTGCATAAATGTCTTCTTTTGAGAAGTGTCTGTTCATATCCTTCGCCTACTTTTTGATAGGGTTGTTTGATTTTTTTTCTTGTAAATCTGTTTAAGTTCTTTGGAGATTCTGGATATTAGCCCTTTGTCAGATGGTTAGATTGTAAAAATTTTCTCCCATTCTGTAGGTTGCCTGTTCACTCTGATGGTAGTTTCTTTTGCTGTGCAGAAGCTCTTTAGTTTAATTAGATCCCATTTGTGAATTTTGGCTTTTGTTGCCATTGCTTTTGGTGTTTTAGTCATGAAGTCCTTGCCCATGCCTGTGTCCTCAATGGTATTGCCTAGGTTTTCTTCTAGGGTTTTTATGGTTTTAGGTCTAACATTTAAGTCTTTAATCCATCTCGAATTAATTTTTATATAAGGTGTAAGGAAGGGATCCAGTTTCAGCTTTCTCCATATGGCTAGCCAGTTTTCCCAGCACCATTTACTAAATAGGGAATCGTTTCCCCATTTCTTGTTTTTGTCAGGTTTGTCAAAGATCAGATGGTTGTAGATGTGTGGTATTATTTCTGAGGGCTCTGTTCTGTTCCATTGGTCTATATCTCTGTTTTGGTACCAGTACCATGCTGTTTTGGTTACTGTGGCCTTATATAGTTTGAAGTCAGGTAGCGTGGTGCGTCCAGCTTTGTTCTTTTTGCTTAGGATTGTCTTGGCAATGTAGGCTCTTGTTTGGTTCCATATGAACTTTAAAGTAGTTTTTTCCCATTCTGTGAAGAAAGTCATTGGTAGCTTGATGGGGATGGCATTGAATGTCTAAATTACCTTTGGCAGTATGGTCATTTTCATGTATTGATTCTTCCTATCCATGAGCATGGAATGTTCTTCCATTTGTTTGTGTCCTCTTTTATTTCATTGAGCAGTGGTTTATAGTTCTCCTTGAAGAGGTCCTTCACATCCCTTGTAAGTTGGCTTCCTAGGTATTTTATTCTCTTTGAAGCAATTGTGAATTGCTTCACATGATTTGGCTCTCTGTTTTTTATTGGTGTATAAGAATGCTTGTGATTTTTGCACAACGCTTTTGTATCCTGAGACTTTGCTGAAGTTGCGTATCAGCTTAAGGAGATTTTGGGCTGAGACAATGGGGTTTTACAAATATACAATCATGTCATCTGCAAACAGGGACAATTTGACTTCCTCTTTTCCTAATTGAATACCCTTTATTTATTTCTCCTGCCTGATTGCCCTGGCCAGAACTTCCAACACTATGTTGAGTAGGAGTGGTAAGAGAGGGCATCCCTGTCTTGTGCCAGTTTTCAAAGGGAATGCTTCCAGTGTTCGCCCATTCAGTATGATACTGGCTGTGGGTTTGTCATAAATAGCTCATTATTTTGAGATACGTCCCATCAATACCTAATTTATTGAGAGTTTTTAGCATGGAGGGCTGTTGAATTTTGTCAAAGGCCTTTTCTGCATCTTTTGAGATAATCATGTGGTTTTTGTCTTTGGTTCTGTTTATATGATGGGTTACGTTTATTGATTTGTGTATGTTGAACCAGCCTTGCATCCTGGGGATGAAGCCCACTTGATCATGGTGGATAAGCTTTTTGATGTGCTGCTGGATTCGGTTTGCCAGTATTTTAGTGAGGATTTTTGCATCAGTGTTCATCAGGGATATTGGTCTAAAATTCTCTTTTTTTGTTGTGTCTCTGCCAGGCTTTGGTATCAGGATGATGCTGGCCTCATAAAATGAGTTAGGGAGGATTCCCTCTTTTTCTATTGATTGGAATAGTTTCAGAAGGGATGGTACCTGCACCTCTTTGTACCTCTGGTAGAATTTGGCTTTGAATCCATCTGGTCCTGGACTTTTTTTGGTTGGTAGGCTATTAATTATTGCCTCAATTTCAGAGCCTGTTATTGGTCTATTGAGGGATTCAACTTCTTCCTGGTTTAGTCTTGGGAGGGTGTATGTGTCCAGGAATTTATCCATTTCTTCTAGATTTTCTAGTTTATCTGTGTAGAGGTGTTTATAGTATTCTCTGATGGTAGTTTGTATTTCTGTGAGATCGATGGTGATATCCCCTTTATCATTTTTTATTGCATTTGATTCTTCTCTCTTTTCTTCTTTATTAGTCTTGCTAGTGGTCTATCAATTTTGTTGATCTTTTCAAAAAACCAGCTCCTGGGTTCATTGATGTTTTGAAGGTTTTTTTGTGTCTCTATCTCCTTCAGTTCTGCTCTGATCTTAGTTATTTCTTGCCTTCTGCTAGCTTTTGAATGTGTTTGCTCTTGCTTCTGTAGTTCTTTTAATTGTGATGTTAGGGTGTCAATTTTAGATCTTTCCTGCTTTCTCTTGTGGGCATTTAGTGCTATAAAATTCCCTCTACACACTGCTTTAAATGTGTCCCAGGGATTCTGATATGTTGTGCTGAGAACAGATCTTAAATGGATTTTTGGAGCCAGGAGAGGGAATAGGAGCTTGCTCCATCTGCTCCACTCACTGACTTGATATTGCAGTACCTCCAGGTATGGTGCATTCCCCTCGGGGGAATAAATTTTTAAAAAAAGCAAAATGAGTTTCTTCAGAATATCACATATACCTGTTTTTCAAATGTAAATACATCTTAAAATGAATTATCAGGGCCCAGATTGTATTGATGGGTAGATATTCTATGATATTACAATTATGAAACAATGTTGACTATTTAAGACAATGCAGAATTCTATTACTAATGGTCAGACTAGGGAAGTTTTAAGATGTTTTCTGTTTATATTTGGACAGATAGCTCTTAAGTTTGCTAATATGAAAAGTTTTATCTTGGAAAAGCGGGAAAAATTAGCCATTTCATGGATGGGACAAGTGAGTAAAAGATCAGACGGGAGGTAGGAAGAACTGGCAGGTTGAATCTAATAAGATGAGATTAAGTTGATTCTAAATTCGGATACTTGATATAGGGTGGGGCAGATTTGAGGTTTTTGTTGACAGCATGCTGAATTTCAACCGACAATAGCATGCAGCTTTGTAGAACACCATTGTGCTGTTTATCTGTATTGCTGGAGTTTTCAATTTTGGCCAACCACACTTTTGAAGGAAGAAGAGACAGGATAATGAGAGAACATAAACTATGTCATATAAGAAACAGTTAAGTAGCATTTTCCCATGGTTCTGTAGAAACTTAATAGATAGGCTAAGGACAATTAGGGTATCATGCTGAAACACTTGAGTTAAAGCTGGAAAGTTCTTTTTAACTGAAACTTTTCTTGGCCTTAAATATGCAGATGATCATTGTGATCCTTTTAAGAGGGATGCATAGTGATTTCTCAGGTGTGTTTAGACATCGAACACATTTTGGAGACCTTTTAATCACCTCTGGAACAATGTTTTAAGGGATGCCAGTTTAGGAAGTGTCTGGTTAAAATAACTGGTAATGAGGTCAGGTGCCGTGACTCACGCCTGTAATTCCAGCACTTTGAGAGGCCAAGGCGGTGGATCACTTGAGCCCAAGAGTTCGAGACCAGCCTGGGTAACATATTGAAACCCCATCTGTATAAAAAATTAGCTGGATGTGGTGGTGCATGACTGTAGTCCCAGGTACTTGGAAGTGAATCATCTTTCAAATGCAGTTATATGAAAGGGGCAGGTTCACTTTTGCCAGAAAGTTAAAATCAAGATCGAAATGTGAAAGTTAACCAGGAAAGAGATTATGATACATTATAAGAAATAAGTTTCTTAAATAATTATTCAAAGTTTAGTTGCTCTAGAGGATAATGAGTTCTTTGTAAGAATAAAAAATAAGATGCATATCTTCTTTGTGGCAATATTATAAAGAGGATACACATATCAGGTGGGTGGTTGAATTAGATGATTTTTAAGGTTTCTTATAAATCTGAAATTACTTTTATTAAGGGTTTTCCAAAAAGTTTTGTTGCCGGACTTTTCCATCTAAGTTAATACAATGTTTGGGTTGTTTTAAAAGCATGAAATAGTTTTTCGGAGAAGGTATGAATAATTGATTTGATGTTATAATCTAAAAAAAATTGTGAAAAAAATCTGGATTCAGGTATTTGTGTTGCTATTTGTAAGTTACATGACCTCAAGTAAATCACATAGCTTTTCAGAGATGTGAATTTTAAATATCTAAAATTAGAGTAGTACAAGTAGGGGTTAGTAGCCCAGCATTTGGGCAAACAGATTTCTGATTTGAATACCATATTTACCTTATCAATTTAATAGCACTATTACTTTCTCTCTTAGTCTCGTTTTATGTATTTTTAAACTGGAAAAGAAAAATATTTACAGATTACTATAAATAATAAATGAGATAATGTATATAAAGTGCGTGTCATTATATGTGGTATTTAATATGCTAAATCATTAAATGTAGAAGTAAAATGGAATTTCATAGATTAAGAAAGTAAAGGTCAGAGTTGTAAAGTGCTTGCCAAAATCTGACCAACAACTGGAATTCAGGTCTTCTCCCACACAGTTGCATTATTTTTAGTTAAATCATGATGTCTCTCCTTCCGTGTCTCATTCATTGAATGAATAGTTATCATATGCCAAGGGGTCTGCATGGTGCTTTGGATTCAGAAATGAAAGGCTAGACCCTTTTCAATGTCTGGTAGTGGGAGAGAGATGGAGGGAATTGACAGTCACAGCACGCTGAAATGGATTCTGTGATATAAGTACATATAAGGGAATACTTGATTTAGAGTTGAGAGGGAGGGTCAGGGAGGGTTTTCCTGGAGAATATTAGGAATAGGAAAGGCCAAGAAAGTAGAGAAGGACTATAGGAACAATCTATGTAAAGGAACATATATGAGCACCTGGCATATTTGAGAATTTGCAAATAGGTCAGCATTGTTGTTGGCATATCATAAGAAATGAAGCTGGAGGAAGAGATGATGAAGAGATCCTTATGGCTTTCTAAAGAGTTCAGATTTTATTTTTAAGGAACTGGGAAACCCCTGAAAGGGCTTTTTATTTAATTGAGTAGCACATGCTCTTGATAATCACAGAAAAGTGAGAAGTAAGGGTTACTTGAGTCCTTATTCCTACTCACCAATGATAACTACCAGTAAAGTTCCTTGTAAATTATTTCAACATTTTTATATTCCTACACAGCCATCTATGAATGTGTACATGTATATCTTTAAAACAACACACAGTTGATATGAAAGTAAATATATTTTCTACTTGCTCTTTCTCACGTATTTCTTGAATATTTTTCCATATCAGTACATGCAAATCTATGATATTCTTTAATAGCTTCATAACATTCCCTGTATAGTTGTATCCTGATTTTTGATGCAGTCCTCTACTGAAGAGGAGCTAGATATTTTCTAGACTGTTATTTCTATATACAGTGTTTCACTGAACATTCTTATGCTTATATCTTTGTATACTCTTGCAGTTATATCTGTAGGTTAAATTTTTAGTAATTATGAAGTATATGTGTATTTTAGATTTTGATAGCTATTATCAAATTTTCCTCTAAAAGGATAATTTCAGTAATGCATACATGCTAGCAGTGTATGAAGTCTTAAGTTTTCCCTGAGTTTTCTGTTGGGCTTCCCAGCAGATAATTATTGAGTACCTTCTGTGTGCCAAAGACTGTGGTGGGTACTTGAGAAAGTGTTGAAGGCTGAAGTGGTCTCTGCCCTCATGCAGCCCAGAGTTTGAACCGTAGGAAGCCTGCAGGTGTTTTGTTTGGTCTGTACACTTTCATAGCTGTTTGACAAATTAATTTTCAGTTTTTAAATATTGAGAGATTTTGAAAAATTGGAAAATTTGGTATAACTAGGCAAGCTGGATTCTCTTGTATTAGTTTGCTGGAGTTTAGTAGCCACTGCCTTTTTCAGATGGTGCATTGGACTTTATAGGAGCACGGTCGATTCCATTTCTTATGGTCTCATTTCTTGACCTCTTAACATTTCTTGCCAGAGCCTTGTAAAAGCATTTGAGTGATCGTTTGATATTCAAATTTAAAATTCCTTAAACTGAACCCTGATCTTACCCCTAAAACCAGTTCTACTCAGTGTTCATCTCTTTCCTTGTTGCTTAGGCCAGAACTGTGGTGTCATCCTTCACTTGCCTGTTTATCTCACAGTATGTCAGAAAATTCTGTTGGATGTACTTCAAAATATATCTCAAGTCAGACCCCTTATCCCTTCCACCTCAACCTCTCTGGCCCATGCCACCATCATCTCTTGCCTGGATTTTAGTAGTAATCACTTTTTTTTTTTTTTTTTTTTTGAGATGGATTCTCACTCTTTGGCCCAGGCTGGACTGCAGTGGTGCTATCTCTGCTCACTGCAAGCTCCGCCTCCCGGGTTCTTGCCTTTCTCCTGCCTCAGCCTCCTGAGTAGCTGGGACTACAGGCACCCGCCACCACGCCCGGCTAAATTTTTCTATTTTTACTAGAGACGGGGTTTCACCGTGTTAGCCAGGATGATCTCGACCTCCTGACCTCGTGATCTGCCTGCCTCGGCCTCCCAAAGTGCTGAGATTACAGGCATAAGTGGTCTCACTGCTTCCACCTTTGCCCTTCTACTGACTTCCCCATGCAACAGCCAGATGATCCTTTTAAAATGAAAGAACCTGTTACTTGTATGCTCAGAATCTATAGTAGCTCCTCATTTAACTCAGAATAAAAGCTAAAGTTTATAAGAAGTTACCTAACTTACAAGGTATACCTTGTACATGCCAAGTACACCTTTATATAAGGCCTTTGTCTTGGTTTCTCCATTTGTATGGGATGTTCTTCCCAGATAGCTGCATGGGTAGGCTCCTTAATTCTTTGCTGGAAGGTTACCTTTTTGGTGAAGTCTGCACTAGCTTTCCTGTTTAAATTGGCAGGTTCTCTTCCCTTGTCAACCTTCCACTGACCCATGTGCCCTATTCCTATTCCTTTTTTCCCTAAGTATTCTTACCTCTTATTATTTGCTTTTTTTTTTTAATCATCTGTTATTTTTTCCCCATTAGAGTGTAAGCTATGCAAGGGAGAAATTCTGGCCTTTTATTTACTAATAATATCCCAGATGTAAGGAATAGTGCATAGAATATAGTTGGTCCTTAATAAATCTTTGTTGAACAAATGAATGCATTTTGAATTTGCAGGCTCTGCTGTGCAGTTTGTTTTTCTTACTGTTTTATTAGGTAATAATAATAGGAAATACATGTATAGTGCTTATATGCAAAGACCTATTTTAAACCCTTTATTTTGAATCCCCTGAATCCTTCTACCCTGAGGTAGAAACTATTATTATCTACTTATTATAGACAGGTAAACATAGGCATTGAGAGGCTAAATAATTTGTCCAAAGTCAGAGCTTAGTAAGGGAAGAACCAGGATTCAGATTTTTTAGCCAGTCTTGAACCTGAGTCTGCACTTTATAACACCATGCTGTCCTTTTTATTTTAAGGAAATTAGCTCTTTATGATGTATTGCAGATCATTTTTCTGTGTAATTTTTTTGACTTAGTTTTTGTGGATTTTTTCTTTTGCCTTCTAAAGTATTTTTATGTAGTAAAAAAATCTATTAATGTATTTTTTTGAGGGATTTGTTTGTTTCAGACAGGATCTTGCCCTGTTGCCCAGGCCAGAGTGCAGTGGTTTGCAGTCACGGCTCACTGCAGCCTCAAACTCCCAGGTACCTTTGAAGCTTTTAAACTTATTTTTTAGAAGGAGCTCCCTGATTTTAAGATTAATAATTTAGTCATTTTCTTCCTTATTTTTGATTTGAAATAGAAGTTTAAATTAAGCAGATATATATTTTATATCACCTTGATAGCATTATGGAGATTTTGAGGGCAACAAAATTAAAAGTTGGAACAGCATTTAGGAACCTAGCACTAATTGAAGTAAAAAATAATCATCTGAGAATAGGCTGTAGGGATGGACGGGAATAGACTGATTTCAAGAAATATTTAGGGCCGGGTGCAGTGGCTCACATCTATAACCCCAGCACTTTGGGAGGCCTAGGTGGGTGGATTGCTTGAGCTCAGGAGTTTGAGACCAGCCTGGGCAACGTGGTGAAACCCAGTCTCTACACACACACAAAATAAAAACAAAAATTAGCCAGGCATGGTGGTGTGTGCCTGCAGTCCCAGCTACTTGGGGGACTGAGGTGGGAGAATCACTTGAGACCAGGAAGCCAACACTGCAGGAGCCACCTTCACACCACTGCACTCTAGCCTGGGTGACAAAGTGAGACTCTGTCTCAAAAAATGAAATAAATATCTGATAAAATCTTCAAGTCTTAGTGACTGATGAGCTGTGCATCAAAGGACTCTGGGATAACACCCAGATTTCTGGTTGTGAGAGTTTGGAAGAGAGGAAATATGTTTGTTGGGGTGCCATTTATTGGTTGAATGTAAGCCACAGGAAAATCCAGTTGGCTTAGATGATAAAATGATTTAAATTTTGGGCTATGTAGATTGGCAGGTATATTCATTGATGGCTTACATTTTGTTGTTACTCTGTTTGCTTTCCTTTTTCTTCTCTTTCACTTAATTTTGTTTTTTCATTCTTTGTTGCTTTCTCTTTTTCATTGTTTGTGTCCCTTTCTTATAGCTTAGGCCTTCTAAAGGTACTGCATAATTGGTCAGTGACATTGAAAGAAGTTTCCAAGTTTCCACTGTAGGGAAGAGCTTTGGGGCAGAACCTCAGAGGACAGTGAAGGCTAATCAAACATGCCAGCCACAACTGTCTTTGTTTTTCTGCAACCCAAAGAAATGCCTTATAGATTCTTGGTATTCTGTTGTAAACTTAACCAGTGTTATTAAACTTTATTTTAGGAACTGCAACCATGAATGAAGAAAATATAGATGGAACAAATGGATGCAGTAAAGTTCGAACTGGTATTCAGAATGAAGCAGCATTACTTGCTTTGATGGAAAAGACTGGTTACAACATGGTTCAGGAAAATGGACAAAGGAAATTTGGCGGTCCTCCTCCAGGTGTGGATTTGTTTACAGTCTTTTAAATTTAATCTTTAACCTCGTCATGTAGATTAGATGTGTATCCCCACAAGTATTCCAAACAATAGCTCTCTCCTTGTAACTGCTTTAAGACATTTTTTTTTTTACTGTTGAGGAGAGTTAAATTATAAATGTTATTCATGTCTTACCATTACATTTTTTCAGCCCTGCTCTTCATCTAAGAAGCAGTTGAGAAAGAAGCTGGGCTAGGTTGAGAAAGAAGTCAGGATTAGGAAAGTAGGAAAAAGGGTGCTACTCTAGGTGTTAAAGAGGAGATCATCTGGGGAGGAATTTGAAACAGCAGTGAGTAAGTGAGTGGTGTTTAAACTAGAAAACCAAATGGAAACAGGTAAATAGAATGTTCGACTTTTCTACCAATAGTCAGTACAATTCCTTTGCCCGAAACCCTTCAGTTTATCACACTTAAAATAAAAATCTGGCTTCTGGGTACCTCAATGGCTGTAGCACTTACCACTTTCTTCCTTTCTCACGTACATGTTAGCTGTACAGGCTTCCATAATCTATGTTGCTCTGACATAAAAGCGCTTGCTTTTTCTTCTTTCCAAATGCCCTTTTCCCAGATAATCCTCATGGCTCACTCCCTCATTCTATTCAGGTCTCTGCTTAAATCTCACGTACCCAGAGATTTGCCTGACCACTCCCTTGATTTTCTTCGTAGCACTTAACCACTCACTTGTTATCTCCCTTCTCTATTGAATATTAGCTTCATAAGGGAAGGGGCTTTATTTTGTCCACTGTTGTATCACCAATACCTAGAATTGTGAGTGGCACATAGCACAGCAAATTTGTTGAATGAATATATGATTGAATAGTGAGTACAAATATCCAATTAGAATTTATGTGTCTTTTCATTTTTGTCGTTCAGGTTGGGAAGGTCCACCTCCACCTAGAGGCTGTGAAGTTTTTGTAGGAAAAATACCTCGTGATATGTATGAAGATGAGTTAGTTCCTGTATTTGAAAGAGCTGGGAAGATATATGAATTTCGACTTATGATGGAATTTAGTGGTGAAAATCGAGGTTATGCTTTTGTGATGTACACTACAAAAGAAGAAGCCCAATTAGCCATCAGAATTCTTAATAATTATGAAATTCGACCAGGGAAGTTTATTGGTGTGTGTGTAAGCCTGGATAATTGTAGATTATTTATTGGAGCTATTCCCAAGGAAAAGAAGAAAGAAGAAATTTTAGATGAAATGAAGAAAGTTACAGAAGGAGTTGTAGATGTCATTGTTTATCCAAGTGCAACTGATAAGACCAAAAATCGTGGTTTTGCATTTGTGGAATATGAATCTCACAGAGCTGCTGCTATGGCAAGGAGGAAACTAATTCCAGGTAAACTGAAAGGTTGTTTTTCAATATTAACATTATTACAAATATGGAGAGATGATAGTACATCAGGGATCAATATTATCAAAATACTAATGTCACTTAAAGAAGAGTAAAGAATTGTTTGAGTAATGAAGTAAAATAAATTACATGATTCTAAAAGACAAGAAATTGTTCCAGTAAAATGAGTCCTATTTATGATATTTTTACTGGATATATACACTTTGAGCTGTTAATTGTTGTTTAATAAAAATCCAAAGGGCAACACTTAATTCTTCTGATAAAGATCTATCTTTGAAGTGTATTTGTTCTATTGACTCTGAAATTACATAGTAAGTTTTAGTTATTTACTTTAGTAAAAATTTTTGTGTGAATAGGAAACAAATGCTTAACCAAATTTATTGATGTGTAGTTGAGTTTCTGCTTCTCTGGGGAAACAGTTTTACTGAACATCTTTACCTTTTATTCTTTATTTTAATTCTCTTCAAATTATTATTTTTTTTTTACAGGAACATTCCAACTATGGGGCCACACCATTCAGGTAGATTGGGCTGACCCAGAGAAAGAGGTGGATGAGGAAACCATGCAGAGAGTTAAAGTTCTTTATGTAAGAAATTTAATGATCTCAACTACAGAGGAAACAATTAAAGCAGAATTCAATAAATTTAAGCCTGGTGCAGTTGAACGGGTAAAGAAACTTAGAGATTATGCTTTTGTTCACTTTTTCAACCGAGAAGATGCAGTGGCTGCCATGTCTGTTATGAATGGAAAATGCATTGATGGAGCAAGTATTGAGGTAACACTAGCTAAACCAGTAAATAAAGAAAACACTTGGAGACAGCATCTTAATGGTCAGATTAGTCCAAATTCTGAAAATCTGATTGTGTTTGCTAACAAAGAAGAGAGCCACCCAAAAACTCTAGGCAAGCTGCCAACTCTTCCTGCTCGTCTCAATGGTCAGCATAGCCCAAGTCCGCCTGAAGTTGAAAGATGCACTTACCCTTTTTATCCTGGAACAAAGCTTACTCCAATTAGTATGTATTCTTTAAAATCCAATCATTTTAATTCTGCAGTAATGCATTTGGATTATTACTGCAACAAAAATAACTGGGCACCACCAGAATATTATTTATATTCAACAACAAGTCAAGATGGGAAAGTACTCTTGGTGTATAAGATAGTTATTCCTGCTATTGCAAATGGATCCCAGAGTTACTTCATGCCAGACAAACTCTGTACTACGTTAGAAGATGCAAAGGAACTGGCAGCCCAGTTTACATTACTTCATTTGGGTAAGTTTAAAAATACTTTAAATGATGTATAATATGAAATTAGGAAATACTGTAGATTATTTTTAAATTCATTTATTTTGAACTCAACATTAGTGGTAAGTATGTAACATAAATTTTATCTCAATTTTATAAAGTCATGATAACTTTCTTGAAACTTGTGCCCTGTAAAATCTTCCTACATTTAGCTTTTCTTTTTTTTTTTTTTTTTTTTGAGAGATGGAGTCTTGCTTTGTCGCCTAGGCTTATGTGCAGTGGCATGATCTTGGCTCATTGCAACCTGTGCCTCCTAGGTTCAGGCGATTCTCCTGCCTCAGCCTCCCGCGTAGCTGGGACTACAGGCACGTGCCACCATGCCAGGCTAATTTTTTGGCTAATTTTTTGTATTTTTAGTAGAGACAGGGTTTCACTGTGTTAGCTAGGATGGTCTCGATCTCCTGACCTCGTGATCTGCCCGCCTCGGCCTCCCAAAGTGCTGGGATTACAGGCGTGAGCCACCGCACCTGGCCTACATTTAGCTTTTTAAGCATTAACCTGTGGGAAAATTTGGTTTTACTGTAGTGTTCATAACCCTGTTTTATTAATTTATTGTTTTTTTAATGACTAATTCTCAGTTGAAATAAAAATTTTTTGTATAAGTTACAAGATATGTTCATTAAACCAATTTATTATAGAGTGTCCCTGCATCTTTGGTGAAGTCTACATAATGATCTTTTTGAGGGGCAGGGGATAGGGAGTTAGTAAAATCAGTGGGATTTCAGATGGGTCGTGTGTAGACACAGCTTTATGCTCACCAATCTGGAAATTTGTCATTATCACTCATGAAAGACAAAAAGCATCATTAAGAGATGTTTGTGACCATTCTCTTTTTAATTTCATGTTTTTCAAAAAGTAAATTTTCTTTAAAACGTTTGAAGGATAATTATGAAAGGCTTTGCAAAAGCATAGAAAGATATGCTAACTAAATATTTGACGTTGTGAAGGAAGAGACATAATATCACTATGGTGTTTTCCTACTTTCTGTTTTTTACTGTTAGGTTAGCCTCCCCCCTCCTCCACCCCCCAAAACCTGTTTATTTTTTAATGCGGCTATAGATTTTAGTGATGATTACTTTGTGTCCCAAATAATATTTATTGGAAGAGTAGTGGTTTCCTGAGAATCAAATAAAAGAGAAAGATCTTTTGAGTGTTATCATTGTTTCTTGATTATAATTGTGAAACTCTTCACTGAAAATTATTTTTTATATGGTTGCAGAACCATAGTACAGAAGCTTATATGTATTTAAAATTCATATTCTCAAGTTTAAGAGAAAACAGTCAAGAAAAACATTCTCAAAAGGGAGAATAATTTTTATATATTGTTTAGGCTTGCTTTTATATATTGTTTAGGCTTACCATAGCCACTGCCATAGTATTAGAAATTTTTTTTTTTTTTTTGAGATGGAGTCTGTCTTTGTCACCCAGACTTGAGTGCAGTAGCATGATCTTGGCTCACTGCAACCTGTCTCCTGGATTCAAGCAATTCTCCTGCCTCAGCCTCCTGAGTAGCTGGGATTACAGGCGCCCACCACCGTGCCCGGCTAATTTTTGTATTTTAAGTAGAGACAGGGTTTCACGACGTTGGCCAGGCTGGTCTTGAACTACTGACCTCAGGCGACCCGCCCTCCTCAGCCTCCCAAAGTATATTACAAATATTTTTAAGAGATTCTGATTTGGAGATATCAGCAAAACTTGTGGGACTAAAGGTAAGGTTCTGCTTGAAGACACATTTAAGCAGTGTCTTCAATTATTAGTTTGGAGATATTTGGGGATTTAGCATCATTGAAGCTAATAAATTCTTAGTTCTTATTTCTATTGATGCACAAAATAGAAGCCTTCAATTTTACTTTCAATAAAGACCATCTAAGTTAAAGATAAAATTGTTAGGTAGACAGCAAATAATTCAAATTAAGTTTCTTAGAGAAAAATGGGTCTAAATATTATTTTGGAGTGGGATGTAATTAGTTGCTGAGCAAGTTTCTCCCAAGATACTTGTGTCTGATCTACCATGCTAATACTGAAATATTTTTAAAATTTCTATCCTCCCTCATTCCCTTACACATAAACTTCTAAAATTCTTACAACATAGCCATATTAGTTTAATTTATGGCAAAATTATATGTAGACATTGTTTGCCCATTTCATAAAGAAGATTCAGATTCTATATGGAAGCAGAGCTTTTAACTCCCTTATTACCATAGTTAACTATATAGCATAGTTAAACCGATAGTTCCCTAAGAAAACACCTAATCAGGTACAATATTTTCAACTTAATTATGGTTAATTAGTGATCAAGGTAACATCAGTAAATGAAATCCTTAGTGGGCACATGCAGATTGCTTTAGTCATCTATTCCAGATTTTATCAACCTTGTATCAATGCTGATTTTAATAAAAAGTTGAACAATTTGTATTTTATGTATTTCCTCAATCTGTATTCAGGCTCAGAACAGTTAATATAATGTAAGCAAAATTCACATATAAACAAAAAGATTAAACAAAACCCTAGGTCCTATTTCGGTGGAGTACGCAAAGCCTGAGGTCTTGTCTATGGACAGTAACACAGAAATCCTTATGGTGCTTGACTACCTATGTAAGTGAAGATTGTTGAGTTAGAGGCAGGAAAATATATTTAGGCAGCTGAGAAGGAGAAAGAGAATTCAGGGAAGCAGAAGAGCCAGAGATCAGGGGTCTAGGAAACTTTGATCAGAAAACAAATGTCAGCCCTTCAGAGGTCATTAAAGTAGGGCCAGGAGCTGTAGACAGTGAGGAGGTTCTATGTTGCCATATGGCAGGTTAAGAGTAGATCTGAGTGTTGCCATAGCAGTGTTCTGGATCACTTTTTCCCTTCTGTTAATGTTGGAGCCTCTGGGTTTTAAAAGGTTGATGCCTTTCTAGTTACACCTTCTTTTAGTTAAAGGTAATAGGGTTTCATCAAATAGCTCAGAGTTGAGATCAATTGGTGGTAGTGGTGTGTTCTTGACATCCTAGTAAATACTTACGTAGTCCAAGGATTGAATTGTTTTGAAGTCTTGAGAGGTTGTTATTAGTTCCTAGAGTTTCTCAAACGAAGTTCCTTACCTATTAAGTCATCTTTTGGCTCTATTAAAGAATTTGAGAAGTCAAATTTTCTAGAGAATCCATTTAAGTACTGTTTTTAAGATATTTTCTTTGGGGATAGTAATTTTTTTTTAAGAATTTGCCTCAGTATCCTTATTTTAACCCTTTCAGTGTGATGCTATTTTGGGAATTACCATCCAATCTTAACCTTGATGATCTTTTACTATCATATGTGATATAAAGTCATTTTTTAAATTAATATTTTAGATCTCTTTAAGAGTGTACTTTTAATATCCATACAGTTTTGGTGTTACCACTTCTATTTCCCAAGTTTGAAAAATAAAAGAAAAAAAATTAGGCTTTGCTTAAATGGCAATCATTGCTGTTATGAAAAAAAATGTATGTCTTTTCAGGGATAACAGGCACCTACATGAGTACTAGAAGTCATGGAGTTTACTTCTGGTGAGCATTTAGTGATCTTACTAGCATCTCAAAAGTTCTTGGTTTACAGGTCCTTAAAATCAATTTTTAAAATATTTAGGTGTTTTTTTTGGTCCTATCTAAAGGAAGCTCTATTTTAAGCAAAATACCCTTAATAAAAGAAAAGCTGGAAGTTGGGGTTAATGCCAAAATAGAACCTTCCTTATCCTTTTTCACTTACTTAAAATTAGAGACTATCTTCATCTTCATAATGGCAAGGAATGACCTCTCTTATCTCACTGGAAACTCATTACCTAACCAGCAGGAAAAGAAATTATGGGCTGGGCGCGGTGGCTCACGCCTGTAATCCCAGCACTTTGGGAGGCTAAGGCGGGCGGATCACTTGAG
The DNA here is from genome assembly GCF_000001405.40 of Homo sapiens. Taxonomy (NCBI): domain Eukaryota; kingdom Metazoa; phylum Chordata; class Mammalia; order Primates; family Hominidae; genus Homo; species Homo sapiens. The sequence continues at coordinate 154,803,488 of NC_000004.12, forward strand.
GTCAGGAGATAGAGACCATCCTGGCGAACACGGTGAAACCCCGTCTCTACTAAAAATACAAAAAAATTAGCCGGGCGTGGTGGCAGGCGCCTGTAGTCCCAGCTACTCTGGAGGCTGAGGCAGGAGAATGGCGTGAACCCGGGGGGCGGAGCTTGCAGTGAGCCGACATCAAGCCACTGCACTCAGGCCTGGGCAACAGAGCCAGACTACGTCTCAAAAAAAAAAAAAAAAAAAAAAAAAAAAGGAAATTATGTATTTACTGGGTTATTTTTAGGGATCTGTAATCTGTAGGATAGTGAGTGAGTTTAATGGGTAGAATCCTGATATAGTTTGGACATTTGTCCCTGCCAAATCTCATGTTGAAATGTAATCCCCAGTGTTGGAGTTGGGGTCTGGTGGGAGGTGATTGGATCATGGCGGTGGATTTCTCATGAATGGTTTAGCACCATTCCCTTGGTGCTGTCTTCGCAATGGTGAATGATTCCTCACCACATCTGGTTGTTTAAAAGTGTGTAGCACCTTCTTGCTTTCGCTGTCTTGCTCCTGCTCTTGCCATGGGATGTGCCTGCCTCTGCTTCGCCCTCAGCCATGAATAAAAGTTCCTTGAGGCCTTCCCAGTAGCCTAGCAGATTCTGGCACCATGCTTGTAAAGCTTACAGAACTGTGAGCCAATTAAACCTCTTTTCTGTATAAATTACCCAGTCTCAGGTATTCCTTTATAGCAGTGCAAGAATGATCTAAACCAAATATAGACTGGAGGGTTAGAATAGATAGGTTCTATATTAAATATTTGCTATATGGAGATATCTTGGGTCATTCAGTATCACTTATTTTTAAGTAAGTCTTTTCTATCTTCACAATCTCGTTATCTGTTTAGTAATAAAGCAAACTATCAAGGCGAATAGTACTTCTCTTTCTAAAAGTCAACTCTGTTTTGAATCTGGGTCTTTCAGTATTGCCACTGCTTTTCTTTGGAGGATTCTTTGCATTGTAGAAGTGGAATAAACAAAATCAAGGAGATCAAGGAACGTCCTGGAGAGTTAGAGTTTTGAAGAAGAAAGTCCTGGAGAATACTTAGTGGAAAGAGGAAGGTAGTCTTATCTGTATTGATAATTCACCTTGTTGTATAATTTATTAGCAAATAATTTTAAGCAGGGCATCTCTTCTGTGTTTGTGTAATACTGATACAAGTGGTATTTTTTTCTTACTTGTATGGCTATTGGAAAATTTTTAAAACAGGGATGAAGAACCTGTCACTAACATGTGCCACTGATTTAATTTCATCAGATTTGTGTACTGTTGTTCTGGACAAAAATGATTAAGGTTGTTTTTTTTTTTTTTTTTTTTTTAAACAGGTCTTTTTGAAAGCCTCTTACATGCTAAGTGTGCTTTCCTAAGCATTCTGGAGCTAAAGATAAATAAAACATTGTTTTTTTGTTTAAGGAGTCACAGTCTAGTGATGAAGGCAGATACACAAATTCTTTGCATAGGTTATTTTGGGAGTAGAAGAGGAAAAAGGTATGCTTCCCTGACCTCAGTTGTAAACCCTTTGCAGAGTTTGTGTCAGAGAGGGGCACAACATGAGCAAACTCCTCTTAGAAAAATAGCATGTGGTGGTTTAATGGCAGGTAGTTCTGTATATTGTTTGCTTTCATAATTTCAGTGTGACTTAGGAAGAATTAAAGGAGTTGAAAAGATGTAAACATTAGTTAATTAAAATTTCATTAGTCCTGTTTCTTAAAACTTTGCTTTTTTTTCTTAGTGCAACTATGTTGGATATATCTGCTTTTCCTCTGAGCAAGTATTTTTTTCCCAGATGAATCCATCTTGATTTGTGTGGACCATTTTGTGTGTGAATATTCATTCTTACAATATCTTTTGTACTTACTTATTTCAGTATTCATTTTGTAATGGACTTGTATATTGCTTCTTATATTTGACTTTGAAATGGCGTACATCAGTAGAATCTTGCATTTTTTTCTGGTAATTGAATAGTATTTAGTAGATATATATTCTAAGCATGATAGTCGCTGTTAGCTTATCCTTTTTTTCAAATGAAGCTTTTATTTCTGTTATCACTTGTAAATTTGTTGTTGAAAGTTACACTTTTGTGAAAGTATACTATTGTGAGAAGTTTTAATCTGAAAAATATTTGGTGCTTTTTTTCTTATGAGCTATTATTATTTCCAGATTGATGGGCAGAAATGCAAAAATAAAAAATAATTTCAGATAAAAATATTCCAAACCATTGCTTTGAAATAAAGAGAAACTTTCTCCAGGTTTTTTTAACTTAAGAAATAATTCTAGGAGGCACTTAAGCCAAACATGAAATAATGATTCTATGATATTATAATGGAGTTATAAATTATAAATAGAAGAAAAATAATACTTTTCAGAATTTTTTTCCAGTTTTAACTACAGCTCTAACTTGGATGATACTATTCAAACTCATATTTTAAAGAACAAAGGTAATTTGCAAAATTTCTTTTAAAATTTACCTACTTAAATGAGAAATAGGCATCAGGATCAACATTTTACACATTTGTTTTCATATGACCAAGTGGTGACCAAAATTCCATTAACTCAACTATGTGTCTTTGACCCTCTGAGAGGGCTTAGTCCTCATGAAAATGTATTTGTATTACTCTTGAAGTTTACTTTTTTTTTTCTGAAAGACCATTTAAATGAACATTTAGCATTACTTATAATTCTCATCTTACAAACACTTGTATTAATGCACCATATATATTATGGAGTTAGTACAGTGAGAGAAGCAGCTTAATAGAATGATTACCAGAATAAAAGTATAAGAATTGAGAATCCTTTCTCAGCCATCAACAAATTGTGTGACCTTAGAATGGCAAATGAATTGTTTAGTCATTGGACTTCAATGTCCTCAGATCTAAAATATCAGGATTTTATTTAGTAAGTTTTAAGGAATCTTTTTTCTAAAAAGATTATGGTTTCATTTAAAATATGGTCAAAATCCTATGTAGAACCAAAAATAATACTTTAAAATATTTTATGTCTGCAGAGATACATATTTGAGTACAAGTAGTTTAAAACCAACAGCTGCTTTTGCAAGAAATAATCCATCAGTTTAATATCCCTTCCTTTATGGAATTCAAAGCTTATGCCCCCCTACTTCACAGCAGAACAGCTGGAAAAAAAAATAAATAAATAAAAGATTCAGTCAGTCAACTGTTTTATTTGCATAATGACAACTAATTGTTTTTCAGTTATTTTCTTCTCTGAATTTGCTAATCAATTACTATAGCCAAAACCAAGGTTTTTAGAAAACAAGTTAACTACTTAAAAGTTTGGAAACTAAATTTTCTTTTTGTAACAGAGGATCTAGGAAAATAATGATGTGTATCAAAACATGCCATGTGGGGAGTATCTGTCCCATAGGTTTATTAACTGATGAAGGTGATCCTTATTATTTTATTTACTTCATAAATCTATTTGATCATGCTTGATTCTTTACCCTATAACTTCTTAATGTCTGGTTAATACGGTCCTAAAATACTCCTTCTAATAAACTAGTTTTAATAGCAGCTACTGCTGTATTAATCTAATGTCTAATCTTATTTAATTCATATTTTTAAAAATGGTTTTAAAAATTTCCCTTTATGTCAGATGCCATTAGCAATTGTGTGTATATGTTAAATATACACACAATTAAATGTTAGTAGCAGTTCATAATTTTGCCACATGATGTCCCTAAATACATATTTTGAATGTAGCAGTTCATAATTTTGCCACATGATGTCCCTAAATACGTATTTTTAATGTGGCTTTAAAAGGAAATTTAATGTTACGTTGATTTGTAGCTCCTCTTTGTCTTACCTTTCTTTTTTTTTTAGAATCAGAAAAATCTCTGTGAAATGCTCTACTTAGTCTTCTTCAGCCTATCATGCCCTTATCTCTGCTTCCTGTTTAATATTTAGTAGACAATTTTTTATGCTGTAGCAGTGTAATTAAGTGAATGGACTCATGAATAAGGAGACAGAAGATGTAGAATGATGGTTTCACTATGGCGAATTTATTTTATGCTTTTAACTACTTTAAAATTCAGTGTTTCTTCCAGGCCTTTTAGGTAAAATCAAACATAGTATCTGCCCTTACTAGTTAATATCTGATATATCATCAATCCCAGAGCATTTCTTCCTCTTTCCAAGACCTGGTAGTACCTTACCTCCAAGAATGGTTCACTTTCCTGTGAAGCTTCAAAACAGAAGGACAATAATTAAAAACCTTAGTATCCCCAAATAATTAGAAACTTTAAATCACCAGAATATTAATAACTCCTTGGATTTTCATGCTCCTTAAGTGACAGTATTTGGTTAGAGATGTATTAATGACATGCGGGTCCTTATTTGTCTCATATATAGCAAGTAACATTTGAGCTATAAGAATGGCCTGCATATGAAATTTTATGTACACAATAGTTCATATTTTAAGAAAATAATTTGGGTAACTAAATAAATTTAGTTTGCCTATACATTGCTTTGATTCAGTAAATATAATCTTTGTACTACACTAATAATATTATCAGCTCTACTATAATTATGTTTATAACTTTGGATTAAAAAGTATATAAGAGTACAATCATCAGAAAACATCAATCTCTTAAACAGTTGTATTGCCTGATAATTTGGTTTTTGTACTTTGTTACTATTCTTGTGTGTTTAAACAGTATACCTTGATTTCTGTACACAAATTCAAGGGATTGGCACTTATTTAAATAAAATGTAAACCATGATATAAAACTCCACCTTTTTATAGAGTAGATAAATCTTTGTTGACCTATGCTTTACTTTTTCTTTTGTGCAATTTGATTGTCCTTCCATTATATAGTCTAAGGATGTTTTTATTAGAGTTACTTTTTTTCTTTGTACTTTTCTTTAATCCTGTTTTGTATATGGATTTTTGTAAGACCGAAGCCCATTTACTTAATTTTTTTCTTGTTAACTTTGTTTCAACAATACATAGTTCCAGTCTGCTTGTTTACTGGCCAGATTATGGGGTAAATGAATATCCACAAAATTTGCAGCATATGTGCCATGTATGTGGACGGCTTTTTTTTTCCTGCTGCTGCCCAGTTAATTTTTGGTCCAAGGGTGACCAAATCTGTAGTTACGAATTTATGAAAGTATTGGATAATTTGGGGCACAGAAGTTATAAGGTTCCAGGTGAGCCATTATCAATCTTTGGAAAACAGGTTAAGATTCTGTTCTGCACTATAAATAATTCAAGCAGTGAAATGCTTGTTAATTTAAAGGCATTTCACCTGTATATATGTGTGTACATGTGTTTCCTTGAGAGAATAAGAATCCCTTAAGGGATTCCTTGGTGTGAACTTAGGTGTGTGTATCAAGTATAGAAATAGTGATTATACCAGAACATTGAAACATTATTTCTTTTCACTTAAGAATTAAAGGGAAAGAGGCAATACTAAGCAAAAATATGATTGCTTTCACTGTGAAGGCACTCACTTAGTTTCGGAGAGGGATTTACAAATGAGATAGTAATGATTTTCTCTATTTCTTAATATTTTCCCTATTTTACTTAGTAGATTTAAGATTTTTAAGTTATTGTATTGAAATACATATATGTATGTGTGACTCTTCTATTTCTCACTAATATACTAGTGTTCTAAAACTCACTTTTATTGATTTTTTTATATCTTTACATTTTATTTTCTTATTTATGTATTTTTTTATTGTGATTTATGCTCCAGGCAGGGTGTTGCTACATTAGCTAATGTGGCTTGGGAGAAGGATGGACAGGGTTTTCATCAATCCTCTGAGGCCTTGGAAAGCAGCTTGATGATATCAGATGCTCTCATTTGAATTGATATATTGGAGAATGATTTCATTGCCTTTAGATTTAATCAGAATTTTTCTGTAATGATTTTTAATTTTAGTTTTTTTATTCTGAAATTATTTATAATGAGTTTTCTATGACAAAAACTTGTATAATCAACTCCCAAGTATTTAGATAGGAGGCATGAAAAATGGAAAGGAAATAATCTGAATATAGTTAGCTTACTTGTTTATCCTAGAATGCTCTTTAAATATATAGTATATTGATTCTAGAAATTTACACAAATTCAATACAAAACCCAGCTTAGGAAAAGTTGGAAAGATGTTCAGTTTCTCCTCCACTCAATTTCTTAACCTGCAGAGATGACATTGTTTCATACTGATGCAGTGCACTTACCTAAGTATTACATTAGTCTGCCCTCTGTTTTTTCTTCATGGTTTTTACTGGTAAGGGTAGGTTGTTCACTTTCATTCCTGCCTCATTCCACAAAAGATTTGAGGTGGCTCCTTAAAAATATGTAAAATACAAAAGGATTCAGATTTTAAATTGGAGAAATTGAGACAATTGGAAATTATGATTAGGAAAATAAAGCCAAGCAAAACCAAACAATAGGTTGTTTAGGGATAGATGATTATGAGGTAAAACCATAAAAATGCCAGGGAATTACTAACATTTAAAAGTTACTACTTGGAGGGAGAAATTGGAAAGGATTCAAAGGGACTTCTGAGGTACTGGTAATTTCCTATTTCTAAACCTGGGTGGTGAGTACATGTTTTCATTTTTTTAATTATGTAAGGCATACACATCTATATTGTATATATTTCTCTGTTTCTATATTTCATTATTAAATTGGGAAAAAATGAAAGCCAGCCAAGGGTGAGAACTTGTGTTATTTTGTCAAAATTGGAATAAGAGTCTTTCTACTCTAGAGAGTCTCAAATTAATATAACTCAAGGTAAAATAGGAAAGTTACATAGTATCAAGGCTAAATAATTTTATTATACTCAGACTATATTTGGAATGTTTTGGTTGCTTTTGGGCACCACAATTTAATTCAACCTTGACAACTTGGGTGAGCTTGGAAACGCCATAATATGTAATAGGACAGTGAACAACTGAAATATTTGGAGCTGTTTAGTGTGTAAATACTAATACAGAGGAAATGTGATTGCAGTTTTCAAATGTTTGAAGTGCTCGCACGTGGAAAAAAGACTTTAGTCTTTATCTTTGGAGCTCTAGGAAGTGGACTTAAGTCTAAAAGAGCAAAGTTTTAAGGAGGTAGATTATGGCTTAATATAAGTCAGAACTATCTAAGCCTTTCAGCTGCTAAAAATTCTCTCAGTACAAAACAACAAACAAAAATAATTTTTTAACATTTATTTTAAATCCATGAAATATATGGGGGAAGGAAAGAGTCTTTACTAGACTATTGTAACTCAGAATTATGTTCCCTAATACCACTTGGAATATAATGGCCTTGCCATTTTCAAGCCCTCTGAGAAATTTACTTTTTAATTTACTTTTTGCAAACTGATTAAGAAAGTTTGATTTGGGAATTTTTATTCTCGTAAGAATATCCCTTTTGCTTACTATTCATTCCTTTAGGCTTCTCATGTTTAGTTTATTAACTGGCAGATGGCTGATTGTTAAATCTTGTTAAAATGTGTTCCTTCAACAAATACTTACCTAAGGCTGTTTTGTGTAAAGTTATGAGGATCACTGTAGTGAATTAGACACAGTTGCTGCTTTCATAGACCTTACATTCTATTGAGACCAATATTCAGTTAGAGTTCTGATAAATGCTCTGAAGTAGTACGGGGTGTTATGAGAACATACAATTGGATGACCTGACCTAAACTGGTATTGGGGTCAGGAAATGGTACATTGCACTTTAGAAAGAATTTCAGGAAAAGGAAATTAAGTACTATGGCATAGCATATAGGCAACACAGGAAAAAAGAGTATGGCATTTCGAGCCAGATTTCCTGGGTTCACATTCTAGCTTCATTACTTACTTGGGAAAGTTACTTAACTTCTCTGTCCTTCAGTTTCATCATTTGTAAAATAGGAATGATGATAACAGTATCTCATAGGGTAATTACATGTATTAAATGAGTTAAAATTATAAAGGGCCCAGAACATTCCCTTTTATATATACTAAGTACCATGTAAATAGTGAAGAATAATTATTCAGAAAACAAATCCAAGATACCAGTTTCCAATCATATGTAATATAAATATTAGAAATAATAATAGTTAAGACTACATGTTAGATTTTGTGCTAAATGCCTTTATATGATGTATTAGTCTCACAGTTCCTTGTGGTAGATAGGATATGTGTGTGTGTGTGTGTCTGTGTGTGTGTGTGTGTGTGTGTGTGTGTGTGACAGAGTTTCGCTGTGTCACCCAGGCTGGAGTGCAGTGGTGCGATCTTGGCTCATTGCAACATCCGCCTCCCGGGTTCAAGTGATTCTCCTGCCTCAGCCTCCCGAGTAGCTGGGATTACAGGCATGTACTACAATGCCTGGCTAATTTTCATATTTTTAGTAGAGACGGGGTTTCCCTGTGTTGGCCAGGCTGGTCACTAATTCCTGACCTCAAGTGATCTGCCTGCCTCTTCCTCCCAAAGTGCTAGGATTACAGGCATGAATGAGCACGCCTGGCCTGTTGTAGATAGGATTTTAATGTTGACACTTCTTTACTTTTTTTTTTTTTTTTTAACAAACAGGCTTCAGTATGTTAAATAATTTGCCCAAGATCCTAGTTAGCATAAGAGGCTGTGCTCTTAACTGCCATCCTTTGTAAATTCACATGATTCCAATGAAAAACTGGTTTTTGTCTAATATTAAACATTTGGTAACAGACAGTGGACTTGTGAAATATTATTGGCAAATTATGTTTCTGTAAGTTAAAATACAATGAGATGGGCTTTCAGTCCTGCCTTACCTTTTTTCCAGAGACTATTTTGGCTTTAGGAAACCTACAGGCCCATGTACCAGACCCCACTCCATTGTAATGTTGACCTGAGACATCTGGTTGAATTCTGAGTTATCCTGAGTTAGAAAAATCTTGTAAACATATCTTGTTTACAAGGTAGCTTCATGATTTTTAAATTTACCCTAGGATCAGCATTGCCAGCCAATGAATGGCATGTGTCAAGGTGGCAGATGATATATGTCTTTCCCCCATCCAGATTCTAGACAGAACATCAAACAGGCAAAGTTTGTTTGTATCTATTTCCTGGTCCCCTGTTACTTGGTACTCATTTTACTCTGATTATATTCAAAACATCCCAATACATAGTTTAGCCATATAATTTATCAGTCCGAATAGGTTTATGCTTTTTCATTGTTACTTCCTTAGGAACCTATCATGGCTTGCTATTGTAGTATAATCAAATACTCTGAACTCCACATTCTCCTGTTCAGAATGCTGTACTGTTTGGCCCCACTTAACCTAACCGTAGCCATACATTTCCTGCTGTGATCATCTGAATTTGCCATGCTCATTGGTAGGTCTAGGCCTTTCCCATTGCTGTGCACTGTGCTTAGAATATTCTGCTTATCCTTATATACTTTTATATTAAGCTGTTATTGGACATAGTAACCCAAAATGACTTTTTCTTTATGATATTACTCAATAATTTTTATATTTTTTATTTACTCAAAATTTTTCTTCCATCAGTGTATATAAAGCCAGTGGACTGTATGATTTGTTGTTATTCCCTGCATTATATGGGTGAGTACTGTCTCCTTTAGTACTCAGCATATGGTGCTTTCCAAATAATTTAAAGCAATCTACATGCTATAAAGTTAAAAGATAAAGATTACAAGGAAAGATACATTTCGGCTGTGCTTTGAGCAGAAAGAAGAAAGGATTGGGAAAGAAATATATGAGATAGGAAGTTGACAGGTATAAACACAGGCATGGTTAAATTATGAATGGTGGTTAATGGGCTGAAATATCTGTGTATATGTCACCAAAGTAAAAATTACCAGTATATAATTTTTAACATGCTAATGTTGGAGGTTTCAAAATAGTAGAAACCCCTGAAATATAGACAGGGGCATATGGATGATTTTATATTGGATATGTGTATATTATATATATGTATATAAATTTGTATAGTGGAATAGGAGATTAAGGTTGTAATTGTTATTTTTAAACCCTCTGAGAAAACCTTTGTGTTTATATCAACCAAATACAGTATAGAATATAATGATTTATGTGCAATTTTTAAATTTCTTTTAAAATTCATTATGTAATCCACAGTTATATCTAGCATAATCTATAACGTTTGATCAAGGCTTCACAAATAGGAAATGTCAGTCGCTTATTGTATGTTATTTCTAATCTTAGTTTATTACTAGCATTATACTTTTATATTCTTCTACACAGGTGTAGACTGAGAAGATGGTGGTGTTCCTTTCAGTTTAGTTTCCTAAAAATAGGAAGAAAGCTTGAAAATTCCAGGTGCTAATATAGCAGGCTTATTTGGAATACACCGGAATCCTGTGCACTCAGTTATTTTCTGTCTTCAAAAGAAGAAATAGTATGACATATCTGAGAGTCTGAAAATAATTTTTATCTTTCATATCATTTACTTTAAAATTTATATGGAATTTTCTGTCAAACTAAAGACCAGTAAAATCTTCAAAGATATAGAATATGCTTTTGTAATTAGTTTCAGTGACATTTTAAACTTCATCACATCTTTGTAGAACAAGTCATCTATCTACAATGTTATGTTTTGTTGAAAATAATGAAAATTAGGAGCCTACTTAGATTTTTACTTAGTTTTCCCTTATTTTGGCCCTTATTCCTGCATAACTTATAGAAAACTAAATATAAAACATTTAATGATACCCATTTTACAGAGAGGTGGTAAAGATCCTGACTCTGGTCTCTGAAGTTTAATTTATCCTATTCTTATTCTCCACTTTTTGACATGCCTTTTCTTTCCCCTAGTCTCTTTCTTATTGTCTTGCCTACTAAATAATCACTTTTGAAATAATTTCTCAGAATATATTCATTAACAGTTGTTGCTTTTTAAAAAGGAATGACACAAATAAGATGGTAAATTAAATTGGGTGAAAGTACCAGTAAGTAGCAACCTTGCATTTGACAGGAAATTGAGACTCTGCTGCTAAGTTTTTGCTTTTGTTGTGAGAATGATCACCATCTCTTCTATATGCCGACAGAAATTTAATTCTTATACATTGGTAATTTAAATCCCAGCATTTTTCCTGTTAAATTTGATTTCATTCAAACCAAAGATTAACAAAGCTAATTCTAAAACTCCAGGTGGTAGATAGTGAAGGCCATTATGAAGACAAGAATTGTTCTGTATTTAATAATATTTCTATGTAGCATCTGTATTGAAAATCATTATAGTTTTTAAATTAGTCTGAATCACATATGCTCTATTTTGGTAGTAACTATAAAGTGATTTTATATTTTATCATAATTATACATTATCAACTTCTCCTTTATATATATCACTGGCAGGTTTTTATCCCCTCCCCCCCTTTTTTTTAAAACTCCTTAAGCTATAACATTACATACAAACAGAAAAGTGCACAAATAATGAGTGTAAATTCAGTAAATTACCATGAGGGACTATGTCGGTATAACTCACCACCGAGGTAAAGACATAAAATACCAACACTCCAAAAGACTCTTTTGTATTTTCCCCAGACATTACTTTCCTTCCTGCTCAAAGGAGGCCACTCCTCTGACTTATTCTATGTATTTTTGAAACTTATGTAACATTTTATGTCATCTTGTCTGGCTTCTTTTAACATTATGTTTGTGGATTGATTCATACTATTTCAGGTAGCAGTACTGTTCATTTGCTGTCATTGATACCTGTATTTCATCGGAGTGTTGTATATAACTTGCTGTCTTTGTTGATGAAAATATAAAGAACTATCAGTTTGGGGCTGTTTGAATAATGACACTCTAAAGATTCTTGAACATAGTGTTTTTGGTGCTCATTTGCACACATTCCTGTTGAATATATAGGAGTGAAAGTGGTGGGTCATGTTTTTTAAACTGTAGTAAATAGGGCCAAATAATTTTCCAAAGTAAGTATACTGATTTACACTTTACTAGCAGTAAATGGGAGTTCCAGTTGTTTCACATTCTTGCCAACACTTAGATATCAGTCTTTTACATTTTGGATATTCTGATTAGTGTATATTTCTTACTGAGATTGTAATTTTTATATGATGATAACTTACGATATTGATCATCTTAGGAGGATTATAGGGCATTACGCTATTGTATTGGTGAAGTATCTTTCTTGTTCAAGTCTTGCTCCTTCATTTTATTGGTTTGTCTGTTTTTTATTTTATTACTTAATATAGAAGTCCTTTATTGAATATATTTTTAAAATATCTTGTTCTACTCTATGACTTACCTGTTTATTCAGGTATGTTTTGAAACATAGAAGTTCTTAATTTTAATATGATTCAATTGATCAATCTTACTTGTGCCATTTGCATCCTGCTTAGAAAACCTTTACTCACCACAGGGTCATGAAATATTTTCTTTATTATCTTTTAGAAACTTCATATCATACCTAAATTTAGTGACAATGCGAAGTATCAGAGTCCGCCCCGCTCATATGAATATTCACTTAACCAACACCATTTTTTGAAGACTTGCCATTTTCCCATGACTCTGCAGTGCCACCTTAATGTAAATCAAGTATGTGTATATACACTGCCTTCTAATATACACACACATATATGACTTATTCTGGATATTAACATTCTATTCCATTGATCTGTTTGTTTTTGCACCAATACCATATTGTCTTAATTCTGTAACTTTATATTTTGTAAATAATATTTTCTCACTTATTTTTTCTTCTTCACAATTATCTTGACTTTTCTCAGCCCTTGAGTTTCCATATGAATTTTAGAATCAGTTTGTAACTTTATATCCAAGACCAAAATCCTAATGGGATTTTGATTGGAACGGAATTGAATCTGTAGATCAGTTTGGGAACAATAACATTTTTATAGTATTGGGTCTTCTGATCCATGAACATGATACCTCTCTTCATTTACCTAGGCTTTTAAAAAATTTGCTCTCTCAGTAGTTTACTGTTTAAATATCTTCTACATCTTTCTCCAGACTTATACCTAGTGTTTTTCATAATGTCATCATAAAAAATAACTTATCTTAATTTCAGTTTCTAATTGTTCCTGCTTTATGTGAAAACGATTTATTTTTTAATATATTGGGTAAAACTACTTATTTGTGTCAAATAGTTTGACTCTACAGTAATTTTTCTGCATACACTTTTATCAACTAAATGTAAAGAGCTTTTTCTTCCTTTCCATCCTTTATACACATCTTTTTTTTTTCTCTTGCCTTACTGCACTGGCTAGAACTACTTTTTCAACATTGAATACAAATTATGATAAAAACCATCCTTATAAACTTTCAGTATTTCTCCACTAAGATATGATGTGTGTTATAGCTTTTATTATAGAAGTCGTTTATCACTTAAGATACTCTCTTTTATTCCTGCTTTGTATGAGTTTTTATCATGAATGGGTCATGAATTTTGTCAAATACTTTTTTGCATCTAGTTAATTACATCATTTTTGTCTTTTATTCTTTTAATGCAATAAGTTGCATTGATTGATATTTGAATGTTACATGAATCTTATTTCCGAAGTAAACTCAATTTGGTCATGGTACATTATACATTATACTTTTTATATATTGCTAAAATTCATTTGTTTTTTTTAGGATTTTTACATCTGTGTTCATTAGTGAGATTGACTCATTCTTTTCCTCATAAAAATAGTTGGGAAATGTTTTAAATTTCACTGTTCTCTGTAAGAATTTATATAAGATTGGTGTTACATCGTTTTTGAATATGTGGAATATTATTTAAGAGGCCATCTTAGAGTTTTTAGCCCCTCTTTTATTAAGGTTACAAATATCTCTCCTAAGTATGGTTAGAGCTGCATCCCATACATTTGGTTTTTCTCTTTCTTTTTTTTTTTTTTTTTTTGATGCTGAGTCTCATACTGTCGCCCAGGCTGGAGTGCAGTGGCGTGATCTCGGCTCACTGCAACCTCCGCCTCCTGGGTTCAAGCAATTCTCTTGCCTCAGCCTCCCGAGTAGCTGGGATTACAGGTGCGCACACCACACCCAGCTGATTTTTGTATTTTTAGTAGAGATGGGATTTCATCATGTTGGCCAGGCTGGTCTCAAACTCCTGACCTCAGGTGATGTGCCCGCCTTGGCCTCCCAAAGTGCTGGGATTACAGGTGTGATCCATCATGCCTGGCCTTGTGTTCCATACATTTTGATATGTTTTATTTTTATTATCATTTGTTTAAAAATATTTTTTATGTTTTGATTTCTTCTTGAATCTTCAGTATTAATTTCTAAATATACATTTAATGTCCTTGCCGATAGGCTTGGGATTAAGTCTCTCATTTTGCCATTTGCGTTCTGTTTTCTCTGCTTGTTTTATTTTTTCATTTCTTGCCTTTTTTTTATACAGTGTTTATTTTGACTTTCTTTTCTTTAGCTGTATTAGTTATTCAGTCTTTAATCTCTTAGTCCTTACTCTATAAATGCCAACATGCATTCCTAACTTACTGAAGTCTAATATTAATGAGTATTTTATCACATCCTAGATAATACAAGGAACTTAGTACACTTTGACTTCTTTCATTTCTTTTACAATTTATGTAGTGTCATTGGTACTTATATATATATATTTAAACCTTATACATTTAAAACCCCACAATGCCCAATATAATAAAAACATCTAGTTATAATCGTTTTTATACTTAATATACATTGATATTGATTTACACATTTATCATTTCCTTTGCCCTCTGTTTCTTCCATCTCTAAGCTTCCACTAGAATTGTTTATTTATTCTACCTAAAGAATACTGATTCATATTTTCTTTTGTGTGGATATGCTTATGACAAATTATCTCTATTTTCATTTGTCTGAATGTATTCTTAGTTCACCTGCCATTTGAAAGGTTATTTTTGCTAGGCCAGCAGTTATTTTACTTCAGCCCTTTGCAGTAGTTATGATTCCACTGTCCTTTAGCTTCTGTTGTTTCTCTTGGGAAATCTGTTGTTGATCAGCTTGTTACTCCTTTGAACATACATTGTGCCATCATTCCCTGTACCCAGCTACTTCTACTATTTTCTTTTTATCTATGATTTTCAGAAGTTTTACTATTATGGATTTGACTTTTGTATAGTCTTCTTAGTTTTCATCTTGCTTGGTACTTTCACCACTTCTGAAGTCTAGATTAATGTATTAGTAAGTTCTGCGTTATTGTGTTTTCAAATACTGCATTTGTTCATTTTCTCTCTTATTTATGGTAATCCAGCTACACATATGTTAAACCTTTTTACTGTAACCTGTGTATTGATTATATTTCTTCTGTATTGTCCATCCTTTTGTATGTCAGTCTGTATATTTTCTTACCTGTCTTCTGTTTTGTAATTTTTTTATCTGTAAAAAATTTAAAAGGTTTATCCTAAGAACCATTCATTTAGATTCATTTCTCAGTTCTAGAATTAAATTTGAGTCTCTTTTGTGATTTCTACTTCCTTCCAAAAATTTTAGTCTTTTATTTTCTTGAGTGTATTAGGCATTGTTATTTCAATACTCAGTTCTGAAATTTAATGATCTAAATACCCTGTGGATCTGTTACTGTTGTCTGCTGTTTCTGTTGGTTTTAGGTGATAGTAATTTTACCTCCTTGTATGACTGGTTATTTTTTATTCAATACCAGATACTGTGTATGAAAAATTGTGGAGACAATTTGAAGGCTAGCACGATGTTATATTTATTCATAGAAGATTTATTTTGGCTTCAGAAAGGTGGCCAAAGGACTGACAAACCCAGATTGCTTTAATCTAGGCAGGAATTGAAGTTAAATTTAGTCTCTGTTAAAGTTTGTCTGTTTCTGGTCCATTTTTACTCAGTTCCAGTCATTCCTTGTTAGTAGCTCTTTAGTTCTAGTTTTTGTCTTCCTAGCTTCATTTGTCTCTTGGCACCTTCTGTTAATTCCCAAGAGGGAGCTTTTGGGAATTGGCCAAGCCTTCCAGAGGAAATGCACCTCCCAAAGAGGTGCACATACGTTTGGGTTTTCTTCTTGTCTGAGATCACAGCCCCATAATTCGTCACTGTCTTGGTTCTCAGTGATTTGAAACAAATGTTTTTGTTTTTAATAATTTCTTACATTTTCTAGTTCTTACCAAGAGGGTTGATTAGTGTTACCTAGTTCATCATGTAAAAACAGAAGATATTGTGATTATTTTTATACTGAATTATAATCTTTAGATGGTTATTTTTATATCTAGTTTTCTATAGGTTATCAGAAATTTTTCATTTGTTTATACTTTTATACACAATTTCTTAGCATAGATTTGGATATACATCCATAACAGAAAGCTTTAAGGCATATGAAGAGGTAACCACTAAAATAGATGGATGCCCACAGTTGTACTATATATGACTAAATTAGATTTCAAGTAGATAAAATTTAGCTGTTGGGAAGAAAGATTTAAGTTTAGTATTATTTTGGCCATCTATCTTTTTTAAGACAGCAAGGAAATGGTGTTTCATATGTAAAATAACTACACCTTATACAACATTTCTATTTCCCAAATTTACTTAGATTCTTTGGCTTTCTGCTTATCAGAAATTGGGTGATCTCATTTGTTTTTAGAGTCTCTTCTTTATCTTAGCAGGGTAGTAATATTTAGAAAGATAAACGATAATTTGTTTAGAAAGATAAATTTTTTTCTGATAATGTATTAATCATAATTTTCATTCAAATATCAAAATACTCTTCTCTTTGTTCATCTTTATAGAACTCCAGAAATAACTATTTGCCCCTTACTTCTTTTTCTCTAAATTTGTTTTTTTATTTACTGATCAAAAGGTTTTTAACTAAAGTTACCAAGGATTCCATGCACTTCCAAGATAGGGATAACATCAATCTAAAGACTCAATTATTTTCTGTCTTCACTGCTTACAGACAGGGAACACAATCTCTTCAGCCTGGACCTGTGTAGAAGAATTTGGAGAAAATAAACAGGTAAGAGTTTATTAGGTAAAACTCTCTTAGGAATATTAAGTAATATATTTAATTGTCAGAAAACCAGTTTCAAATTGTTCTTTATAATGAAAAGAATGAAACTTTATGAAGTATTTTTTATAATAGCCTTGTTAATTATAGACTCATTAAGCAAATGTTTTAAAAAGTTAAAGTGGTTTCTGTATTTTCAGGTCTTCTCAAAACATTTAACATGCTAGTATACCTTGAACCACCAAGATGGTAAACAGTATTATAAATTCGATATATTTGGAGTTACTGTGTTATTTATAGATTATCCAAGTATTTCTCAAAAGTATCTGAGAATACGACTCTCTTGTTTTTCAACCTTAAACCCAAGTCTTATTGAAACAATTTGGGATAAAAGTTGTATTTACTAAGATTTAGTGTTTAGTTTATTCAACAAGGTACTTCTTGAGGAAGATAAGTTTTAGTAGGAAGTTAAAAGATAGCTTATTTGAGTCAAGATTATTACCTCACAAAGTCTTTTTTTACATGTAGAGGCAAAAGAATGATGTTTTCTAGGATGTAATTCATGTACTACATCTGTGTCCTTGAGTAAGTTAATTTGACCTTTTTGTGCTTCACTTCCTCATTGACAAAGGGGATAATAATAGTACTTATAAGTCTGTTATGTGGATTCAGTTGTACTAATCTTGTGTGGTTATTTTTATCACTTAATAATATTGCCATTACAATTAATAAAATCTGTTCTCAGACTCAAAGAGAAATGCTTGTTATACTTGAGACTTAAAATTTTATTTTTACAGATCTTAATCTTAGCATAAAAATTCAAATAAGTGATACCAGTCTTAGAGGTCCTTACAACTTTTTATAGTTCAAAATTTGAATTACAAGGACTGATTTTACTTATAGAAATAAAACTTGAAAAGAATTGCTGTATTTTCTAAGGCTTTTCTTTTTTGCCCACATGGTTTATTTAGTGAGCTACAACTTTTTTTTTAACCTATACTGAAGCCTACCTGGATTGCTGCAGCTCTGATTGTAATTTTTTCTCTCATAAGCTGCTGTTCTAGTACTAACTTTCCAAATAGCTTAGAAAGTAGCACCAAAAGGAGTTGGATATAATTATCTCTTAATACAAAGGTAGCAAACTAGAAGATCTAGATGTATTTCTTTTTTTAATGGAAAGCAACTAGACTTATTTTCAGTACAAATAAGTATCTGTTTTTTTATTCTTGACCCTCTTTGTGTTCTTTTTGTTTGTGTGTTGCCTTGCCTGTGAAGGCATTTGAGTTTTTAATTGCTGTGGTTAATATATTTGAAGATTTTGTTCTGTTTTGTTTTTAATGTTTTCCCATTATGTATTAACTCCATTGAGATTTCTTCCCTGATATTCAAAATTCAGTGAAATAACTGCTTCTAAGGTCAAACAGGTTTGGGAAAAACTGTATACTAAATACTTCCTTGGGAAAATCATAGTGCATACTAGCATCCTAGGTAATTGAGGTAGCAACCTGTTTAATGTATAAGCCTATCTGTTCTAAATTTTTCTTGAGATTATTTGGCTATAGGATGCTTGTTTTAAGAAATTCTTGCACTTTAATTGTATGGGATGTAGTTTGGGAAATACTGAAGCTAACCCAAAGACACACTTGAGTTTTATTTGTTTTTATTTAATATGTTTCTGACTTTATTGAGGTATAAATAAAATACAACAAAATGCCCATACTTAAAGTGTACAATTTGGTTCATTTTGATTTATGTCTACATCTATGAAATGACACCACAATTAAGAAAACAAACATTTCTTTCACCCCCAAAAGTTGCCCGATGCCCCATTGTAATCCATTCTTCCTTCCATTCTCTTTCTCAGGCAGCCACTCTAGATTAGTTTGCATTTTCTAGAATTTCAACCCCTTGCTTTCGAAGGTTTAAATCGTAATCTTTAGATAATTTAAAATTTCATTTTAAAGAAATTTCATTTCTTTATTTCCTCTGCTTATTTAGCTCTTGATTTTCTATACTAGAATAGAAAGTACAAAATAAATGATAGGTATTATTTATGCTTATATGATAGGTATTATTTATGCTTATATGATATTTTAATCTCTGTGTTTGAACCCTGCCATATTTTATGTTCTAGGAATGTATAGTAGTATAGCTTAAAAAAAAAAGTTTTTTTTTGCAGATAAAATTTAGTGTTTGAGTGAAAGTAAGTTATTGAGATAGTTAGTTATGGTTATTGAATGTTAGAAATTGAAATAATAATAAAATGGTACAATGAGGATTTTTTTTAAAAAAATTTCAATACAGATCTCATAGGTATCTAAAGAAATGCTTAAAATATGTATTAAAGGTCTGATAAACATACTTCATAGATGAAAAAATCAGGTGTCTCATCCTTAACACTGGTGGGAATGTAAAATAGTATAGTCTTAGCTACCTTGGAAAACAGTTGAGCAATTTCTCAAAAAGTTTTACTGGGAATTACTGTATGACTCAGCAGTTTCATTCCTAGTTACTTACTAAAGAGAATTGAAAACATATGTTCACACAAACATTTGTACATATTATTCCTTAGCAGTATTATAAATAATAGCCAAAAGGTTGAAACAACCCAAATACCTATCAACTGATGAATGGATAAACAATGTGTAATCTAGCTATATGATGATACATTATTCAGCCATTAAAAGGGATGAAGTTCTGATACATGCTACAACATGTATGAGCCTTGAAAGCATTATGTTATGAAGTCAGTTCCAAAAGACCACATAAATTTATACAAAAAGTCCAGAATAGGCAAGTCTGTAGAAATACAAAGGCTAGTAGTTGCTGGGGCTGAGAGAAGAGAGAGTGGGAGTAACTGCTAATAGATAACAGAGTTTCTTTTTAGGATGATGAAAATGTTCTAGAATTTTATAGTGGTGCTAGTTGTACATGTGATAAAAATCACTAAGTTGCACACTTAAAGATAGAAAGTGGATGGATATGGTGGTAGAACTCACATAGCTAACAGAGAAGAAAGAAACCAATTATGAGGAATATATTTTTTAAATGAAAAATTAGT
Source organism: Homo sapiens (assembly GCF_000001405.40). Classification (NCBI taxonomy): domain Eukaryota; kingdom Metazoa; phylum Chordata; class Mammalia; order Primates; family Hominidae; genus Homo; species Homo sapiens. The sequence continues at coordinate 154,823,475 of NC_000004.12, forward strand.
CTAAAGAGTATCTAGTCAGAAACAAAAGAAAAAGGGAGTCAAAATTAATTTGAGAAGACACTTTTATCTCACTTTAAAGTCTCTATTAAGGGTTTTCCTCATCTTTAAGACAGAAAAGCAGCTAAGAATTAGTGGTGTTTGGTCAAGATGTGTAAGACGAATTAGAAACAAAACAAGAAATACATTGAAGCAATATATCTATCCACTGTTCACATTTTCACTGAGAAACCTACTGGTATTATTCACTAACAGACTGTCTTTGTGTTGAATACAGAAAGGTGGTAGACCAAATTATAGTAACCACATAAACAGGCCTGACAAGTATGTGGTATATGTATTACCAGTCTCTACTCTTGCTCCTGTGTCAGATGTGGCATAAGTTGTCACTCGCTTTCCTGTTTATTCCAGACACACCACCAGAATCTTTCTGAATCTAGAATTCCTGTTAGCCATTACTGCTTAATTAGAATTGCCATTTAAGGTTAAGCTTATTTGCTGTTCTTTGTATATATCAAATTTGTTCTATGAAAATATGTGTATTCCATATATAAATAGGAAATTAAAGATAACATTTGATCAGGTTTTCTATAATCATTATGTCAGAGCAGTTGTTCTCTTTTTTTTTTTTGTTTTCCACAAAACAACCTTTACTTCAAGTGAAAGTTTAGCGTATAAAACAAGGGAATGCAGAGCTACATGAGCTGAAATGAGAGGTTGGAATGGGTATGATTAAAATTGCTGGCAGTACCAAATGTTAGAATGTGGAGCAACTCGAAGTCTCATATCTTACTGGTGTGAATATAAAATGGTCATACTAGAGAACTCTTTAAGCAGTATGGGTCATCTGTCCTATGACCTAGCAATCCCATTCCCAGGTATTGCCCCAAAAGAAATGAAAACATATATCCACCAAAAGATTTGTATAAAAGTGTTCATAGCAGCTTTATTCATAATAAAACTTAGAAACAACCCAGATATTCATCATTAGGCAAATAGATAATGAAATTGAAGTATATTCACACAATGAAGTAATAACCATAAAAATGAAGAAACTACTGAAAGATACAATGTGAACGAATCTTAGAAATTATATTGAGAGATTGTCTGGATTATCTTTCTGGAACAATTATACCGAAACAAGCTATTTGAGTTTCGACTTGGCAAGGCAAGATATGTCAGTGGATTCTCTTTGTGAATGGAAAAAAAAAGCATCCTTATTTTGTATAGAGGCCGCCTCTTTTTGTAACTAATTTTTTATTGGTAAAAATTAATTCAAATGTGCTTAAAATTATGTTGAGAGAAAGAAGATAGACATAAAAATACTTAATGCATATTATATGAAGTCTAAGAACAGGCAAAACTGATCTATTGAAATAGAAATCAGAAGGTGGCTGCCTCCAAGTGAAGGTCTGTTGGCTGGAAAAGGGTACAGGAAATTTCTGGATTGGGGATATGTTTTATATCTTGTTTTGAGTATCAATTACATAGATTTATACAATTATCAAAACTCATTGAAATAAACATAGGATGTATGCATTTTATTTTATATAAATTGTATATCAGTGTTCCAAGTGTTAAGGCAGTTGAATAACACTTAGTGTAAAACTTATATTCTGAAATTGGCTCTGTATCATTCCTTAAGAAGGGATCTGAAGTACAGATCCCAGTCTGAGGAAGAAACAGTGGGATTGAAGAGCTAAGGATGTTAATTGGGAAGAAAAACTAGGGGTGGGCAAATAAGTATATGCTAGGAATGTTAACTAATTTATTAATATATTTTCTGAAAATTAGAATTTCTACTTTTTATTTCCTATGATACGAAAATTATATGTTACAATAGATCTGAGGAAAACATGATTGTACTTTTAGGTTCATCCCACTAAGCATTTTCAGCTTACATTTCATTCATTGAAGTTTGGTTTGTATTGTATTTTCCAACCAGCTAGATGTCTTCCTGAATATATTTAGATTCTTAGTGATTTTAGTAAAAAATTTTATTTTTGAAATGCTTGTAAAATCTTACAAACTTCTGAAACCTTTTGTTTCCTAATCTTTGTTATTTGTGAAGGATTTTTTTCCTTTGGATTTATGCTACATGAATAAAGTCATCAACTTTTAATTTTGTATTTAATTTAGTCTCCTTGAAAATATGCAGTACAACAAATGATCATTGTATATTTAAGGGCTTAAGTTCAAGGTTTACAGTGGGGACCATCAGGAATGAAGATAAGCTAAGCATTATGCTAGTAGCCAACTGCTTGGCTATCTGCTTTCTGAAATCTTTCCCTGAAGATAACCTTCTGTGTTCACAATTCATGAATAGGCTGCATTACCTGAAGATACCTTCAGTATCCACATTTCTTAAATAGGCTGCATTACCTCTTGAGTGGATGTAAACTCAAAACAAAAGTGATTTCTCTTTGAAAACTACATTTCCCTGTTTGCAGTAGCCTGCTCTTCTAAATTGTATTGTTGATGACCACATTGTTAAAATTTGAAGAGCTAGGTGTATTACAGATAGATGGCTAATAAGAAATTGACTGTATTTGCATAATAATTTTCAGAAGGAAAGAATCAGACTTTTTTAAATAAAGCAGTTACTTGGGAATACATGGAGCCGGTAATGGTCCCGTTTATACTCAATACCAAACCCTTCAGGTGAAGTGGATCCTTTTAAAAAAAAAAAAAGAAAAAAAAAAAGCATGAGGCACGTTGGCTCACACCTGTAATCCCGGCACTTTGGGAGGCTGAGGTGGGTGGATCACTTGAGGTCAGTAGTTCAAGACCAGCCCGGCCAACATGGTGAAACCCCGTCTCTACTAAAAATACAAAAATTAACTGGGTATGGTGGTGGGTGCCTGTAATCCCAGCTACTTGGGAGGTGGAGGCAAGAGAATTGCTTGAACCCAGGAGGTGGAGGTTGCAGTGAGCTGAGACCGCACCATTGCACCCCAGCTTGGGCAACAAGAGTGAAACTCTGTCTCAAATAAATAAATAAAGATAAATAAATAAATAAATTGTATGGTACGTAGAGTCATCCTACTTTGGATGTTAGAAAAGTAAATGGTATCAAAGTAATTCCTCATTCATTTTCAAAATAGTGAAAATATTTGGAACTGGTTACTTTAAATGTATTTATGTCTTCCTGGAACAGATCGCTTTGTTGATCTTATGGTACCATTCATAAAAAGGTTATAAAATTAGTTTAATTAGAGTTTTATAATGCTGGAAATTAAACCTATATTTAACTGATTTTCATTTTTCCTTTTTTTTTTTTTTTTTTCCTGAACTAGGTCCTTTCTGATGTTGCTTGAGCTTACTCTCCTGCAGTTGATCTCATTCCTGTTGGCTAAACATTAAGTCCCATGACAACATTAAGTTAATGCACCTATGGTGTAGGCATCATTTATAGTACCAGGACAGTATTATAGAAAAAAACCTTACCTGTACATTAGATGACCTAATTTCTTTTCTTCCATTCCTAGAAACACCATAATGTTTCTAAATAATGATTTTATAGTCATTGTCACACCCTTGGCTTATTTTACACTAAAGAACATAGTTGAGTTTTTGGAAGGTACAGGATTTAAAAATTTGGTCTGTAATATACACACACACATATAAATGTTGCAGTTAATGAAACAGGAAATTATTGATGCATAAGATGAATGTTTATTGTGAAACAGTATTTCAAATGTTATTTTTTAATAATTTGGTTTAATTGGATATTTTTCTGTACTATAAGTTGATAATGGTTTTTTGAAGTAACTATAAGTTGATAATGGTTTTTTGAAGTTTATTTAATAAAGGTGATTCATTATACTGTTTTATCATACCAGTAGGACTTTTAATGTTAAATCAGTATGTTGAGTTAGATAAGTGTTTATATTAGTATTTAAATAATGAAATATTGGCCAGCTAGTTTATACCAAATGTTTTTGCAGTCCAGGGGTGAATGTTTCTGCTGGTTTGATGCCTAATACAGCTTCAAAGAAAAAAAAAAAGCAAATATGAATTCACTGTTTTTTATCTTTTCTTCATGGACTACCCCTTAGAACCAAATTTAAAAGAAGCTTCTTTGTAGAGCAAGAGAAATGAGACGTTCTCTTTTTCTATAATCAAAACTCCAAGAAATAGTAGATATCCAAGAATTCATTCTGGTAAGATCTCTGAAACATTGCGTGAGTAAAGGAAAGGTAATACTGACAAAACTCTCAGGATTTGCAGTGCAGTGAATGCTGAAATAATCTTTAACCAGCAATATAGTATCATCAAGATTTCCAGTGTTAGAACATTATGTTAAAATGTGATTATTGTTTAATGCTTTGTCTCTTTAAATTAAATTTGTGTCCATAAAGATGTACAGCATAATTGTTCATGTATTTATTTACAGACTACAATTTCCATCGCAGCTCAATAAATAGTCTTTCCCCTGTTAGTGCTACCCTCTCTTCTGGGACTCCCAGCGTGCTTCCTTATACTTCAAGGCCTTATTCTTATCCAGGCTATCCTTTGTCACCAACAATATCACTTGCTAATGGCAGCCATGTTGGACAGCGGCTATGTATCTCCAATCAGGCCTCCTTCTTCTGAAGAAAATACTAACATTAGTATGAAAATTTGTGTAAATTTGTAGTATGAAAACTTGCAAATTAAAATATTGTTTTATTTTAGAATCGGGTTTGCATATTTGGTTTTAAAAAGGTATTTATTCCAAAGTACTAAACATCAGCTATAATTCAGAATAACATGGAGTTGTAGAATTTATAAAAATGCAAAGTTTAAAAAGTTATTCAGTGGTTTCTCTTGATAAAGGTACAGCAAACTACTATTCTTTTTAAACTTCTAGGATTTTCTTCTACTTTCTGAGTGGGCAATAGAACCTAGTCATTTATGTTTTTTTTTTTTTTTGCATAATTTTACTAAATAGTATTTCACAAATATTAAAGCACTTGAAGACAATGGTTATAGTAGATTTGATTACCAAGGATCACTATCTGTACTGGAGATTAGAACAATTATATGACCAGAAGCATCTAACCATTATGTAAAAAGAAATGATGAGACAAAAAGATTAAGATACAAATTTTGTGCAGTACTAAAGAAAAAGCAGTCTACCATTGTGGTCCTTGAAAATAACTATAGATATTTTTGTTATTTGTTAGACACAAATTATAATTTTGTTGTTAATGTATTTAAGCATTTTATAGTTATGCTTTGTGTTTTTGATATTCTTTGTATTGTTAATAACAAGTGTTATGGGTTTTTAATGTTGAAATCATGTGTTAATTTTTGTACTTGAATTCAAATTTTTTGACATTAAATATGTGATGCTTCTATTATGTGTTTTCTTTATATTAGAATGACAAAACCTTTAGTTCTCACAATCACTTTGAGCTTTTCTTGAGAACAATTTCACTTACTACTTACACAGTCATAGGCTCAGTGCTTTTATGAGACTCAAGTGAAGGATGTTGAAGAAAGTTGTTTTTATATACCCAAAAGAATATAAATCATTCTATAAAGACACATGCACACATATGTTTATTGCAGTACTATTTACAATAGCAAATACATGAAACCAATCCAAATGTCCATTAATGACAGACTGGATAAAGAAAATGTGGTACATACACACCGTGGAATACTGTGCAGCCATAAAAAGGAATGAGATCATGTCCTTTGCAGGGACATGGATGAGGCTGGAGGCCATCATCCTCAGCAGACTAACACAGGAACAGGAAACCACCACATGTTCTTGTTCGTAAGTGGGAGCTGAACATTGAGAACACATGGTCACAGAGAGGGAAACAACACACACCAGGGCCTTTTTGGGGCTGGGGGTGAGGGGAGGGAATTTAGCAGACAGGTCAATAGGTGCAGCAAACCATCACATATGTATATCTATGTAACCTGCATGTTCTGCACATGTATCCCATTTTTTTTGGAAGAAATATAAATTGTTTTGTAAAATAGTAACAAAAGTTATTTTCAGGGACTAATAGAAATACTTTGTTAATAGACCCAGTGAAGTTTCTGCCTTTCAGTTATGAATAATTAAAGAATTCAAGTCATTTTCACTTAAATATTTTAGTATACATTTATAATGATTGCTAATAGTTTTTATAATTGATGTCTGAGAAATCTTTCAGATAGCAAACATTACCTTTTTTAATCAACTCATTGTGCAGCTATATGGGACAGCATTTGTAAACAGAATTTGAAATAGTTGCAAATATTTTTTTCTCGAGTTTCAAGCAGAAGTTATATGGAAATTAATCTCAGTTTTTTCAACCTTTAATGTTCATTCCATATAAATCATATGCAATACTTACCTTCCAGTTACTGCCTTAGGTTTTCTAATTTAAATGAGCATAGACACTGTGCTTAAAAAATACTATTTTTCTCCTTACTCAACTTTGAATTGCATAGATTTTGCTCTTTAATTGCCAGGTATATGTGGGGCTCACAGGTGCATATCACTCAGCAAGCATACAGTGAGTATTTTGTTGGTGATTGTGGTAATACCTTTGGAATACAGAGGTTACTGAGACTCCAAGCCAGAAGAAAAAGAGACACTTAGTTTTTCATAGAAATGTTTGAAATAGCCCATCATAATAATTGCAAGTTTCCACATAGCTTTTTCACTTTCAATAAAAATCAAGACAATTGAGCTTACCAACCACACATTGTATTTGGAGATCCATGGTGATTGGATGAGAAGCATATAAGCTGTGTTAGTCAAATCCCACTCCATTAAGTAACAGCTGTTTGAACCTGGACACAGTTATTAATCTAGCCGTACTTTTCACTTCTGTAGTCATAGTATAGATAGGTAAAACGCCTGGCAAATGGAAGACATTCAGGTGGTGGGTGGTATTATATGGGTATAGTTATATGAAGAGCATAGTACTTTGTAGTTTTTCATCCCTACTCTCTTTAACTGGAAATATAGAAATTAGCACATTCATGTCAAACACTGTCCCTTTCTGTCATGTTCTGGATGAGCAATTAATCTTGTTTATACTGAATAAAATTTTATTTGAGTTGTGAACATAGCTACTAATTATTTGCTGCTGTAGTTCTTGCAGAATAAGCTGTATAAGGCATTTGCTCCAAATGAGGGTTCCTTAGATGATCACAAACTATTGATAAGTCTTAGCCATATGATGTATCTCATTGGTCAGGGAAACCGTTCTAAAGACAGACTTCAAATTTTGTATGCAACATTACACAAAGAACCATGGCTGACATGTGGAAGTTTATGACCTATTATGATGGAGCTAGGACCTGTCCTGGTTAAAATCCCTTGTAAGCAGAAAGATCAGAAGGTATGCAGAAAGTTTAATTAACCCTATCATTCTTCCCTAGTTTGTTTTATAGTTAGAGAGGGAAAGACTTCTTTATGACTTAAAATGTAGAAACCATAATAGAAAAGGTTGCTAAATTCAATTTTAAAAAAGTCTGCATGGCAAGGAAGTAACACAGGTATGTCAAAAGACGATAAATGACTCCGTCTCAAAAAAAAAAAGCGATACTTGCATGTTGTTTTACAAAGGGCTAATCTCTAATATTTCTAGATATCAGAAAAAGTAACCACCCATGAAAAAAATGGATGAAATGTCTGAATAGGCAGATGACAAATGGCTCCCAAACCTATTAAAAAGGTGGCTCATGTCATTATAGGAAAGGCAGATTAAAAGTTCAGATTGGCAGAAATTCATAGTTTGATAAACGTTTGGCAAGCCTGTAAATAAGTATTCTCATACATTGTCATTGGGATTAAAAATTGGTATTTATATAAGAAGCAACTTGGCAGCTATTGTCCAAAATTACATACAAACATTTTGATCCAGCAATTCTACTCTGGGATATACTTGGATGTGTGTATGTGAAATGGTACATGTGTAAAGGTATCCATCATTAGAGGACTGGTTAAGAATACATTTATCAGTACATACTATGAAGCTGTACAAAAGAGAATGACTATTCTTGATACAGGAAGAGAGGATGTTAAGTGAAAAAGAGCAAGGCTTATTTAGGAATGTATGTATAATACAGTGTTCTATGTTTTGGTAAAGAGGAAAACAACATTTGTATGTGCTTATAGGTGCATACAGAACTCCAGAAGGATATGCAAAAAAAAAAAAGAATTATGAGAGAAGTGGATAGGATCACAGTGTGACATCTCTTTCACTTGCAGACACTAATAAATGATAAATAATTTTAAGTAAAAAGACACATAATTGTTCTCAGAAACAAAATGAAGAGCTCTAGTGAACAGTAATCTGAACAAAAACACATTAGGAAAAGCTGCACTGGATCTCTTTACTGAGTGACCAGAAGTTGGTGGATTTTGAGTAGAAACCCAGGGCAAAAGCTCTGCAGATGGTAAACAGCACTGCAAACAGCTGTGAACTTCACTGCTTTTGACTCAGTGGGTCCCAATATACTTGAAATGTCCTTCACTAATTATGATGTCTGTAGATATGAAGCACGTTCAGTCTGGTAGGAAAATCACAGAGAGGGCCTGTAGGATTTGATGCAAAGCTGTGTTCTTTTAGGCAAAGAATTAGTCTGCTTTTGAGAAATAACTCTTAGCCAGTTATTAAGCCCTAATAGGTACTGACTATGGGATACCCATCATGAATTGGGTGTTATTTGATCACGAAATTCATAAAGTTGAGCATGTTCAACAGCACTGCTACAAAGTGGAATATGGTGACAGTCTAGAAGCTTCTTCCTGCCATACTACCATCACTTGGCCTGTTATATCATGGAACGCACCCAAGATCAGTTGGCTGAGGGAGAAATCTTTGGAACCTAGTATCCTAAGGATAATGGAAGTCACCAAAAACAAATCTCTTTACACATCCTATACAAACTATATAGAAAAATAATAAAAAGCAAATGAAACCACACATGATCCACACCTTCAGCATAACCACAGAACACTACAACTTTTCAAATTACCTGTTAATAAAAATAAATATATATGGACATCAAGTTCCAGCAATTATGTTTTTAGCTCTTGCCACAAGCCTTTGGAGAAGAAGGGGTGTTTTGAGGGGCTGGAAAACTACACAAGAGAGAACAAGAGTGCAGAGGCCCTAAAGGTGAGCTAACAATGTCCATCCCAGGTATGAAAATACTGTAAGAATACCCTGGTATATAAAAGTACTGACTAATGGAGAATGACTTAAAATCACGTAGACTTGAGATGGCAGTTTTGGAAAGGCATTACTTATGGGAGAAAAGAGTTAAAAAGAACTGGGAGGTACCCTTTTTTTGTGGATGATGAAAGGGAAAAAAGCAAAGGGGAAATTCAGAATCCTGCAAGACAAAGAGAACCAAAAGAGCATGGGTGACATCAGCAAGATGGCAGAATAGGAATCCCTAGACCTTTCTTCCCTTACGGAAATGTGGATTTAGTAATACGTAGACCAAATTGAAGCCCAATAAGAAGATTTGTGGCACTATCACCAGAGCCCCTACCCCCAGCATGGTGAGGCTGAATTGGGAGGAAATTTACAACTCCTGTTTTCTTCCTGGAGAGGGAAAAGGGTAGAATGTAGGTCCAACATTTTGAATTTCAGATTTACCAGAGGGGCCAGTATTTATCATGCTTGAATCCAAACACTGAAAGGAATATGGCCTACCCTGTGGGCAGGGGTTGTGGGGCGGCGGGGTAGGTGGGGGTGCTCTCCAAAAACAAAGTACACCAAAGTCTGCGGTACCACAGAAATTAGATGGAGCTTCAGCACTAAGGCTTTTTATAGCACCAGGGTTGCCACAGTATGGCAGAAAGACATCAGGGTAGAAACTGGCAAATCTCTTCAATTAGGAGATTATACACACGAGACCAGAGAGGGCACATCTTCAGAAAAGGCTTGAGATATCTTCAGAATTTCTAGCTGGAGTGAGTGAAGAAAGTTCTCGTTGTATGAAACTAGATCATAAAATTTGGGAGAGGTGGCTGATTCTTCAAGTGGCAAAATTCCAGTAAAAAATAACAAGACATACAAAGAAACATGACACATTTAAATGAATAAATATCCAGAAAACAACCCTCAATAAATGTAGAAATATTAATTACCAAAGAAGTAAAAATTACCGTTATAAGGATGTTCAGTGAATTAAAAGCACAAATAGACAACTAAATGAAATCAGGAAAACTATAAAAAACAAAATGAAAATATTGACAAAGAGAAACTATGAAGAAGAACCAAACAAATTTTTGGGCTGAAAAATACAATAGCTGAATTGAAAAATTCACTAGAAGGAATCAACAGCAGACTTAACCAATCACAAGAAAGCATCAGCAAATTCTCAAGACAGGACTTTTGAGATTACCAAAGCAAAGAAGCAAAAAGAAAATGACAGGATAAAAGTGAAATGGTAGAAACATATATTTCGTGTAATTAGGAATACAAAAAGAGTAGGGATGGCCATACTTAGAAAATGTAGACTTTAAGAAAAAACTGTCAGAGGCAAAGATGGATTTTATATATATATATATAAAATCATATATATAATATATGTATATAAAATATATATATTATATATAAAACATATATATATGACTAAAAGGGTCAATTCATCATAAAAATAACACATATGCATCTGACATTAAAGCTGTCAAATATATGAGGAAAATACAGAACTGAAGAGAGAAATAGATAGCAACACATGGTTTTAGGATACTTCAATACCCCACTTTCAGTTATAGACAAAACAGATAGAAAAGCAACAAGGAAACAGAAAACTTGAACACTGTAGACCAATTGGAACTAAAAGATACATACAGAACACTTTACCCAACAACAGTAGAATGCACATTCTTAAATGCAGATGGAGCATTCTCCAACATAGACTACATGTTTGGCCATAAAACAAGTCAACAGATTTAAGAATATTGAAATCATACAAAGTATCCTCTCACACCACAACAGAAGGAAACTAGCAATCAATAGCAGAAGGAAAACATGAAAATTCACAAATATGTGGATATTAAACAATATACCCTTAGGCAACCAATGGGCCATAGAAGAAATCATAAGATTTAGAAAGTATCTGGAGCCAAACAGAAACAAATCATACCAAAAGTTATGGGATGCAGCAAAATCAGTACTAAAAGGGAACTTTATAGTGGTAAATGCTTATAGTAAAAAAAGGATCTCAAATCAACAACTTAACCTTACACCTCAGGAACTAGAACAAGAAAAATAAATAAAACGTAAGGCTAGCAAAAGGAAGAAAATAAAGACTAAAGTAGAAATAAATAGAGGATAGAAAAGAAAAAACAAATCAGTTAAACCAAGACTTAGTTTTTGGAAAGATCAAGAAAATTGACAAACCGGTAACTAGACTAAGAAAAAAAGGGGACTCAATTATCTAAAATTAGAAATAAACGAGGGAAAACTACAACAGATGTCACATAAATAAAAATAATTACAAAAGACTAACTGCTATAAACAATTACACACTAACAAACTGGCCAAACTAGAAGAAATGGATAATTTATAGAAACAAAACCTACCAAGAGTGAGTCATGAATAAATTAAAAATCTGAACAGACCTATAACTAGTAAGGAGAATGAGACAGTAATCAAAAACCTCTCAAAAAGAAAAGCCCAGGACCAGATGGCTTTACTGAAGGATTCTATTAAACATTTAAAGAAAAATTAGGGCTGGGCATGGTGGCTCATGTCTACAATCCAAGAACTTTGAGAGTCTGAGGTGGGAGGATCACTTGAGCAAAGCAATTTGAGAGCAGCCTGAGCTATATGGTGAGACCTCCATCTCTACAAAAAAATAATTTAAAAATTAGCCAGGTGTGGTGGCACCTGTCCCTGTGATCCTAGCTACTTGGGAGGCTGAGGTGGGAGGATAGCTTGAGCTTGATAGGTTGAGGCTACAGTGAGTTGTGATCATGCCACTGTACTCCAACCTGGGTGACAGAGTGATACTCTGCCTTAAAAAAGTTGTAAACAGGCCGGGCATGGTGGCTCACGCCTATAATCCCAGCACTTTCGGAGGCCAAGGTGGGCGGATCAGGAGATCAGGAGATCGAGACCATCCTGATTAACATGGTGAAACCTTGTCTCTTCTAAAAATACAAAAAATTGGCTGGGCGTGGTGGTGGGCAACTGTAGTCCCAGCTACTTGGGAGGCTGAGGCAGGAGAATGGCATGAACCCGGGAGGCAGAACTTGCAGTGAGCCAAGATCGCACCACTGCACTCCAGCCTGGGTGACACAGCAAGACTGCGTCTCAAAAAAAAAAAAAAAAGAAGAAGAAGTTGTAAAGAAAAATAATTAACATCAATCCTCAGATTATCTGGAAGAATTAAAGAGGAGGGAATCCAAACTAATTTTATGAGGCCAACGTTACCCTTGTACCAAAACCATCAAAAGACACCAAGAAAACTACAGTACAATATCCTTGATGGATACTGATGCAAAATTTGTAAACAAAATACTAGCAAAGTAAATTCAACAGCACATTAAAAGGATCATACACCATGACTGCAGGGATCTGTCCTGCAGACCCCAGCTGCATAACGGATGAGATACGTACTCAGACACCAATGTTCAGTGAAAGAGTGGGCCAGGGGGCTGCCAGCACTGGCAGCCAAAGAGAGTTTGCAGCCCCTCCAAGCTGGCAACCATTTATTTACTACAGATTTAATTGACAAAGGCTTTGAGTGAACACACCTGTGGGTAATTAACCTGGTCGCCCCCACCCAGGAGAGGGCCATTCTGCCTGTGAATGATCAAAGGTTGATTTTAGGACCACATGAGTAAACAAGCTATTTAGATGAACTACTCTACATTCCTTTGTATCTGCACCCCAAGCTATTAACTCTAGGTAAGGATTAGGCTGCTTTCAGCCATAACCCTATCCTGAGACTTTTGCAAAACCTTCCAGCCTTCCAAGAAGGTTTGTGTCTATATCCTATAACTTCATCTTAAAATTTTTCCCACCAGCTTGACCGAACTCCCACATCTCCCTCTTCCCTGTTTTTTTTTTGCATCAGGTTCTGTTGATTGAAGCATGCAGATATGTGCAACAACAGGTCTGTGGGGCGAGGCAGTCATTGCTCTTATTCTGGCATTGCATCCTAGAATTAGCAAATAACATAAGACAGTCATGAGTAAAATTAGCAACATTCTTTTCCAATCAAGGAACGACCTGCAGCATTGCTTGGCGCTTCAGTTTGATGTGTGCTGTTACTAAGGAACCTCACTGGGGATAAGTTAACCCCTTCCAGCCAAGCAGTCTCATTGTTAGAAGCTGGGAAGGAAGTGTCTGCCCAGATAACAGGGCTGAAAAATGGCAGGTTTAGAAGATGAGCTTAATTGAGTGTAGCAGGTATAGGTAGCAGGCACAGGGAGAGAATAAAAAAGGAATACATTATCTGGAGTGAATGGTGCCTGTTCCCGGAGCAGGATTTGCTCAGTCTTCTGACTTGTCTTCTTCAGTATAATGTCTGGGGCCTGTGTTGTTTGAGGAAGCCGCATCCTCCGGGGATGCAGGTCCTGTAGGGTCAGTTCCTTCATTTCTGGTACCGGCTTGGTTCCTAGCCATGCCATGGTGTGGTTTGATGCGTCATGCTGGAATCCAAAGAGGACCTGAGGGGGTGTAGACACAAGCATACCCTCTTCCCCAAGTTAACAGTTCATTTGGACCACACCGTACATTGCTGTTTACATCTTTCAATAAAACTGCAGGTTTTATGTCTTGAGAGGTTTCAGCAAAGTGCTTTTCTACAGCTGATTGAAATTTATCATCTAAATTTAGAAAATTAAGGGTAAATAAGACTTGCGCCAATAGTGTTGCAGGGTCTTTACTCACACTCCCCCTTTTTTATTTTTTGAGCATATTTTTAAGGGTTGAATGGGTACGTTCTCCTATGGCCTGTCCTTGGGGGTTATACGGGATGCTGATGGAATATTGGATGTTCCAAGTGTGACAAAATTGTTGGAATTGTGAACTGGCATAAGCTGGACAATTATCAGTTTTAATTTTTGTGGGCTGTCCCATAAGTGCAAAAGTTAAAAGAAGATGTTTAATGACATATTGAGTGGACTCTCCAGGTAAGGCATGGGTACTAATTAGATGAGTGTTTGTATCAACGGATACATGTACATATCTTAGTTTTACAAATTCAGGGATGTGTGTAACATCTATTTGCCATACTGATCAGGTTCTAATCCTCTAGGGTTAACACCTGTTGAAGGAGGGTACATGCCTGTGAGCTGGCAATCCAGGCATTGTAGGATAATTAGTTTAGCCAGTCTCTGGGTAAGTTGAAATTGTTTAGATAAGTTTCTTCAATTTTGGTGGGAAAATTGATGTGATTGGGTGGCTTGGTCAAGCAGTGATGTCATAACCTGAAGGTCTGCTTGATCATTGCCATAAGCCAATGGGCCAGGCAGTGAGCTGTGGGCTTGAAGGGGTATAATAAAAATAGGATGTGTACATTGATCTAGCAATTGCTGAAGTCAGAGAAAAAGAGCACACAAGGTGGGCTCCAGAGTGGACTTAATTAGGGCTATCTCAAGGTTCTGAAATAAAAAGTAGGCAGAATCACTAACAATATTGAGGGGCTGAGCAGAAACAGTTTCCAAAGCCAATATTAAGGCCCAAATTTCAGCTTTTTGAGTGCTAGTAAACCTAGATCAAGTGAGTGAATTATGTGGTCTCCACCAGACTGCTGCCTTTCCATGTTTACCAGAACCATCAGTAAACAGTGTTAAAGCATTAGGTATGGGGGAGTGAACTATTTTTGTAGCAAGATCACAGGACTATGAGATAAGAAATGAAGGAGTTTATCAGCAGGAAGTACATGCTCTATTTGTCCTGCGTAATCAGAGAGTGCTATTTGCAGATCCATCGATAAGGGCAATAATGCTTCGAATTGCTTTTTACTTAAAGGAATCCTGATGATATCAGGATCATAACCTAGCAACTGATTGCATCATTCTATATGGGTAGCTTTTAATTGCTCCTTAACAAATTTATGGGCCCTTTGTAATTTCTGTCCCTTTAGAGGTTATTATTTTATTTAAATTGGATTTGGAGAGAGTTATGTTAAGGGTAGAAGACAAATAACAATAGTGGCCATTATTAGGTCTTTTAAATTCTTAAATTTTACTTAGATCTTAGCAGAGAATTATAATCTGGGATGTCACTTGTATACAAGGAACACATGAAATTTTGCCCTGGGCTGCCTGTGGAACTGGAGAGCTAAGCAGGCGGGTCCCAGGGTGGTGGCTGTGTTGTGCCCACCTAGTCGCTGCTTTTTGTTTATGCTGTTTTTTTTTCTGTGTTGCTCCCTACCCCTGCCACCAGTAGGCTGCTACTGGCTGGCAGACATTCCCACGCATGCCTTCTACCCCTCCCTAGCAGGCCAGCTCCTGCACTCTGGGCCTGGCTTCCGGTGGCCACCGCCACTGTGCAGGCTGAGCTCTTGGGAGCAATTGCCGGCTTTGGGTTTGTGAGCTTACCCACTGCTGAGCCTTTCCTTCTACCTACCGCTTGCTCGGCCATGCAGCTCCAGCCTCTAATGACTTTTCTTATCTTTTTATAAGTGTTAAAATAAATGAGTTTATATACCTGATTGCCTTGTCAATCTAGCATTACCAGGCAGGCTAAGAGCTCCACTTCCAATGCTGCTTGCTTAAGACAGTGTCTTATAGCTGTAGCATATCCCTTGCCTTTTTCCCAATTCATTGGAGGAGGGGGTTCAGGCAAGACCTCTGTTTCCTCTTTGTTATTTTGGTCCAGTGATGGGGGGCTGAGGGAAAAGGAGGTGGTAAGGCAGGTGACAGTTCCTCCTCCTTCCCCATTTTAGGCTCTTTGGTGTATAACGGAGTCAGGGCCACCCTAACTAAAGCCCATAGCATTAAAGAAGATACTGGGACCCGTTGCCCTTGCACATGATGTTGTTTAAGATTTCTCCCCACTTGTTCCCAGAGCTCTATGTCTAGTGTGCTTTCTTTGGGGAACCACGGGTTATGGGATTCAACAGTTTGCATTAGGTCCCTTAATTGAGCCTGCGAAATCGAGGCTCCACTAGCTTTAAGCAGATGTTTCAATACTTTTGTATACTGCTTCTGTTGAACTGATAATTATTGTCCCAGATGAAACCCAAGCCTGAACAATCCCCCCTGAGCTCCCACTTGTGGGGGTCTGTCCTGCACACCCCAGCTGCACAACAGATGAGACACGTACTCAGACACTGATATTCAGTGAAAGAGTGGGCCAGGGGGCTGCCAGCACTAGGGGCTGAAGAGAGTTTGCAGCCCCTCCAAGTCGGCAAAGCTTACATTTATTTAGTACAGATTTAATTGACAAAGGCTTTGAGTGAACACACCTGTGGTAATTAACCTGGTCACCCCCACCCTGGAGAGTGCCATTCTGCCTGTGAATGATCAAAGGTTGATTTTAGGACCACATGAGTAAACAAGCTATTCAGATGAACTACTCTACATTTGTTTGTATCTGCAGCCCAGGCTATTAACTCAAGGTAAGGATTAGGCTGCTTTCAGCCATAACCCTATCCTGAGACTTTTGTAAAACCTTCCAGCCTTCCAAGAAGCTTTATGTCTATATCCTATAACTTCATCTTAAAATTTTTCCCACCAGCCTGACTGAACTCCCACATATGACCAAGAAGGAATTATATCTGGAATGCAAGGATGGCTTATTTGACAAAATTCATCATCTTTTCATGAAAAAAGAAAACAATCAACGAAGTAGGAAACTACCGCAACATAATAAAAACCATATATGAAAAGTCCACAACTAACATCACACTCAACAATGAAAATCTGAAAGCTTTTTCTCTAAGTTCAGGAACAAAGCAAGGATGTCCACTCTCACAGCAACTGTTTAACATGGTACTGGAAGTTCTGGTCTGAACAATTAAGCAAGAAAAAATTTAAAAGGCATCCAAGTTAGAAAGACAAAGTATAATTAACTCTTTTGGCAGATGACATGATTTTATATGTCAAAAACACTAAAGATTCCACACACACAAAAAAAACTGTGACAATAAACAACTATAGTAAAGTTTTGGAATACAAAATCAACACAAAATCTGTAGGTTTTCATAAAGTAACAATGACCAATATGAAAAAGAAATTAAGAAAATAATTTCATCTGCTAAAGCATCAAATAGAATACAATGCTTAGGAATAAACAATCAAGGAGGTGAAAGACTTGTGCACTGAAAACTACAAAACATTACTAAAATAAATCAAAGAAAGTACAAATGGAAAAACATCCCATGCTTGTGGATTGAAAGGCTTAATATTGTTTGTTGTTGTTGTTGTTGCTGCTGCTGTTGTTTTTGAGACAGAGTCTAGCTCTTTTGCCCAGGCTGGAGTGCAGAGGCTTGATTTTGGCTCACTGCAACCTCCGCCTTCTGGGTTCAAGTGGTTCTCCTGTCTCAGCCTTCAGAGTAGCTGGGATTACAGGCATCTACCACCATGCCTCATAGTAGTGATGGGGAGTTTCACCATGTTGGTCAGGCTGGTCTTGAACTATTGACCTTGTAATCCACCCACCTCAGCCTCCCAAAGTGCTGGGATTATAGGCATAAGCCACTGTGCATGGCCATATTATTAAATATTGTTACTAATATGACTTAATATTGTTAAAATGGCCATACCACCCAAAGTGATCTACAGGTTCATTGCAATCTCTATCAGAATCCCAATGATATTTTTTACATGAATAGAAAAAAAAAATCCCAAAATTAATACAGAATCCAAAGAGACTCCAAATAGCCAAACAATCTTAAAAAAGAACAAATTGGAGGCCTCAAGTGGCCTGATTTCAAAACAGATTACAAAGCAACAGCAATTAAGATGGTGTGGTAGTGGCATAAAGATAGCTGTTTAGTCCAATAGAACAGAATATAGAACCCAGAAATAAACTCTTACATGTATGGTCAAACTACTTTCCACAAAAAATGTGAAAATGGGAAAGAACAGCCTTTTCAACAAGAAAGAACACAATGGGAAAGAACAGCCGTTTCAACAAATGGTGTTGAGAAAACTGGATATCCACATGCGAAAGAGTGATGAAGTTGAATCTTTACACCATATACAAAATTAAAATGGTTGAAAGACCTAAATGTAAACCTTATAGCTATAAAACTCCTAGAAGAAAACGTAGGAGAAAAGCTTCAGGATGTTGGATTTGGCAATAACTTCTTGGATATGATACCAAGAACACAGGCAACAAAATAAAAATAGACAAAAGAGGCTACATCAAATTGTAAAATGTTTGCATGTCAAAGGAAACAACAGAGTGAAAAGGCAACCCATGACATGGGAGAATAACTGCAAATCATATGTTTTTTAAATATTTTGTGGGTACATAGCAGGTGTATATATTTATGGAATGCATATTTTGATGCAAGCATGCAATGTGTAATAATCACATCATGAAGAATGGGGTATCCATCCCCTCAGGCATTTATCCATTGTGTTACAAACAGTCCATTTACACTTTTATTTTAAAATGTACAATTCAGTTATTATTGACTATAGTCACACTGTTGTGCTATCAAATAGTAAGTCTTATTTATTCTTTCTGGTTTCTTGTACCCATTAGCCATTGAAAGTCATATATCTGATAAATGTTTAATATCCAGGATATATAAGCAACTTCTACAACTCTACACAACACACAAAACACAATTATAAAATGGGCAACGGACTTGAATATACGTTTCTCCAAAGATGATATGCAAATACTCAATGAGCACATAAGAAGATGCTCAACACTAATAATTAGGGAAATGCAAATCGAAACCAAAATGAGATATCACTGCACAGCCATCAGGCTGGCTAATATCAAAATAACCGAAAATTACAAGTGTGTTGATGAGGATGCAGAAGTTGGAACCATGGTGCACTATGGGTGGGAATGTAAAATGGTGCAGCCATTATGAAAAACAGTATGAAGTTTCCTCAAAGAAATAAAAATAGAGCCGGGCGCGGTGGCTCACGCCTGTAATCCCAATACTTTGGGAGGCCGAGGGGGGCGGATCACGAGGTCAGGAGATCAAGAACATCCGGGCTAACACGGTGAAAACCCGTCTCTACTAAAAATACAAAAAATTAGCCAGGCGTGGTGGCGGGCGCCTGTAGTCCCAGCTGCTCGGGAAGTTGAGGCAGGAGAATGGCGTGAACCTGGGAGGTGGAGCTTGGAGTGAGCCGAGATCGCGCCACTGTACTCCAGCCTGGGTAACACAGCGAGACGCCGCCTCCAAAAAAAAAAAAAAAAGAAAGAAATAAAAATAGAATTACTATATGATCCAGCAATTCCATTTCTGAGTAGATATCCAAAAGAACTGAAACCAGCATGTTGAAGAGATATTTGCACACTTATGTTCATTGCAGGATTGTTCACAATTACCAAGAAGTGGAAGCAAGCAAAAATGTCTAGGAACAAATGAATGGATCAAGAAAATGTGGCATATACATACAGTGGAGTATGATGTAGCCTTCAAAAAGAAAGAAATTCTGTCACATACTACAACATGGATGTCCTTGAGGACATTATGCTAAGAAAAATAAGCCAGTCACAGGACAAAAAATGTGTGATTCTACTCATATAAAGTATCCAAAACAGTAAAAATCATAGAAACGGAAAGTAGAAAGATAGTTGCCAAGGGCAGGGAGGAGGCGGAACTAGTGTTTAGCAGGTGAAGAGTTTCAGTGTTACAAGAGGAAAAAGTTTTAGAAATCTGTTACACAACAATGTTAATATACTTAACACTACTGAATTGTAGATTTAAAAATGGTTAAGATGATAAATTTAATTTTATATATTTTTACCACAATAAAAAAAGAGACATACAACCTCTTTCTGCTATTAAAAAAAATCCATTGTTAAATCTGCCCTTTACTACATTGAGAACAGAGGGCATTCTTGAACTTGGAATCTTATGAATAACACAAAACTGCCAATTCTATCTGTGGAATGAATATACAAAAGCAAACCTCTTATAAAGCCACTATTACAAGAAAACAGAAATATGAAAACATTTCAGCTTTTGAAAATTTCTTCCAAAAGCCAAACATTAAATAGGAAAAAACATTTTCACAGCAATCGAAACTAAAATATCTCCTCAAACAGGTATTTGGCAATGTGGAAGCAAACAGACAAACAAAACATCTTGTAAAAACTCAGAGACTATTATCCTTTGTGGCTTCCTAAGGAATCTGCTAGAGGATGAGCTCTAGGGAAACTAGCAAAAGCAATGATAGTGAGCATTTAATATATTTACTTGTAGATCCATGGCTTAGCCTAGGTGGGGCTGGTGGGAATATAATACATAAATGTTATATGTTGTCACAAAGTAAAAATAATGCAACTAAAAATAGGAGAAGAATAAGGAAAACAGGAAGGTGTAATTAGCTCTTTGCTTTTAGATAATAGTTAGCAGTCAGATGGTGCCATTAAAAATTGACAAGCCAGATTGCAAAATGTCATATAACAGGAACTAAAAGTCTTATGAAAGGTACAAGTAAAAAAGTAACACTAGATTAAAAGCACAAACCTAAAATATTAAAAGAAAACAAAAAGAACAAAGAAAACTCATCACATGGGGGAAAACACGGTAAATATAACAATACATGTAGTGATTAGATCCTAAAGTAATGAGACAGCTGTGAATGGGCTTACCTAAAATTGACTCACAAAACAAGGTCCAACTCCATGCTCTATATAAGAGACAGATCTAAACCAAAGTGATTTATAAGGACAAAATATAAAGGAATTACAAATGTATACCAGTATACCAAAAATAAAAGTAGATATGTACAACTGTATTCACTGCAGCATAATTTGTCATTGCAAAACACGGCAAACAACCCAAAAGTTCATACATGGAAAATTGGTTGAATAAACTAGCACATCTACATCATGGAATGCTTGGCAAGTGTAAAGAATGAGGAAAAAAACTCAGTGAACTAATATGGAGTGGTTTCCAGAATACATTAAGTGCAAAAGCAAAGTGGAAGAGAAGATAATGTATGCTACTTTTTGTAGATAAAGCAATAAATAGAAAATGTGTATGTAACTCATTTTTATTTTAAAAAGAGGTGAGTGGCATTGCGTTGGAAGGAATTACTGAAAGGCTGGTGACAAATCTCTATTCTTTTTGTATGGTTTTGAATTATGGAACCATTTAAATTGAGGAAATAAAATTTTTAAATTTTCAAATTTTAAATTGAGAAATTCTATTTTCTTCCTAAAATAGAAATAGAAAAAGGAATCTGGTTGTATTTCAAAAGGACTTAGCCACTCTAAATGGGTGGGGAGGAAGAGTTATCCCAAGTAAATTTTGAATCCAGTATTTTGTCTGTATTTGTTCAAACCCTGAGTGACAATGGCTAACAAAAATAAAATTAAGCTATTAGGTTTATTTTACACAATGATATGGTTAGTGATTTTGAATCTATTTCTGTGTTTTATAAGAATGAGCAAATAAATAAATATATTGAAGAAGTTGGGATGTGGGGAGGCAGGCTGTTCACTTCTGGAGAAAGGTGTTACTAATATGGAATGGGAGAAGGCTAGCATGAACCCTGTGGAGTTTGATTTCACGTAGAAGTATCAGTATGAACTTGTATTTTTAATAGAAATCTAGCTATGGTTGTGTAGATATGTTTTTTTTTTTAAACCATGAGATTTCCCAGCTGTGTCTGCTGAAAAGACTCTGAGACAATGACACTCAAGTAGACATAAGCTTACCTTGCACCCATATAGTGGCTTCTAAATGCCATTTCTCAATAAAATAGACCAGGACTCCTGCATGATTCTCAGTCTAGGCTGAAGAAAAATACAAGATGAGCCTGGGGTATCTTTTATGCTAGAAAGTAAGACAGCATTCAAAAATGGAGATATGTTAAAAGTACACTAGAGCTAGCTTAAAGGGCTCCCTTTGGTCAATTCTGGGGCATTTTGAGCATAAAATATAATAATAATAAAGTATAATTTCTTGCATAAAATAAGGATCTGTATATCCATATTGATGTAAATAAAAAATAATAAGCAAGGGAGAAAGAAAAACTCTTCCTTACAATAAAATGCCACACAATTTGAAAGAAATGGTGGATTTGGAAAAATCACCATTTTGCAAGCTAAATAGCAAAACTGATCAAGACAAGAATCATCAGCATTTACTAAAACTAGTGAGTGAATTTTTGATGAGTAACAGGATATTTTCATATTGTCAAAGTATTTCACCACAAATTATTATTAATTACAAAGAGAAGATTGTATTTCCAGATTCTTTTTTTTTTTTATGATGAAGTATCTATCCGGTTTCACCCTTTTCTTTCCTGAAATCTAGTCTCTGTTTGGACAAACTTGGTTTGTCTTACCTTTTTCTGTTTATCTTTTGCTTTTTTCTGAGACAGGGTCTCGCTCTGTCACCGAAGCTGGAGTGCAGTGATGCAATCTCGGCTCACTACAAACTCCACCTCCTGGGTTCAAGCAATTCTTGTGCCTCAGCCACCCGAGTAGTTGGTATTACAGGCA
The DNA here is from genome assembly GCF_000001405.40 of Homo sapiens. Classification (NCBI taxonomy): domain Eukaryota; kingdom Metazoa; phylum Chordata; class Mammalia; order Primates; family Hominidae; genus Homo; species Homo sapiens. The sequence continues at coordinate 154,846,043 of NC_000004.12, forward strand.
TGTGCCTCACATCTGGCTAATTTTTGTATTTTTTGTTGGGGGGTGGTCCTCATGATGTTTCCCATGATGGTCTCGAACTCCCGGCCTCAAGTGATACACCTGCCTCAGCCTCCCAAAGTGCTGGGATTACAAATGTTTTCTACCGCGTCTGGCCTCGTCTACTTTTTGTGTATAACAGAACCTTGATGATGACAGTGTTCATAGGTTAACTTCATATGTGATTTCTCAGTTTCATTGTGAACTAGTGATTCGTATCCACTCCTGAATTTATGTTCCACAAGTATCTAGCCGCAGCTCCTGCTTAGCTAAGACATGGTGTTACATTAGGTTAGAGAGAATTATACCAAGGACCAAGATTGCAAAGCCTGCTATTAGACCAAAAAATAGTTCTAATAGATAAAACACACATGAAAGTCACAGTTGCCTCATTATTTCAACAATACAGAGGGCTTTTGATGATTGGAAAGATTATCATGAGGGCTAATGACCCAAGATGAAAATTGTTTACATTCAATTCAACAAGCATTGATTGAACACATCCTATGTGCTGACTTCTGGAAAGATGCATATTAATATGGTTCCCAACCTCAAAGAAATCATAGTACTGGAAAGCAGATAAACATATAAACAAATAAAATGTAACATTGTGATATGGTTTGGCTGTGTCCCCACCAAAATCTCATCTCGAATTCCCATTTGCTATGGGAGGAACCTGGTGGGAGGCAATTGAATCATGGGGACGGGTATTTCCCGTGCTGTTCTCATAATGAAAAAGTCTGTTGAGATCAGATGGTTTTAAAAATGAAAGTCTTCCTGCACAAGCTCTCTTCTCTTGCCTGTCACCGTGTAAGACATGCCTTTCACCTTCTGCCATGATTGTGAGGCTTCTCCAGTCACGTGGAAGTGTAAGTCCAATAAAACTCTTTCTTGGTTATGTCTTTATCAGCAGTGTGAAAATTGAATAATGCAATAAATTGGTACTAATAGAGTGGGGTGCTGCTGAAAAGATACCCAAAAATGTGGACGTGACTTTGGAACTGGGTAGCAGGCAGAGACTGGAACAGTTTGGAGGACTCAGAAGAAGACAGAAAAATGTGGGAAAGTATGGAACTTCCTAGAGATTTGTTGAATGGCTTTGACCAAAATGCTGATAATGATATGGACAATGAAATCCAGGCTGAGGTGGTCTCTGATGGAGATGAAGAACTTGTTGGGAACTGGAGCAAAAGTGACTCTTGCTACATTTTAGCAAAGAGATTGGTGGCATTTTGCCCCTATCCTAGACATTTGTGGAACTTTGAACTTGAGAGAGATGATTTAGGGTATCTGCCAGAAGAAATTTCTAAGCAGCAAAGCATTTAAAAGGTGACTTGGGTGCTGTTAAAGGCATTCAGTTTTATAAGGGAAGCAAAGCATAAAAATGTGGAAAATTTGTAGCCAGACTATGTAATAGAAAAGAAAAACCCATTTTCTGAGGAGAAATTCAAGCTGGCTGCAGAAATTTGCATAAGTAATGAGGAGTCGAATGTTAATCCCCAAGACAATGAGGCAATGTTTCAGGGCATGTTAGAGGTCTTCACATCTGTCCCTCCCATCACAGGCCCAAGGCCTAGGAGGAAAAAGTGGTTTTTTGGCCCCAGCCCAGGGTCCCCTTGCTGTATGCAGCCTAGGGACTTGGTGCCTGCATTCTAGCCACTCCAGTTGTGGCCGAAAGGGGCCAACGTAGAGCTCAGGACATGGCTTCAGAGAGTGCAAGCCCCAAGCTTTGGCAGCTTCCATGTAGTATTGAGCCTGAGAGTGCACAGAAGTCAATAATTGGGGTGTGCATACCTCTGCCTAAATTTCAAATGTATGGAAACGTCTGGTTGCCCAGGCAGAAGTTTGCTGCAGGTTTGGGGCCCTCATGGAGAACCTCTGCTAGGGCAGTGCAGAAGGGAAATGTGGAGTAGGAGCCCACAGAGTCCCTACTGGAGCACCACCTAGTGGAGCTGTGAGAAGAGGACCACCATCCTCTAGACCCCAGAATGGTAGATCCACTGACAGTTTCACCATGTGTAAGAATTAAAGAAAGTGGAAAGAAACACAAAAGGTGGCTCACCAGTCAAGACATTTTTATTTTAGAGAAAACAAACCTTAGAGGAGCTTCTGGTTGAGTTAGGTCAGAGGCGCACTCTCTTACAGACTAAGAGTTTTTAAGGATTCAGGGTGGGATTGTTTATCAGAGGCTTGGACTGCTTCTGTGTCTCTTTGTTGTGCTTATCTGGGAGGGAGAGTTGTGTGTCTATTCCCATACATCTTTCTGCAGTTGCAGGTATACCCCTGAGTCTGCTTTTAGCTTCCTCATCTTAGTGCACCTGAAGGAAAAGGAATGTGCTTATTAAGGCCCACTGTTTTACTGGGACCCATTGTGTGAGGGTGAAGTTTGGCAGTTACACAAGAGATTTTCCCCCACCTCCCTCTGTGCTCAAGCTGTCTTATTTGTGTTTTACTGTCTGCTCTTTCTGGCTGCTTGTAGTTAGAACAGAAGTGATTTTCTTGAAATGCATGAGGCTAGAAAGGGAGCTGGAACTTAAAGTGGCGGTGTTTGTCTGAGATGATGGTGCCCCTGCTCTGTCATTGTGCACCTGGAAAAGCCACAGACGCTCAACCCCAGCCCACGAAGGCAGCCAGGAGGGAGGCCGTACCCTGCAAAGCCACAGGGGTGGAGCTGCACAAGAACATGGAAACCCACCTCTTGCATCAGCATGCCTGGATGTGAGACATGGAGTCAAAGGAGATCATTTTGAAGCTTTAAGATTTGACTGCCCCCTGTGGATTTTGGATTTGCATGGGGCGACTTTGTTTTGGCCAATTTCTCCCATATGGAATGGCTCTATTTACCCAATGTCTGTATCCCCCTTGTATCCAGGAAGTAAATAAATTGCTTTTGATTTTACAGGCTCATAAACCAAAGGGACTTGTCTTTTCTCAGATAAGACTTTGGATTGTGGACTTTTGAGTTAAGGCTAAAATGAGTTAAGACTTTGGGGGACTGTTGGGAAGGCATGATTGGTTTTGAAATGTGAGCACATGAGATTTGAGAGGGGCTGGGGGTGGAATGATATGGTTTGGCTGTGTCCCCACCCAAATCTCATCCCAAATTCCCACGTGTTGTGGGAAGGACCCAGTGGGAGGTAATTGAATCGTGTGGGCAATGCTGTTCTCATGATAGTGAATAAGACTTATGAGACTTATGAGATGTGATGGTTTTAAAAAGAGGAGTTTCCCTGCACAAGTACTCTTCTCTTGTCTGCTGCCATGTGAGATGTACCTTTTCCCTTCTATCATGATTGTGATGCCTCCCCAGCCATGTGGAACTGTAAGCCCAGTAAACCTCTTTCTTTTGTAAATTGCCCAGTCTTGGGTATGTCTTTATCAACAGTGTGAAAACAGACTAATACACATAGTGAGGCCAGAAAATTGTCAAAAGCATCTGGATAGAAATTACTGGAACTAGAATTCCAGGGTCTTGTAGAAGATTATTCTGTGTCCTGAATCATAGAAAATTTCATGATTCTTCTGTTGCCCAGTATGCCATAAGTGTAGGTGAAAATATATTTTAGACTAACATAAAAATTTTAAAAACTGTTTATATAAGCTAAGCCTCCCTTCACATTTAAACATTCCTCACTGTCCCCTATTATACTATGATGGTAACATTCTAAAATAAGCAATAGGAGCAATTCTCAAGAAAGATAGGAGCAGCTGGCTGTAAGTTACCTCTTGCCCTTAATTTGAAAAGTTTCATCCTTGAATATCTTATATGTTCAATTTGTAAACCTCTTATATTCACATACTCAGCAGATATTTAATTTATGCCTACTACCTGCAAGTGGTAATCAGTGTTGGATATACAATGATGAGAGTGCACTGTCCCTCTTCTCATGGGGTGCAGCACTGACCAATCAATATATAAGTCCCCTTGAGTCAAAGCTTCTGTATTTCTCAGTGACAGGGATATTCCTGAGAACAAGTGTCTGCATCAATATCCAGTCCTCAATAAACAAGGGGAACATCAGGATTGCATGAAATCCTATAGAGCACAAATGTTCAGGTAAATTACCTCTGCTCTGATTATGTAACTATGTACCTGTTCCAAAAGGGCTCTGTAGAATCTTTTCCAACAATAGGTAATGCTTAAAAACGATATTCAGAAAACACGTAAGAGAGGAATGCAAACCAAATTGTCATCCACTGACATCCTGGCCTTTTAAATTCCTCAACATGCCACTGAAATAGTACAAGTGATTAACTATCTGGGGTGCCAGTAAACAATTATTGATAATATGCTGTGTGAAGTAGGAAAAGTAGTTTTCTAAGATGAGAAGGAGGCATGGTATTTCAGTTAGAAAAAATAGTATATGCAAACATGGTATTGTGAGATGGCACAGCACTTACAGAGAATTAGAAGAAGTTTGGAATGAAGGAAGCCTAAATTGCAGAATTAGAAGAAGGTGAGAATGAGATAATCAAACATAAGCCTGGAGAGGAAGGCAGAGATCAGGTCAGGAGGACATTTGTGAGCTTGTTCTTCGTTCTGTAGTTCATGGGAAACAGATAACAGCCTTAAATAGAGAAAAGAAGTAATATTATTTGAATTTCTGAAAGTCACTTTAGTTGCCAAGACAAGTCCTGGAAGACTTGCAGAAGGCAAGTTAGTAATGAGTGACGTCTTGAGGAAGAGATTCCAGTTAGGAAGCTTGTTTTAGTAATCCAGGTGATAGATGGATAGCCTGAACTAGGACATAGCAACTGAGGTAGAGGGGAAAGGATGGGTTTGAAAGGTTTGGGAAGGGATTGGCTATAGACATTGGGGATGAGAAAAGAAATCAGGAGAAGCTTTAGTTTTCCTACTAGTAGAATTAGGTGGTATGCAGGGTATGCTATATTGGCAATGAGTTTTATTTATGCTCTTCTTTATTCCCTCCTGTATTGTAAGGGCAGAGAGGCTAAAAACTACATTTTCCAGATTCCTTTGCAGTGGTGGTTCTGGGTTTGATTCAGGTAGTGTGAATAAGATGCACTCACAGGACCCCTGGAATTTGAAGGTGAGACAGAGGCCCTCTTTCTATTGCTGTGCTGGCTGGTGACAATAGTTAAATATACATGTTTTCAGTAGCAGATGGCAATTCCTAGTGTCTAGTCATGAACTTTGTGGGTGTGAGGCACTCGTGGTGGCAGTAGTTGTGGTAGCAGCAACACCAGCAGCTACCTGATTAAATTGCAGCTGGGGGCAAGGGGGTGTGATCTTGAAATCCAAATTGTCCATGGGTGGGCTCCTTACTTATGTTTCTGTCTAGCAATTTTTTCAGCACCCAATTTCTTGTGCTAAGTCCCCTTCTGTGTGAAATATCTAGAATGTTTTCTGTTTCTTGTGCTGAAGCTTGACTGGCATGGTTGGGAGTCAATATCTTGCTATATTTGGTATGTGGAAACCATCTCTACTAAGTTGCTGGTTATGTTCATCAGTCACTGAGTATCTGAAATTTTCACCTTTCCAGAGAATTAAGCTGAGACATTGAAACCTATGTAGGTCAATATAGGTGAAGTGTCAATTAGATCAGAAAAAATGCTTAAAAATTTAGAAAATACCATGAGATTCTTGCCTTGCAATGTGTTATACGCTGCTAATAAAGATATACCTGAGACTGGATAATTTATAAAGGAAAAGGTTTAATTTACTCACAGTTCCACATGGCTAGGGAGGCTGCACAATCATGGTGGAAGTCAAATGAGAAGCATCTTACATGATAGCAGGCAAGAGAGTGTGTGCAGGGAAACTCCCCTTTATAAAGCCATCAGATCTCATGAGACTTATTCACTATCATGAGAACAGCATGATAATGACCCACCACCATGATTCATTATGTCCCACCAGGTCCCTCCCATGACATGTGGAAATTATGGGAACTACAATTCAAGATAAGATTTGGGTGGGGACACAGTCAAACCATATAATTCCACACCTGGTCTCTCCCAAATCTCATGTCCTCACATTTCAAAACCAATCGTGACATCCCAACAGTTCCCCAAAGTCTTAACTCATTTCAGCCTTAACTCAAAAGTCCATAGTCCAAAGTCTTATCTGAGTCAAGGAAGTCCTTTCCATCTATGAGCCTGTAAAATCAAAAGCAAGTTAGGTGCTTCCTAGATGCAATGGGGGTACAGGCATTAGGTAAATAGAGCTGTTCGCAATGGGAGAAATTGGCCAAAACAAAGGGGCTACAGGTCCCATGCAAGTCCAAAATCCAGGGGGGCAGTCAAATCTTAAAGCTCTAAAATTATTTCCTTTAACTCCATGTCTCACATCCAGGTCACACTGATGCAAGAGGTAGATTCCCACGGTCTTGGACAGATCCACCCCTGTGGCTTTGCAGTACAGCCCCCTTCCTGGCTGCTTTCACGGGCTGGCATTGAGTGTCTGCAGCTTTTCCAGTTACACAGTGCAAGCTTTTGGTGGATCTTGCATTCTGGGGTCTGGAGGATGGTGGCCCTCTTCTCATAGTTCCACTAGGCAGTGCCCTCATGCGGACTCTGTGAGGAGGCTGCAACCCCACATTTCCCTTATGCACTGCCGTAGCAGAGGTTCTCCATGAGGGTTCCGCCCCTGCAGTCCACCTCTGCCTGGACATTCATGCGTTGCCATACATCCTCTGAAGTCTAGGTGGAGGTTCCCAAACCTCAATTTTTGACTTCAGTGCACCCACAGGCCCAACACCATGTGTAAGCTTCCAAGTCTTGGGGCTTGCACCCTGTAAAGCAGTGACCTGAGGTATACATTGGCCCCTTTTAGCCACGGGACACAGAACACCAAGTCCCGAGACTGCACAAAGAAGCAAGGCCCTGGGCCTGGCCCAGGAAACCAGTTTTTCCTCCTAGGCCTCCTGACTTGGGATGGAAGGGGCTGCTGTGAAGTCCTCTGACATGCCCTAGAGACATTTTCCTCATTGTCTTGGCAATTAACATTTGGCTCCTCATTACTCTTGCAAATTTCTGCAGCTGGCTTGAATTTCTCCTCAGAAAGTGGGTTTTTCTTTCCTATTGCATAGTCAGGCTGTACATTTTCTGAACTTTTATGCTCTGCTTCCTTTTTAAACATATGTTCTAATTCCAAGCCATATCTTTGTGAATACATAAAACTCAGTGCTTTTTAACAGTACCCAAGTCACCTCTTGAACACTTTGCTGCTTAGAAATTTCTTCCACTAGATATTCTAAATCATCTCTCTCAAGTTCAAAGCTCCCCAAATCTCTAGGATAGGGGCAAAATGCCACCAGACTCTTTGCTAAAACGTAGCAAGAGTCACCTTTGCTCCAGTTCCCAACAAGTTCCTCATCTCCATCTGAGACCACCTCAGCCTAGACTTTATTGTCCATTTCATTATCAGCATTTGGGTCAAAGCCATTCAATAAGTCTCTAGGAAGTTCCAAACTTTCCCACATCTTCCTGTCTTCTGAGCCCTCCAAGTCATTAGGAAGTTCCAAACTTTCCCACATTTTCCTCTCTTCTTCTGAGCCGTCCAAACTGTTTCAACCTCTGCCTGTTACGCAGTTCCAAAGTCACTTCCACAATTTTGGGTATCTTTACAGCAGTACCCCACTACCCAGTACCAATTTACTGTATTAGTCTGTTCTCATGCTGCTAATAAAAACATACCCGAGACTGGGTAATTTATAAAGGAAAGGAGTTTAATTGACTCCCAGTTCCACGTGGCTGGGGAGGCCTCACAATCATGGTGGAAGAGGAAGGAAGAGCAAAGACATGTCTTACATTGCAGCAGGCAAGAGAGTATGTGCAGGGGATCTCCCCTTTACAAAACCATCAGATCTTGTGAGACTTATTCACTATCATGAGAACAGTATAGGAAAAACCTGCCCCCATGATTCAATTACCTCCCACCAAGTTTCTCCCATGACACTTGGAAATTATGGGAGGTACAATTCAAGATGAGATTTGGGTGGGGACACAGCAAACCATATTATGTATGACCCACCAGAAAAAAAAACCCTGGTGGATGAACAAATAAAGTGTTAAAAATTGAACACATAATCATGTGCACTCCACAATAAGAGAATAATCCCAGATATAAAATGAGCCTCAAGTTGTCACCCCATTTTAGGAAACAGTCACAAGCTAGCCTACCTTCTTAACCACCTCCTTAGATATTCCTGCCCTGCAACTCTGTATAATCAGAGAACCCACAGCTATTCTAAGGGCAGACCAGAAGGAGGAAATTTCATGCATCATGCTTCTTTTTGTTTGAGGTTTATGGGGAGGAGAAAACAATGAGTATGTCCTCTTCACCTAGATTTGCCGAAATTATGCCAAAGAATGCACCTCAGTGGTGACTTTTTCCAAGGTGCCTTCTCTCAGAAGCCCTGAAAAGAGGTGGGACCACTGTTTTTTCCTTCCCCTGGCAAGAATGAGTGTTCCAGAAGCTGTTAAAGGTTATGAAGTTACCTGAGTTTTCCTGCAGGGGGAAACATCCTCCAGTTTATGAGGAATAAAATATATATCAAACCCTACAGCATCAGCAATCCGGCTTAGTAAAGATTGTATGTGCTTTTTAAAAATAAAAGTTGTATGTGCTTGATTCCTATGCTATTTTTATTTAGTGAAGGATAATTCTGTGCCTTTTTTTAAATAAAAAAGGAACTTTAAAAGGATATGTGTTATCTTAGATAACTCCTAGTTGACCCTTGTATAACATTTATTGCATGTATAGTTCTTGGATGGCCTGCATCATCCGTGAGCATAACTGGCCACCTACTATAATTTGTTATTAAAATTGCAGAGCTAGAAAGCGTGACTACAATCAGAGGTAAAGGCTAAAGGAATGAGTGAGATATTCAGAAAAGAATAGGGTAGGAATTGCCGTTCCTTCATGCATTCACTCAATCAAATTTATTAACTGTGTCTCATGTGTGAGACACTGTGCTACGTGCTAGGGATACCAAAGTGAATAATGTTTTTGACTTTGAATTCAAAGTGAAAAAAATTAATGTTTGTCAATAAGCATTGTAAACATTTCTTTTCAATTTGATTTTTATAACTTTATTTTTCAGAAAGGTAAATGGGTCATATTGTTGTCATCTGATTTGGCCTTTGAGCCTAGAAAGGAGAGATCAGTTTTACTTTCTTTATGATATTTTACCTGGTCCTCAACCACTTCATGGCAATACCCAGAGGACTTTGCCAGATCTTCACTTTCCTTAACTTTTCTGCATCATTTAGTGCCATTTCTTAGAAGGCTTTACTTGTATGCAATTTGCAAAGTGGTTACACAAGTACTATTTTTTAATCCTCCTTTCAAGTTCTCTAATGTTAACAGTTCAGTGAAGCTGAGTTACAGTGAAATTATGTGAAATGACAAGTATCACTTCTCCCACACCTAAGCATGTTATCAACGATATTATTATTACTATATAGATCTTCTTCATGGGACCTCTAGTTATCTAGTGGGTATCTAAAACTCAACATATCTATAACTTGACCAAACATGACTCTTATCTCTTAAGTCAATTACTCTTTTTCCAAATGTGTATAAGCACTAAAGTACCTTCATTGTTCAGGTCTCTGAGGTTTAAAATCCTGATCCTCTTACTTCCATCAGTCACAAAAATCTTCCCTTTTCACTTCCAAATGTATTTTGCTTTATTTCCATCTTGTTTACCTGCTGCTGACACTCTCTAGAGCCTGAAACAATGGTTCAGGTTAGTTCTTGCCTGGACAATTGTAGTAGCTTTCAAATTGAGCTTGATATTGAAGTCTTTTTTTCTTTAATAAACAAAGCTTATAATTACATATTGTTGGTGAGTGTATTTTTTATTACCTATTTCCTTGAAGGCAAGGAAGGACCCATGTATATACAGCACTTAGGATAATACATAAAAGTTTCTCAATAACTGTTAGTTGAATGAAAGTTGGATTGATGAATGCTGCTGTAATAAATCTTCCTGGATGGGCACAATGGCTCATGCCTATATTTCCAACACTTTGGTAGGCTGAGGCAGGTGGATTGCTTATGCTCAGGAGTTACAGACCAGTCTGGGCAACATGGCAAAACTCCATCTCTTAAAAAAAAAAAAAAATTAGCTGAGCATGGTGGCACGTGCCTGTGGTCTCAGTTACCTGGGAGGCTGAGGTGGTGGGATCACCTGAGCCTGGGTGGTTGTGGCTGCAGTGAACCGAAATCGCACCACTATACTCCAGCTTGGGTGACAGAGTGAGACCCTGTCTCAAAAAAAATAATAATAAAAAAAAATAAGTCTTCCCAAAGCCTAGTTCTGATTATATCAACCTTGCCCCGAAGCTTCCACAGCCAACCCAGGTCTGAACTCCATTGTCACTGTCTGCCCTACACCTATTTTTCCAGTTGTTTTTCACAGGGATCTTTGTTTATAAGACACTTAAATTAATGGAAACCAGTTTAAATAAAAACGGGCATCTATTTTGGAAAGTTGCAGATGTATGTATCTCACGGAATGTGATATGCAAGAGCATATAATGCAGGCTAGTCTCATGAGGGATTATAACCAACTGTAAAGAAACTCATCCAAAGTCAAGGTTCCATCTCTCCTTCACCTAGTCTCTTATCTGTGCTTTTCTTTTGGTGTCTGCATCATTCTTCACCTTTTCTGTGGACTGGCTTTCATTCATTCACTAATTCAATAAATTTTTATAGAGTAATGCTATGTGCTGGGTACCATTCTACACTGTTCTGGATATAGGTAAACAGCACAAATCCCTGCCCCCCTGGAGCTTATAATCTAGTTGGAGAGAAGCCTAATTAATAACCATAGAAATATACTGTCAGGTAGGTGCTTTGAAGAAAACAGGGATAAGGAAAAGTGAGTGAAGAGTCATCTTATACAGGAGGAAGGGTGACATTTGAGAAGATAATTGGATAAGGAAGTACTGAGCTCCAGTGACGGATCAAGGTGGGAGTCTAAAGGTACAACCATTTTAGCCCAGTGAAAGATAATAATGAGGCGCCATTCAGTGCCAGACCTTCCTGTGGTGTTGGCACAAGATGTCAGGCCTGCACAGACAACATCTCCCTCCATTCCTTTCCCCACTTCCCTTCCTTGCATAGGTATCGATCCCAAAGTCACTCCTTAATAAACATTCTAAACACTAACCTCTACCACTGGGTCTGCTTCCTAGAGCCTGCTACCTACTCTTGGTTGGTACCAAGAGTCTGCAGAGAAAGCAAGTGATAAGATTGAGTTTTGGAGTCAGACCACTCTCTGCTGAGCTGACAACAAAGGCTCCATCTCTGGTAGGTAGAGTGCGAATAGCTCCTGGTACCAGCATATGCTGCAACTGTTAAAAACTAACACTGTAGGTGAATTGGGATGATACACTGGTAAAAAGGAATATGGTCACTGGTGCAATGCATCAACTATTTGAAAGTACAGAGGAAATGTAAACTTTAAGAACAATGGAATTTGATGGCTGTAGGTGAATTTGATGGATGCTCTAAAAATTATGAGAAGCTGAAAGCATTTAATAGGCAATTGAAAATCAAATGTGAAAGCCAGAGGGCCTGTGTATCTTACAAAGAGGCTCTCATCTTTTGAAGAGGGAGATCAGATAAAGCTGTGGACCCGCCCAGGACTTAATTGTCAGAGCAACTCAGCTCCAGAAAGGTTTAAACTACTAACCTAGGCAGGTGGGCTATACAAAGGTAAGAGCCCCCTGGTTGAGATAGAATGGAACCCTGACATATAGACTGGTGACATATCAGGGGATTCCCTCCATCTCCAAATCTTGAGCACCCAGATTCCCCTGAATTAACCCCTCTACATGCCTGGAGACAATGCAAAGGCCCCTCTCCTCAAAGTCAGTGTGTTCCCCACCCCCACTCCTCGACCCACCCAGGATCTTCCCCTATGTCTCCTCCTGGCCTTGAGGCCTAGACAGACCTAGAGTCAAGTCTCAGCAGAATCCAGCTGGGAAGCTCTGGGCCTAATAACGGAGGAAAGGGAATATACCTCAAAGGCGTTGCAAGACTGAGTCACCACGTATCAGCAAAAGACAAGATCCTATAAATGGGAAAGGATTCTAAGGGTGCTTGGTCAGTCAAGAAGGCTAACATAAAATTGATGAATGCAGAATGTATTGATTTGTGGGCATTCTTCTGTAATACAAGATTTGATACCCCAGGAAGGATCCCAGAAGATGGTGTGAATTCAATACCAGGATGGTTGCTACCAGGATGGGTGCCAGGGCGCTGATGTACAAGCTGAAATGTGAAAAAGTGGTGGCAAGTAGCCAAGCCAAGGGAGGTTGTGGGTGGCTGGCATTGGGACAGGGCAATGTTAGGAGGCTTCTCCTGAGTTGTTGGCCAGGCCTCACTGCTCTTGCTGCTGCTCAATCACTGCTGCAGACTGTCCTGTTCTCCTCAAAGAGTCTGCTCCTCAAACTCCTACTCCCCAAGGCACAGAATTTAAGCTTCTCAGAGCTTTCTACCTCCAGAAAATCTCATCCTTTCCTTATATGCATGTGGTGGAAGTAAATATAAATCTGCTTTAAGTTTGTTTCTAAATAAGAAACGTAAGAATACCCCAGTGGTTTTCTCTAAGCAGCAGATGTCCTGGTAGGAATTCAGACCTGAGCATCCAGAGGTTATCTTAAAAATCGTGGTCTATTGCCTCCTTGTCCTCCAACAGCTCACCTTCCAATGAATATTCTAAAACTTAATCTCTTACCATCTCTCCTTAAATATATTAATGTGAGAGAACAGAAGAAAGTTTTAGGCTAGATATTCATTTGGTTGGAGATTTCAATGTGAACAGTTTCTGAAAGTATTTAAAAAGAGGGCCTAGAAATAAAAGATACAACTCGAAGAGCCTGTGGCTTGAGCAGAGCGTGTGATGATTGCAATGGCAAGGTATGAAGCAGGAGAGCTAAGAAGAGGCAGATGATGTCAGGTTTTATAAACCAGGCTAAAAAGTCATAACCTAGGGTAGTAGTGAGCAAAAGGAGGGCTTTATTCAGAGCTGCATCATCGTCAAGTTACACCTTTTTATAGTCTGGAGAATAACTTTGAAAGGGGGGGATTTTACTGAGTACATTTTACTTGGTAACTTTAAATATTTATTGAAGTAAACATATATGCAATATTTATAAAAGTAAATAAAATGCTTATGAATTTCAAAATACATATTTAATACATCATAAATTGTATTTTATAAGTGAAAATAAATAATATTTATTAAGTCCCTTTTAAATATAAAACATATGTTAAGGCATTGAAGATGGGGATGTCAATAGCAGAGCAGGTCCCTGCCTTCCACATTAGGATACGTCCTGGCTCCAGTGAGGCCAGTGCTAAAGCTGAGCATACCGCCTATGTTTTTAGCTAACAAAACAAAAGCAGTAACAGGTGTAATGACCTAGAGGTTGCACAGGAGGTTGAAGGATTCAACTCCTCAATATTGGTTAAATTTCCTAACATGTCATTCTTGTTTTGTTTTTCTTAGAGCTATGGATGGGAAAGAAGTTCATGAATGGGAGAGAATGAGCAGTGAAGGAATTAAACTACACTGATTTCCATAATAAGTAAAACCAAAGTCAATATAAGCAAAAGGGATAGATATTTAAGGAGGTTCAAGTTTGCATTTAAATTTAGTTATATTAGTGGGCTCCAATAGACAATAAACAAAAAATTTCACTGATTTGATATTTGATTATTATGAGTTTCTTTTTACATCTTCATAAGTAGAGTATTTTCATCAAGAAAGGAGAAATCCTGAAAGTTGGGCAAAATTGCAAACCAACGGCCATTTTTCACAGATGTGAGGTAAGATTTAATTATCTAATGGTAATTAATAATTATGTCACTACAAGCAGATGCTCTGCCTCAGTGAAAATAGTGATCTTATTCACCCATGTCTGTGCATACATAATTTCAAAAATAAATTTTATGTTTTTTAAAGTACAATCCGTGTTGGTGAATTTCTCACTGAAAAATTTAATGTGTAAAAATGTAGCTGCATTGGCTTTCTCTTTACTGAAGGCAGTAAAGAGTGTATAAGAAGATCTCCAAACCACAATGTATACAAAAATATGACTATAAAGTCATGAATGAATGGTATAAATAAATATTTCAAAAGCTCTACTAGATGGGCCATATAAAAAAAATTAATCTCATTATCTTAGTATCTTCTTATAGCCTCAAACATGATTATTAAAGTTTGTTCAACTCATTCACCCCATTACTTCCAAATGACTTTTGGATTTTTCAAAAATCAATCTATTCTTAATGAATGAATGCTATCACTAAGACTACCTTGAATGCAGGATCTGTTTTTGAATCATTTTGTCACATAACATATTGTCTGGCTCACGGTAGATGCTCAACAAGTGAATACCTGTGCAACTGAGGAAATTCCTCAGGAATTCCTAAACCTTTTCAGTGCAGAGAACATATCTCCTACTTCAATTCCTGAGATGTCACATCACTCAGCAGTCATGACCCACAACTTTGAGATGGAAATGGAAACTTATTCATGGAAGTCTTTGTACCATGTGTGGAAGTTTTAGGTAAAAATGAGTCATAGTAAAAGTAATATAATACCAACACTTTTCAGTCTTGTATTTCTTTTTACTTTTTCAAGTTATTTAAAATGCATTTAAAAATTTTACCCTCCTAACAATCACATAATATGAGTGTAAAGTACAGGCAAAGGAAGTTTTATGGTGGAAGCTAAAGTTTAAATAACTTTGGAGGTGCTCTATGAGAAAAATAATATAAAATTAAGTGAGAAAGTATATTTATTTAGAATGAGAAAAGAAATCACAACGAATTTAAAATTTGAAATGACGATAATACCATAATCATTACAAAATCCAGAAAAATAACATTTTATATATGTGTACATTGTACATATATACATAAATATTTATAAATATGTGTATATTTTTAGAGACAGGGTCTTGCTCAGCTGCCTGGGATGGAGTTCAGTGGTGCTATCACAGTTCACATCAGCCTTGAAATCCTAGGCTCAAGCAGTCTTCCCACCTTAGCCTCCCGAGTGGGACTACAGGTGCACACCACCACACCCAGCTAATTTTTAAATTTTCTGCAAAGATGGGGTCTTCCTATGCCAAGCTGGTCTCAAACCCCAAGCTTCAAGTGTTCCTTCTGCCTCAGCTTCCCAAAATACTGGGATTACAAGCATGAGCAATCTGACACATATTTCTAGGACATTTTCCCTATATCTTTGGCAACATAATTTTTTATTGCCTATTCATGTGACAATAATTAATATAATTTTTATGGCAAAGTCAGAAAGATAATTTAGTCTTTCTTTTAGCTTGTTTTTATTGTTTTTATTATTGGTAGTTGAGATGCATAAAATATGTGACTTCCTACATAGTTGCATTTGTGGTTTATGGGCTGCTACAAATTTGTACCCTTTTGGCAAATTCTATGTTGCATGATTCTTAACATAAAGGAAATATTTATGGCTCATTGATAATTGTGTATATTAGATTACAAAGTAAATTCCTAACAGGAGAAAATTTCCATTTGGACTTGATCAGTGTCCTCCAAAAAGTTAAGAATTATTACTATATTTTTATAGTAATTAAAACCATTTAAATAAAACTACTCTGAAAAATACACATAAATTAAACATTAAAGACTTTACATCACGTAAAGAGATATAAAATTTAAGTGATTGACTTTTTTACATTTTGCTTATTTCTAAAAAAGTTTAAGATAGACCTATTGATGTATACAATGCAGTTCTACGACATACATTTTAAGCAGATGATAAAATGAGGCAGAGTAAAAACAAGGCCATAGGGAAGCAATATGAGAGCCAGACAGTGACTTCATACAAAGATACTATACTAATAAACTAAGCCTAGTATACTTGAATATTATATTAGTTGAGCAAATTACTTAACTATTTAGAGCCTGTTTTCTTATCTGTAAAATATGAATACTAGCAATGTATTAGGCTATTCTTGCATTGCTATAAAGAAATACCTGAGACTGGGTAATTTATAAAGAGAAGGGGATGGTGCTAAACCATTAATGAGAAATCTGCCCTCATAATCCAGTCACCTCCTACCAGGCCCCACCTCCAACACTAAGGGTTACATTTCAGTGTGAAATCTGGGGGGACAAATATCCAAATTATATCATTCCTCCCTGGCTCCTCAGACCTCATGTTCTTCTCACATTGAAAAATACAATCATGCCTTCCCAACTTCCCAATAGTCCCCCAAACTCTTAACTAATTCCAGCATTAAATCAAAAGTATCAAGTCCAAAGTCTCATCTGGAGATGAGTTCCTCCCACCTATTACCCTGTAAAATAAAAAACAAGTTATTTACTTTTAAGATACAATGGCATATAGACATTGGGAAGACATTCTCATTCCAAAAGGAAGGAATTGGCCCAAAAAATTGGGTACAGACCCCACACAACTCTGAAATCCATCAGGGTAGTTATTAAATTTTAAAGTTCCAAAATAATCTTTTCTGACTCCCACATTCAAGACACACTGATGCAAGGGATGGGCTCCCAACACCTTGGGCAGTTCCACCCCTGTGGCTTTGCAGGGTTCAGCCTCTCTGGCTGCTCTCACAGGTTGGAGTTCAGTGCCTGTGGCTTTTCCATGTGAAGGGCGCAAGCTGCCAGTGGATCTACCACCATTCTGGGGTTCCGGAGGGCAGTGACCTCCTTCCACAGCTTCATAGACAGTGCACACTCTGTGTGGGGCCTCCAAACCCACATTTCCCTTCCACTGCCCTAGTAGAGGCTCTCTGTGAGGGCTCAACTCCTTTAGCAGACTTCTGCCTGTATACCAGCCTTTTTCATACATCCTGTGAAATCTAGGCGACACTGCCAAGTCTCCTTTACTCTTGCACTCTGCATACCTGCAGGCTTAACAGCATGTGGAAGTCTCCAACGCTTACAGCTTGCACCCTCTGAAGCAGCAGTCCAAGCTGTACCAGTGGCCCTTTCAGCCACAGCTGGAGCTGGAGCAGTGGGGATGCTGGGAACAGCCTCCCAAGGTGGTGCAGGGCTTTGGCACTCTGGGCCTGGCCCATGAAACCATTCTTTCCTCCTAGGCCTCTGGACCTGTGATGTGTGGGGCTGCCTCAATCTCTGAAATGCCTTGAAGTCCCCTTTTCCCATTGTCTTGGCTATTAGCACTTGGCTCTCTTATAGACATGCAATTCTATCTAGCAATAGTTGCTCTGCAGCCTGCTTGGATTTCTCTCCCAAAAGAGCCTTTTCTTTCTTTGCCACATGGCTAGGGTGCAAAGTTTTCAAACTTTTACACTCTTCTTCCCTTTTAAATATAACCTACAACTTTAAGTCATGTTTTTGCTCCTGCACTTGAAATAGCTTGCTAGAAGCAGCCAGGCCACATCTTGATCACTTTACTGCTTATAAATTTCTTCCACCAAATACCTTAAGTCATCACTCTTAAGTTCAGACTTTCACAGTTTGAACTTAAGTTCCCTAGGGCATTAATAGAATGCAGCCAAGCTCTTTGCTAAGGCATCACATGAGTGACATTTGCTCCTGTTCCCAATATGTTCCTCATTTACATCTGAGGCCTTGTCAGCCTGGACTTCACTGTCCATATCACTATCAGCATTTTGATCCCAACCATTTAACCAGTCTCTCAGAGACTGGTTCCAAACTTTCCCTCATCTTTCTATGTTCCTATGAGCCCTTCCCTTCCAACCTCTGCCCGTTACCCAGTTTCAAAGTCATTTCCACATTCTCAGGTATTTTCAAAGCAATGTCCCACTTCTTGGTACCAATTTTCTGTGTTAGGACATTCTTGCATTAAGAAATACCTGAGACTTGGTAATTTAAAAAGAGAAGATGTTTAATTGGTTCATGTTTCTGCAGGCTGTATGAACACGGCACCAGCATCTGCTCAGCTTCTAGTGGGGGCCTAGGAAACTGAGAATCATGGCAGAAGGTGAAGGGGAAGCAGGTGCCTCACATGGTGAGAGCAAGTGGTTAGCGGGGCGAGGGGGAATGGCAGGCTGCCACAGGATTTTAAACAACTAGACATCAAAATAAAGCATTCACTATCATGAGGACAATGCCAAGAGAATGGTGCTAAACCATTCATGAGAAATCCACCCCCAGGATATAACCACCTCTCATCAGACCCTATCTCTAACACTGAGGGTTACATTTCAGTGTGAGATTTTGGGGGACAAATATCCAAACCGTATCAAATAATATCTGCCTCATAGAGATTTCACGTGAGGATTAAATGACTTAATACATGGAAGGGACTTAGCACATAATTAACACTACATAAATATTAGGTAATATATAACTAAGCTTGTGAACTTCAAATATTATTATAGTTTTTTATTAGTTATCCCTTTAAGTAATGACCAGCAGATAATGAATTTTTTACAGGTTAGACTGTACCCTGCTCTAATATTTGAGTATCTTCAAAATAGTCTAACCAGGGAAACCAAAAACAGTGATAATTTTTCTTTGTGCTGCAACAATAAATACTTGAGGTCTGTTTGAAATGAGTTTGAAGATTTGATTTAGTTTGAAGGTGGGATCTCTCCAATAGCCACCAAACAATTTCAAATATACTCTTCGGTGGTTACCTGCTATATTAGTCAGGGTTCTCTAGAGGGACAGAACAAACAGGATAGATACATATATAAAGGGGAGTTTATTAAGGAGTATTAAACTCACATAATCACAGGGACCCACAATAGGCCATCTGCAAGCTGAGGAGCAAGGAAGCCAATCTGAGTCCCAAAGCTGAAGAACTTGAAGTCCAATGTTTGAGGGCAGGAAGCATCCAGCACAGGGGAAAGATGTAGGCTGGGAGGCTAAGCCAGTCTTGTCTTGTTTTTTCATGTTCTTCTGTCTGCTTTATATCCTAGCTGTGATAGCAGGTGATTAGGTTATGCCCACCCAGATTAAAGGTGAGTTTGCCTTTCCCAGCCCACTGAATCAATGTTAATCTCCTGTGACAACACCCTCACAGACACACCCAGGATCAATACTTTGCATCTTTCAATCCAATCAAGTTGACACTCAGTGTTAACCATCACACCTGTATTCATAAGCCAAATTTCAGAGACCAGGGAAAAAGTAAAGAGAGATATAGAGAAAGAGCAATGGGTATGTGCATGGAGTCAGTGTCTGTCTTATTCCTGATTATTTCCCACAATCTCATCAATGTCTACTACAAAATACAGGCACTTGAAAACTGCTGCTAGGCTTGAATTTAGTGGCAAGTAAAACTAGAAAATGCTTGAACTATTGGTTTTATTTACTAACACATACTTCCAGTATTCTTTTCCTAGAGAATTGAATATGTTATTAGCTTTTAATGGAAATATTGCAATAAGAAATTTTACAATTAATTCTTTAACTCTTATTTTACTGGCTGATGATAAAACATCTTTCCTAAAATGTGACTATGCTAATGGAATGGAGGAGGCAAATTAAAAATAAGTAAAGTAGTCTGGGTGTGGTGGCTCATGCCTGTAATACCAGCACTTTGGCAGGCCAAGGTGGGAGGATCGCTTGAGCCCAAGAATCTGAGGCTGCAGTGAACTATGATTGCACCTTGGTGACAGAGTGAGGCCCTATCTCTTAAAAAAAAATAGAAAAATGTCTGACAGCTGCTCTGCCCCCTCCTAGGTCATGATCTTCACCTGCATGTTCACAACTGGGTTGTTGGCAGGTCTGTCTTTCAATTTTCATGAAAGAGAAAAGAGCCAGACTCCTGGAAAGGAAGCTTGTCTATGAAAAGGAGATGATCTGGAAGTTGTGACCTTTCCTTTCTTTCACTTCCCATCTTCTCAAACTAAGTCACATGGCCACAGGCAGCTGCAAGGAAGGGCTTGGAATTGTACCCCCTAACTGGGCAGCCATGTGCATGGAAGAGGGAAGGACAGACTTGGTGGGTTCAATTCGCAATCTGCCACATTTGATATGATCATTTTAAGCAGCATCCATGATTTTTATATTGAAATACATCAGAATAGTAGTACACATTTTCCTTTCTTTAGGTAGTAAAGTATATTCAAAAGAATCTCAAGTGGATGACAACATGAAATAAAGCACTGCTGACAGGACAGTCAGACTGCTGTGTGGGAAACAAAGCATTTCATTTAAACTGATGGTGAGATATGCTGGTGGGCCAGACTTCTTCAAACCACTGCACTCTAGCATGGGCAACAGAGAGAGACCTGTATCAAAAAAGAGGAGGAGGAAGAAGAAGAAGAAGAAGAAGAAAGACATAAAATGCTGTGTGGTGAGAATTTTTTTATTAGAACAGTTTAAACTTTACCCTAACAAATTCAGAAATAGGTACCTGGGAATGGTGTTCCATCAAAACAACACATTATGATATGTTACATATTAGTGATCAAAAGGTAGGTGACACACATGCACACACACACACACACAAAAAAAAACAGCCACTGCAGTCTAGGATGCTGTTGTCCATTTATCACCACATAATAAAACATTTGGAAAACATTATCCTGATAAAATCTTTTAGCAAACTAGAAATAAAAGAAAAGAGAACTTTCTTATTCTCCAAAACAACCATAGCAAACATCACAATTAATGGTGAAATGTTGAATTCCTTCCTCTTTGAGACTAGGAAGTAGACAATTATGTCTTCCATCACTATGTCCATTCAACACTTTACTCAAGGTTCTAGTGAGACCAATAAAGCTAGAAAAAGAAATAAAAGATACAAAGATTAGGAGGAGGGAACACACCTGTCATTATTCACAGAGAGTTATACGAGAGTTTGCAAAAATGATATGCAAACATGAATTGAATTGTATAAAGACATCATTCACAAAAGCTTAAAAAATATGAAGCATTTTGGAACGAATCCAACAAAATATGGGCCAGACTTCTTCAAATTATATTAAAAGACTATGGAAAAATATTATAAAATGGATATATATGTTAATGAATAAAAGACTAAATACTATATATGTTGGTTTTTCCCAGTTTCATTTAGAGTCAACACCATCTTAACCAAGATCCCCACAGTGCTTTGTGTTTACCTTGGTAATCTAATTCTAAATTTATATAGAAATACAAAAGGTCAGGATTGCCATGAAGAAGAGCAAGTTGGGAAGATTTTCTTACTAGCTATCAAACATTTTTTTGACAATATAGTAACTAAGGCAACATGGTATTGGTATGGGGCTAGACAAACCAGTAGAATGGGCTAGAGAGTCCAGAATCAGACCACACACTAAAGATACTGGATATATGAAGAGCTGGACTGCAGGTCAGTGGAGAAGGGATACCATTTTTAATCAACAGTGCCAAAACAATTAGGTATCCCTGTTGGGAAAAAAATAAAAGTTGACTCTACTTCATACCATATACAAGCATGTTTGAAACAGTCAAATATCTCTGAAATCAGGATGTTTTTAGAATGTACAACATATCATAGTTTACTTAGCAAACATTTTTTCTTTTCTTGTTTCAAATAAAATAATGGTGGGTGTTACATTTGAGATGACTTAAGTTTTATGAAATATGGTGCCACAGTTTGAGTTTGGTCAGGAAAATAAAAGTCAATCTATATAGGCTCCCACAATCAATGTAAGGACAAAGGGAGTGAAGAGCAAGGGATTGTCACTGCTGATCTTACCAAGAAGTGCTTGAGAGCTCACCTGTAAGCTGCTAGAAGCCTTAGAAACCTTCAGGAAGCTACTGACAACTCTCTTAGTCTGCAGCATCAGAGACAGAGTGATTCTCAGAAAGCCTCTACCAATGACCTTGGCTAGACCTGGGCACCTAGAGGTGAAAAAGCTAATCTGAAATGTGAATTCCTGTGCCCCTCTGATGTTATTAGCAAGCTATTATAAGAGAGACATGATCAGGTTAGAATTAGTGGCTTTCATCCAGAAGAAGAGATTAAAAATTCAGAAATTTGGGACTTTACAGGTTAGAAAAGCTAATGTCTTCTGTACCCCAAATAGCAGGCGTAAGACTTCACAATGAGCCTTTCCCTGGGACCTCCCATTAAGACTTCTCAGCCAAACAAAGGAAGAGAGCCCTGTGATCAAAGGTCAGAATAAGAGCATTTCCTTCTCACACAAGTTTGTTTTAGGTGCCTCAATGTGGCTTCCATTAAATAAGGGAAAAAAACTATGAACCTAGCAGTATAGCAGTACACAAAGCGCACTGAAGATCTATGTCCAGAAAAAGACTGTGAGTGAATTCCTGGTACATAAAACCGGCTGGAGGCAAATCAGATGAGAAGCCTATCAAGTTTTTGAGGGAATTATAAAGCCATAGAAGCTACAAGCTTAATCTGTGATTATTCAAAGCTATTCACAGTGAAGAGTATTTTTACGTGTCAACTTAACTGAATAACAGATACTCAGATAGTTGGTTAGACATTATTCTGGGGTGTCTGTGAGGATGTTTCTGGATGGGATTAACATTTGAAATGGTAGACAAAGTGAAGCAGATTGCCCTCCCCACTGTGGGTGGGCCTCCTCAGCTAATCCACTGAAGCCCTGAATAGAACGAAAGGCTGAGTAAAGGAGAATTTGCTCTCTTTGTCTGGCTGTCTTTGCGCTAGGACGTCAGTATTCTGTTTTTGACTCAGACTGGTACCAGAACTTATACCATCAGCTCTCCTGATTCTCAGGCCTTCAGATTCCATCTGCAGCTATATCATCAGTTTTGATACCAGTATAAGAGCCTTATATTATTTTATAATTAACTCTTCCCAACTATATGAATGAGGTGTTTTAATTATCTCCATTTTGTGAATTAAGATACTGAGGCATACGGATAATTTGCTCAAGTCCACACAGCTAGTAACTGGTAGAGTTAGTGTTCACACCCAGCGGCCCTCCTCTAGAGCTGAGTTCCTGCAGGCTGCCCTGTGATGAGAACGCTGCTCCATTCCCTGCTAGGCAGCTCCCTGATGCCTGTTCAACTCCTTCCCTGTAGTGAGCTCTTTCCATAATCTAGTAGCAGCTTTCCCCTCCTCATATCTGCCAACATTCACTCTGCTTCAGACTGGTTCACTAGAGGATTCATTGCTGCTTCCCACCTGTTTTGTCAGTGGTGATTTAATTTTTAAAATCCTTCATCAGAAATGGTGTGATGTAGGGGTATATTCATCAGTTTTAATCCACCTAGGCAGTGTTTAGTGGCCTGAAGGGGGAATACACAATTTGGGGGTGGTGATGTGGCATCTAATCAAAGCTCTCTCAGAGGAGAGAGAGCCTATGAGCTCTTCAACTCTCGTTAGCTGTAATCAACACGAGATGCTTTGTCAATTAGCAAAAGGAATGTTAGAAATTAAATTTTCATTAGTGAAATGAATTGTGTTCAAGATATGTGGATTGGCCAGAAATCTGGACAGCATGTAAGAATCTAGCAGGCCCAAGAGTCTGTACCATTTGGAATGGTGCCCCTGGCTTGATTCCAGAATGTTGCCTATGGGCCGCCTCATGTTCAGAAATATCTTTTTGCCTAATGCTGAACACAAGATCAGTTGTCCCTGCCTCTGGAATATGATCACTTTTATCTCTATTGACCCTCTCTTGCCAGTTATGGTCAGGACAACTAAAAATTTAGACAAAGAGCTGGGACTTGACCTCATGAAACAGGTTTCTATTTATTTATTTGTCTGCTTGCTAATAAATGTTTATAGGTGTAAAAACTTTCACTTTAAGAGGTATTTTTATTGGAAATTGACAGTGAGATGGTAGGGAGGCTCTGTAGAGCTGTTACACCTGATAGCTATTACCTGTGGGTGGCTACTGACATCTATTCTAAACTTCCGATAATTACAAATGACCATGCTGGCTTAATCAGTTTGCTACCACACCCATTCCAAGTTCATTTGTCTTCTTTAAACTCTCTCATAGGTATTGTTTCCTGCTGAGATACTGTTCATTTCATCTATATACATCTCACATATCATTTCATTGCCCAGCTTAAAATTCCACACCTCATAAAACCTTTGCTGACTCTTCCAGTATTTTTTGATTATTGTTATGAACTCTTAAGGTACTTATGTATGGCATGCATTGAAAAAGCTTTTGGTGGCATGGTGGTTCACACCTGTCATCCCAGCACTTTGGGAGGCCGAGGCAGACAGATCGCTTGAGGTCAGGAGTTCAAGACCAGCCTGGCCAACATGGTGAAACCCTGTCTCTACTAAAAATACAAAAATTAGCTGGGCATGGTGGCACACCCCTGTATTCCCAGCTACTCAGGAGGCTGAGGCACAAGAATCAGTTAAACCCAGGAGGCAGAGGTTGCAGTGAGCTGAGATTGTGCCACTGCACTCTAGCCTGGGCAACAGAGCAAGACTCCATCTCAAAAACAAAAACAAAAGAAAAAGCTTTTGGTTATGCATGCATTTCCTTGACAGTTTTCATTATGTGATTTAGACACAGCTTAACAAGATTTGCATTAACTGGATCCCAGTTGGTTATAATGCTGGTCACAACTGGGAACTATTCCTTTACAATTGGGAGAGCAGTGTTGCTTTTTGCTCTCTAGCATTTCTGATTTTTCATTGTGTGGTGCTTTGTTTATCATTGCATTCCTTTGTTCTCTTGTTTACCTTTTGAACTTTGCTAGAAGCAAAATTGCAAAAATAAAGGTCATGGGTGACAGAGAAAGAAAAAACAGTTATTGACTATGTGGATTAGAGATCAAAGGAGGAGGACTTTACAGCTGCTTTTATCAGTTTTAATCCACCAACTTATTGTTTTTAACTTGCAATAACAACATGTACTTACAGGATATTTTGTTTTAAAAATGATGTTTTTTAGTGAAATTCCTGCAGGGTTAATGGTTTTGCATAGTGAGTCTGAAGTTGTTTAGCTGAACCTGTGTCTCTTTAAATTAATAGTGTTTACACATTTTTTGATATCTTAAGATTTCTTAGGACCTTATGTGTGTAATTATAACAGCATATACCACACACCACTGTGATAAAGTATGTAATTGTTTAGTGGTTGAAATATTATTTACTGAATGGGATTTAAAAGTCCTCAAAGGATGGTAACCTGTTGAACACTTATTTGGATTTTCCTAATGCTTAACACAATCCTAAGCACACAACAGGAGGAGGCAGAAGGAAAGAGGAGGGGAAGAGATCCAGTATCAAGTGTTGATTGATTAAAGTCAAGCTTTAATGGGCTTTAGTTAAAAAGCTCTGAGATTCTTTTCTCAGCTTGGTCTATTCTGCTATTAATATTTATGATGGCATTATAAAATTGTTGTATGTTTTTCAGCTCTATCAGGTCAGTTATGTTCTTTTCTATCCTGGCTATTTTGTCTGTCAGCTTCTGAATTGTTTTATTGTGATT
The DNA here is from genome assembly GCF_000001405.40 of Homo sapiens. NCBI lineage: Eukaryota > Metazoa > Chordata > Mammalia > Primates > Hominidae > Homo > Homo sapiens. Next base: position 154,871,438 of record NC_000004.12, read on the forward strand.
CTTAGCTTCCTTGGATTAGCATTTTAAGTAAATTCACTGGCAGAGGAAATCAACTTTGTAATTGTTTTTCTAAACATTTTGTAGACCCAAGAATTCATAGTAACAGACCTCACAGCAACTCGTGTGGACATGCAGAACTTGATAATGCATAGAAAATTTCCTGTAAGACAGACCCAGTTCAAACAAGGGATTCAGGTAATAGAATTTCTAAAAAACACAAATGGAGGGAAGGCTTTCCTAGATGTCATAATTACTCTGGGCTCAACCACTTTATTGGAAAAAGCTAATTTGATTTTTTTACCTGATTTTATAAATAATCATATTGTTCTTACTTGTAGCTTGATGTAATGGGAAAAGAAAGCATAGCTCTAATACTTATGTCAACAGAAAAAGTCAAATTCTGTAAAGTATTTGAAGAGATTTATTCTGAGCCAAATATGAGTGACCATGGCCCAGGACACAGCCCTCAGAAGATCCTGAGAACATGTGCCCAAGGTGGTTGGGATGCAGCTCAATTTTTTTTTTTTTTTTTTTTTACATTATAGGGAGACACGAGATATCAATCAAATACATTTAAGATATACATTGGTTTGGTCCAGAAAAATGGGACAGTTTGAAGCAAGTGGGCTTTCAGGTTATAAGTAGATTTAAAAATTTTCTGATGGCAATTGGTTGAAACAGTTATTATCTATAGAAAGGACTGTCCAGGTTTTAAGAGGTTGTGAAGACCAAGTTTTTGTGATGCAGATGAAGCTTCCAGGTGGCAGGCTTCAGAGAGAATAGATTGTAAATGTTTCCTATCAGACTTAAGGTCTATGTTGATGTTAAATGCTGGTCAGATTTTCCTGAATTCCAAAAGGAGGGAGGGCATAATTAAATATGTCCAACACTATCCCTTCCAGTAATGGACTGAACCAACCTTTTAGGTTAGCTTTGGAGTGCCCTGGCCCAGAAGAGGAAGTCTATTCAAAGGGTTGGGGGAGGAGGGAGCTTCAGATTTTATTTTTGGTTTGTACTTACCAGCAGGGTGATGTAAGCTAAACTACTTAATATCTCTGATTTAACTTTCCACATTGGTAAAATGGGAAAACTAGTATTCCATAAGTTAATGCATGTGAAAGCACTCAGCACTGGCATATAACTAGTAATCAACAACACTAGATTGCTGGGTAACAAGCTGAAATTATTAATTCAGAGAGCTTTCCATAAGTTGTATCAGATAACCAATTACTGAATGCTATTTAGAGGCAGTATTATAAGATGAAGAGAGCAAATTCAATCACTTGCACTTCGTAGCACCTGTGACTGCTACTTAAACTTCATGTACCTCAGTTTCATGGCTTGAAAACTGAAGATGAAAAGTCCTCCCTTGCAGTGAGATTAAATTATTTGTTATATGAGAAGCATTTACAACAGTTCTTGTCAATGGCAAACACTCAATAAATCTCAGTGAGTATTAAATTACATATAAAGGTTATGCTAGGAGTTGTAAAGAATAATAACACTCAAAGATGAATGTGATTCAATTCTTTTTTCAAAGACTTTATAATATATTGCATACGGTGGAAGGCCTCATTCTATGTTAATGAATTAGCATTGCATGCAAAACCACCCTTACCTGATTCCAAAATACCTTCCCATTCTCTTCTACTCCTACATTTTCCATTGCCTCCTACATTCCTTGAAAATAATAACAGAATGACACACGTCTTTCAGAATTGTCCTGCACAACTCCTAGTAATTTGCAATAAAAAACTTTTAAAAGTTCTCTGTGAGCAGGAAAATAACACGGTCCATTTTGTGCTTAGGGAGCAAAGCAAATCTCTGTGCACAGAGGATATGAGAGGTTGGAGGAAAGAAGAGCAGTTAGAACACATCCTAGTTGTCTCAGTGGGCAGACGTTGTTAGTTGCCTGCCCACACTTTGTTTTTGCTAATAGAACTTTGATTTTGTTCAGATAGTTGGTAGTCTGAGGTGAATCAGGAAATGTTGGCTTGTGATTGGTTTAGGGAATAGTACTACAACCTACTTACGGCCAAGGAGACATAGGAGAGGTTTGCTCGGTAGGACTCCTGGAAATTGTTTCCTAGCCCAGAGAAAAAGATTCATTTGAGGAAGTGCCTCTTTTATGTTTTGAGGTTGCTATCCATATGTGGTTCCTGGAACTGTCCTGTGATCATGAGGGGAGTCAGCAAGGATAACAAGCTGAGGTGCTGATTGATGTATCTGTGTGTGAATATTACTTATTCCCAGAATGAGACAGAGCTCGTCAACAATTCTATTTATATTATTCACTCTTGCAGATTTTATTGGGGGAACCAGCCCCCAATATTTCAACATAGGTTCTTTTCTATTTTCCCTAAGTGTTGGCCAGTCTGAGAAATAAAGGGAAAGAGTACAAAAGAGAGAAAATTTTAAAGCTGGGTGTCTGGGGGTGACATCACATGTCCGCAGGTTCCGTGATGCCCCTGAGCTGCAAAACCAGCAAGTTTTTATTATGGATTTCAAAAGGGGATGGGTGTACAAATAGTGTGTGGGTCACAGAGATCACATGCTTCAAGGTCAATAAAATTTCACAAGGGAAATGGGGGCAGAGTGAGATCACAGGCCCAGGGTGAAATTAGAATTGCTGATGAAGTTTCATGTCCCAGTGGGCATGCATTGTCACTGATAACATCTTATCAGGAGACAGGGTTTGAGAGCAGACAACCGGTCTGACTAAAATTTACTAGGCAGGAATTTCCTAATCCTGATAAGCCTGGGGGCGCTACAGGAGACTGGGGCTTATTTCATCCCTTATCTACAACTGTATAAGACTGACACTCCCAGAGCAGCCATTTTAGAGACCTCCCCCTGGGAATGCATTCTCTTTCTCAGGGTTGTTTCTTGCTGAGAAAAAGAATTCAGTGATATTTCTCCTATTCGCTTTTGTAAGAAGAGAAATATGACTGTTCTGTCCGGCACTGCAGGCAGTCAGGCCCAATGGTTATATCCCTTGTTCCCTGAAAATCACAGCCATCCTGTTCCTTTTGGATGCCCAGATTTCAGTGTTCAAACACACATACTCTACAAACAATTTGTGCAGATAACGCAATCATCACGGGATCCTGAGGCGACACACATCCTCAGTTTACGAAGATGACAGGATTAAGAGATTAAGGTAAAGACAGGCATAGCAAATTGTAAGAGTATTGATTGGGGAAGTGATAAATGTCCATGAAATCTTCACAATTTATGTTCAGAGATTGCAGTAAAGACAGGTGTAAGAAATTATAAAAGTATTAATTTGGGGAACTAATAAATGTCCATGAAATCTTCACAATTTATGTTCTTCTGCCATGGCTTCAGCCGGTCCCTCTGTTCGGGGTCCCTGACTTCCTGCAACAAGATTTAGATGCTGAGAAACTTTTTTACCTAAATAACTAAAAGGGAATGAAAGAAGTTTTGTTTTATTAGTGTCTTATTTTTTTGAATTCCTTTTGGATTATTGCTCTAATATAAAAAATGTATTTTGATGATCTATCAGCTGACATTCGGTCCTCCTTTAATTCTATTGAAAGTGAAAAACATAGTTATCTAAATATCATAACAACAAAAAAGATTTAAAGATTTGTAATGCAGTCAGTAGAGCCATTCACTTTCTCAACTGAGAACTGATATTTCTAACTGTCCCTTTGTTCGGTATGCAAAGGTTTTTAACATCCCAAGCCTGGGGTACCATTACAAATTCTGATGAGTAAAGAAATGTGTGTGTGTGTGTGTGTGTGTGTGTGTGTGTGTGTTTCCCCTTCTTTTGGGGGTGGAAGAGAGATTCTGAAGAAAGGAATGATGATGGGAGAGAAAAACCAGAATTAGGTCTGAAATTCAGGCATGTCTTAAGGCAGGTATGTTTTAGGAAAAAAACTACATAAAGACATAAAACACCTTGACACTGATCTCATGGTATTAAGCCTGTTCCAGTACTCCTTGAAATGTCTCACATACTCCAGGATTATAAAGATGATGAGGCCAACAACTTCTAGAATGAAAATTGTAAAAGATAATACTGAAAGAGTCTGTTGAGACTCAGCCCTGTGGCAAAGATGAGATTAGGAGCAGTGAGCCTCATGTTAGCCTACATTAAATTGAAAAAGAGAGAGTCTTGCTGGAGAGAGAAAGCAAGAAAATACAACACACTCTGAGAATTCTGTCTAGGAAACAGCATTGAGTGTGGTTATTGGCACATGGCTATGACTGGAAATAAGTAGTCCAGAAGGCATTGGAAGAAATGATATTGCAAATGTCAGGAGCCTTTTAACAACTCTCAGCCTCCCAAACTTAAATGAGTAGGAAGCAGTCACAAAAGCCATATGACCCTAAAGAAGACATACTTCTCGACACCCACTTCAGATGTGGCCATTGAGGACAATGTACAGAGAAGAATCATCCAAAATGTTATGAAAGAAAAATAAAATCTTAGGACCCCAATTCATGCTGCTAAAAGGAAAAAATTAATCTGAAAGCTGACTTATGCAAGAAACTGCCTTTCCTTTCATTCCTAAGCAGATAGCTATAGATAAAAAGTTAAAAAATATCCACAGGTAGTACATATGTACACATTATCTTATGTAAAGTGCTGATTTACTGAGTACAAGACAAATACATAATTGGACTATTGTTCTACCTACTCCTCTTCTCTTGCAACATGTGAATTCAGTAATGTGAGCATACATTCCCTCTTTCCTTTTCAGCCTGCTTTTCCCCTTTAAATATTATAGCTCTCAAAATAATCTTTGGAAAAAGACATGGACCACATATTCCTTTTTTCTAGGCATGTTGTTAACCTTGGCTAAATAAACCTCTCAATTGACTGAGACCTGTCTCAGATACTTTTTGGTTTACAAGGTCAAGCCAGGGACATAGAGAACAATGGGCAAGGGAACTTCCTCCAGAGAGAAGAATCAGTACCTGATTAAGGAAATCCCCCAGCTTCCAGGATAGAGCTTCCTCAAAATTCCTGTCTGGAAGAATTACAGCATTGTTATGGACCAGTGACTATTTATCATTTTTCCAATGGAAATCTTTATTGCAGTTACTGTGTGTTGAGGGGGACAGACGACAACTTATATTTTTAGGTTATAAGTCACTGAACTATAAAAAGACACCCCTATACATGATGGAGGGGAACATGCATCACCCAAAGACCCTGGTATTGGAGCTAGAGGCAGTACCTGGATGGGACATTGGCTTCTATCCCTCTAGGAGGGGCTAACTGTGTTTCTTGTGTGGAAAGAAGAGTGGAATGGATATTTAATGAGCAGAAGGTTGGGCTGTGCCAGAGCCTGAGTAGCCATTTACTAAGCCTATTCCCTCTTTTTCTCCTGAGACTACAGATAGGTTGTATTTCCTGGCCTTCTGCTATGGAATGAATTATATCCCCTCCAAATTCCTCTGTTGAAGTTGAAACCCACAATGTGACTGCATCTGGAGATAGGTTCTTCAAGAGACAATTAAGGTTAAATGAGGATATAAGGTGGGGACCTAATCTGATAGGGCTGTGGTCTTGCAAGAAGAGGAAGAGAGAGAGATCTTGCTCCTCTTTTTCTCTTCCATGTGAGGACACAGTAAAAAGGAGGTCATCTTCAAGCCAAGAAAAGAGCCCTCACCTGGAACCAAATTGACTGGCACCTTGATCTTGGACTTTCTAGCACCAGAACTCTGATAAACTTCTGTTGTTTTGGCCACCCAGACTATAGTATTTTGTTATGGAAGCCCAAGCAGACTAAGAAACTGTAAGGTACAAGGAAGTGCTTCGGTGAAGAATTAGGCTGAGGCAGACATCCAGGCCTGCATGACTCAGCGGGATTGGAGTGCAGGCATAAACCTTCACTTGCTATATAATCTGTTTGTGTAAGCTCATACTTGGCTCTATGCCACTATTGTCTGTAAAACATATAATTGCCTTGCTGACACTGTACAGGTGTTGCTGGTGCCCAGAGAGAAAATGTGAAGCTGCTGACCCCTTTGAGGCAGAGCTGTTCATCTCGCAGATGGACATGGGGGGCAGGAGCCAGAAACCAGCAAGTGCGCCCAGAGGGAAAGAGTTAAGCTGCTGAGCGGGGCTGTGTGTAGAGACAGTAAAGCCACGGAACCTGTAGGGAGAGCTGGCTGTGCAGCTGTGCATGGGAGCAGCAGGGGCTGCAGAACCAGCTGCTGAGAGGAGCCACAGAGTCGGAGCAGACAGTTGAGATAAAGGTGGATAGTGTGAGAGAGCTGCTGATGAGAGAGCTGCTGAATAAAAACATATTTCACCTGCCTACGGCCCCCCCAAGTGTTCTTTCAGCTATTTACCACTCATCCACCCACTCCTCTCAGGCGTCAGCTGGGGCTGGAACCTAACACACACCTTCCTTAGATGTGGTCATATGAATGAGTTCTAGTTAATAGTCTATGAACAGAAGTGCTGTGTGCATCATTTTCAGCATTGACCAAAGAATCAAAAATAAATCAAAATTAAAATTTTGTCTTATTTTCCATTCTCTTTTTTCTTCTAATGGCTCCATGAAGACATACTCAATTACCTTAAAAGCCAAGTGTTAAAGATGACAAAGTCATAATACAAAAGGTGCTTGAGTCTCTGAGTCACTACTGGCAGAGAGCAGTCCATTGATTAGGACCACTATTTTGGACTTACATGTGCAAGCAATAACTTTCATTGTGTCAAGCCACTAAGATTTTCAGAGGTCATTTATTACAGCTGTTGGCATAATCCTGATAAAATAGGAATGTCACCAGATAACGCAGGGGGAAAAGGGACAAATTTTTTTTGGGGGAGAAATATATTGGTTCAATGTTTTTGATGTCCCAACAGGCAGCTGGGAATTCAGATCAGGATCTCCAGAGAGAACAAAATGAGAAGGACACAAACTTAAAGAATGTCTACTTTTAAGGAGTTAGAAAATTAGGGAGACCCAACCAGAGAGATTGAGGAGAAACAGAGAGATGAGAAAAAAGCCCAACCAATTAAAGCACTTTAGGAGATGAGGAGGGAAAGAGATTCAGGTGAGAGGTGAATAATACGTCAGTTCCCAGGGGGATGAGGATGAATTTGCAGAGAAATGAATCTGTAGGTGAAGCCCTTGCTCTGAGAAGCTTGACAACGGAAGAAATGATGCATAGGGAGCAGCAACTTGAGGAAAAAGGACTGCCAAGGATTTGCTTGTTTATTCTTGTTTGTTATGGCAGAGAATACTTGGGGATATTTATTTATCAGGAAGAAAGAATTATTGGTGGGGACAGGGGATTGAAATTTTGAGGGAGAAAAGGATTCACAGAGAAAAACAGATTCTTGAGGAGACAGAATTGCCTGCACAATTTCTAGTGAATACTTCCTTAATGGATTTGGAGCCTCTCAGCTTTCACATTTGCAGAAAGGTAAATTTCATCCTATTTATCTTTCTTTAATTTTTTTCTAACTCATTCAAATTGGAACAGATGGATCTTCCCTTGCTTCTTTTTCTAAGCAAATAATGAGTTGCTATGAGTCAAAAAATATTTTGTACGTATATTTCTTACTAACTAGCATTATTTCTTGTTTTATCTTATTTGAGGCTTATAAATTACTTTGACTAACTCTGGATTTAGAAGACTGTGAATTTAAATCTGGAGCTTCACTTTATATCTTTCAAAATATGAGTAGTATAACTTGTTCCTCTATGTCCAGATTTTTGGATCTTTATCTGCTTTTTTATTGTTCACAGGTCAGAGAAAGAATGACTGTAACACCTACTGTCTATTGGAAAGAGAAGGAGAGCAGGAGAGAGTGATGGCAGAAAGAGGAGCGAGAGAGAGAGTGAGCGAGCTATAGAACTTCCGGACATTTCAACTTTATTATTTCAAGTGTAACACCAATTGTTGAGGAGAAAATTAGCATGCAGTGGCTTGGGGTCAATCAGGCCTATCTTGAATTATCTGTTTCTGTAAAAATGAGGGGAAAATGAGATGTAGGTCTCTGTGAGGATTAGGAGTGGAAATTACGTAAGATAACATAAACATTGTATGTGAAACTTCTTAATAGCAGAGTACATTGTAGGGGGATCAATAGGCATTGATTTGTAGATATTAATAGATACTTTTTCATAATTTTAAACTCTGTTTTTCTAAGTCCATGATTAAAAATATTTTCCAGCATATTAACTACTGCCTTTTATTCCTAATGTCCTTTGAAAAATGATTGGTCATTGAAATAAATGTACTAATATCTCTAACTTCTGGTCTGAAGATATGCTTAAAATAAATCCCATGTTGTAAGAAGAGTCTTAATACTTCAGTGAATCAGCACCTTTAGAAGTCATGATAGGGGAACAATGAACTATCAATAATTTACTTAACATTTAACTGTCTGGTTTTTTTCTTTAAAAAAAAAATAGCCTAACTTTGATAGTTATCTGATAGCTATTTATTATGATAATCAAATTGAACCAATTTAGCTTCACAATGCTAGAATTCAATCTTACAAAATGATAGAATGCTTGTTTATGGGATCAATAGGTTTTCACATGATTGAGTCTTAACGTAAAGATTAGATATAAATTTTCAAAATGCCTTTTAATCTTTGCAGTTAGATACATATCTATCTCCATCTCCATCTTCATCTCTATCTTTACATGTAGGTCTTCCTATTATAGATCTCACATATATCTGTGGCATTAATATAGGAGATATGACCTAGCAACTTTCAGAAAATGGAAATGTTAGCAGAGAATTGTATTTAAAACAAAAACAAGCTAACATTAACCTTTTCAGAATGATATATATTTTTTTGGTGAGAAATAAAACAAAACAAGAGAAATGAACACATCACTAAAATTTAATTTCATCAAAGACATACGGGCAAAGACCAAATTCATGATCAATTCAGTTGTTTTCTTTGCATTAGGAATATGCCCACTTGAAAAGGAGATTTAAATGGACTACTTTAGTTTAAAACAAAAGCAATATCTGGCACAAATCTATTTTTCAACATTTCCATGTGAAAATTTTCTGCTAAGTTGCACTCTAATAAATATTCAAAGGATTTAGGATTCATTTAGCATTAGGAAGCTCACTTATTTTTTTATTTTTTTAATATCTTGAAGCATTTCTGTTTCAGTTTTGAAAGCAACAGCTGTGTATTTTCTCCCTAGATACTCACTTTAATGATTCCCTGGACACCCACCCTAATGAAGATACTAAGTCTCTCTAGGATTCTCGTTTCTTCACTTGACCTCCTTCTGATGTTTAATGACTCATAAGACATAGTTTGGTGATATACCTAAATAAGCATATTATCAAGGGGTGATATTTGGATGGCTTTTGAAAGGACACTGAAACCAAGATATATTTATAGTGAAGGCACCCTTGGGAAGCCCAGGCATTTAAATCTCTGTGAACATTGTTAAGTCTCCTTTTTTCATTTCAAGTTGTAGTTGTAGAACCAGGTGAAATCATTCAACCCAATACTTTGATGGAACTAGCCTTCCTGGGAAAGAGTTCAGGACAGATGATCACAATTCCTTTGAAGTCCTACAGATAAGCTGTGCAAGTTTTCCTAGATTTCCTTACATCCTGCATTTGGTTCTGAATCTTGACACCATGATCAGAGTAAGAGAGAAATGACAACTTGAGTGAAGTTATTTGCAAAATCTAAAATGAGTGATGGAATGATATTTAAAAGTATCTGTATTTACAAGAAATACTTCCAAATTACTGAGAAGCAGAGAAAAAAAAGAATGTTAATGGGCAATTAAGAGAAGATGAAACTGAAAAGAGAAATTCTTACACAGATCCACAAAGGAACATGTTTACAGATGTTCACTATAGCAGCATTTATGATAGCAGGGAGCTGAAGGTAATCTAGTATGCATTCGGGGGATGGGGTGGATAGATGGATAATCAAAAACTTGGAGCTTCCCACTAGGAACTACTATGCTACAGTTTGAAGCTAGATTTTCATATAGCAACATGAATTGATGGTAATAACAGAATTCTTTGAAAAAATATGTAAGAATCAGGATACAATTGTACCTTAAGACCATTTATGAACACTTAAAATATATATGCATGGAGCAACACTACATGTTTTGCAAGAGGTGGAACAGGAAGAATGTAAATAGTTAATAATTATACACAGCATCTCTGAAGCTTTCCTAAAATAGGGTTACAGGACTGTGTTGGTTGTATTCCAGCTCTTGGTGGAGAAGTGAAATTTGATGCCATATTGGAATACAGCTCCTCACCAGCTAAGCTGGAAATGAAAATAATTGTGTTTTCCTCAATTATCTGAAATTGAAATGTTATGGCATGAAATCTACCTTTGTGACAAGAAGTATAGAAACCCAAAAACATTCCTGGTAAAAATATGGGTGATGTCAGTGGTGGCCACAATGGCATTGTAAGTAGAGGACCCTAACTCTGTGGTTACTCTAGTCAGTCATACACAGTGCTAGCTGATAACTCCGTAGCCATTTCATTAAGCCCTGGACAAATTGGAGAAGTACAACAAATAGCTTTTAAGAAATTCTTCCAGGTTATCACTTCAGATTTTATTCTCCAAAACTTACTGAGCATGGAATTCCCTTGGGGATTTAGAGGCATTAAATGGTACTGTAGGCCAGGTCCTAATTCAGGGGGCCCAGTTTTTTACTGTCACAAATCTACCAGTAGACAAGTTATAGGGTGAGACCATCCTCTCCATATACCACTTAGGCAAACACGTCAAAAACCTGGTACTGCTTCTCATAACTGCTTTGGCTAAAAATTAAAAATATCACAATCTGTATCTTATATCATGATTCTATTACCAATACTGCCAATACCATTCTCTTCCATCCTTTCTTACTGGACAAGTCCATTATCTTTAAGGAGATAGGGAAGGAGGAAGGTTTTCCCATCATCACATGTCAGGTCTGTGATTGGCTAGTACCCAGTTTGCAGCAGAGTTTTATTAGGTTGTCCCATTTTGTAGAGGGTTCTTTATAAAGCATAAAAATGGAGATACATCTAACTTTTTCCCAGTGTTATCAGAATTTCAAAGCCGACATTATCATGTCAAACTGCTTTTAGATGTCTCTGATAGATAGCCAATCTTATCAATTTCTTGGGGGCATGAGTATTAAAATAGACTTCTTATGAGCCTACAATCTGGTCTTGTAGATGTTCCTCAATCAATTCTAATATTTTATGGTGTCACTAGGCATGTGAAAAGATTAGTAAACTCGAAAACACAGCACGAGAGATTATTCAAAAGTACACAGAGAAGATAGGATTAAAAAAAAAGAAAAAGAACCACACATCGGAAAAATTCAGTTGTCCTAATGTATATAATGACAGTGAAGAAATATCTTTAAAATATTGAAAGAAAACATCTGTCAACCTAGAATTCTATAACCAAGAAGAATATCTGCAAAAACAAACGAAATGAAGTTTAAAATCCCCTCCTTTAGCCTTTCTCTTTCTCATGACTTCCTGTTTCACGGACTCTCTGTCAATTAGCATATGCAAATAGGTACTTGGGTGTATCAACTTTGATATTCACTTAACAACAACATCCAACCTGGAAGTGCTGCCATATGAGTTATCCCCGCAGAACTTAATTGGGTGTTTACTTAATTTTTATTTGCATAACCAAAAGAGCCTACTGTTGTAGTGCTTCTCCAAACAAAAAGAGAGTATGCTCCAAAGGCAAATTCCAGTCTCTATTTTAGAAGCTAGTGAGGCTTAGGCAGGTGATCACTTGAGCCCAGCAGTTTGAGAGCAGCCTGGGCAACAAGGTGAAATAGTCTCTACAAAAAAATACAAAAATTAACTGGGCGTGGTGGTGTGCACTTGTAATTCCAGCTACCTTAGAGGCTGACGTGAGAGAATTGCTTGAGCCTAGGAGGCAGAGGTTGCAGTGAGCCAAGATTATGTCACAGCACTCCAGCCTGGATGACAGAATGAGACCCTGTCTCAAAAAGTATATATATGCTAGCAAGTATATTCTTTGGTTAGAAATGTTTCTAAGATCAAAGTCTTTAAAAAATTGTTCAGAATAGGCAAATACATAGAAACCAACTATACAAGTGATTACTTGGGGCTGGGAAGTGGAGGGATAGAATGGTGAGAGTGACTGGGAGAAAATGAGAAATAACTAGTAATGATTATGAAGTGTCTTTATTGGATGACAAAAATGTTCTAAAGTTGATTGTGGTGATGGTTGCACAGCTCTGTGAATGTACTACAAGACACTGCATTGCAATTTTAAATGGGTAAATTGTATAATATATGAACTATGTCTCAATAAAGCTGAAAAAATTTATATGGTTTTGGGAAAATATTTATAGTAATAAAAAATGGTGAAAAACAGCAACAAAAATTATATTAATTCTCCACTGGGTCCTTGGTTTGTTGGTCAACTCTGTTGTAATTTTTTCTGACTTTCCATGGTATATTAGACCATTTTCACACTGCTAATAAAGACATACTCGAGACTGGGCAATTTACAAAGAAAGAGGTTTATTGGACTTACAGTTCCATCTGGCCGGGAGGCCCACAATCATGGCAGGTGAAAGTCATGTCTCACATGGTGGCAGAAAACAGAAAACTTTCGCAGGGAAACTCCTCTTCTGAAACCATCACATCTCATAAGTCTCATCAGTCTTATTCACTATCATGAGAACAGCATGGGAAAGACTTGCCCCCATGATTCAATTACCTCCCACTGGGTCTCTCCCACAACACATGGGAATTCAAGATGAGATTTTGGTGGAGACACATCCAAACTGTATCATTCTGCCCCTGGCCTCTCCCAAATCTCATGTACTCACATTTTAAAACCAATTATGCCTTCCCAACAGTCCCCCAAATTCTTAACTCATTTGAGCATTAACTCAAAAGTCTACAGTCCCAAAGCCTCATCCAAGACAAGGCAAGTCTCTTCTACCTATAAGCCAGTAAAATAAAAAACAGGTTAGTTACTTCCTAGATACAATAGTGGTACAGGCATTGGATAAATAGAGCTGTTCCAAATGGGAGAAATTGGTCAAAACAAAGGGGCTATAGGCTTCATGCAATTCCACAATCCAGCAGGGCAGTCAAATCTTAAAGCTCCAAAATGATCCCCTTTGACTCCATGTCTCACATCCAGGTCATGCTGATGCCAGAGGTAGGTTCCCATGGTCTTGGACAGCTCCACCTCTGTGGCTTTGCAGGGTACAGACTCCCTCCCAGCTGCTTTCATGGATTGGCTTTGAGTGTCTGTGGCTTTTCCAGGTGCATGGTGTAAGCTGTCAGCGGATGTACCATTCTGGGCTCTGGAGGACAGTGACCCTCTTCTCACAGCTCCACTAAGCAGTGCCCCAGTAGGGACTCTGTGTGGGGGCTCCAACCCCACATTTCCCTTCTGTACTGCCCTAGCAGAGGTTTTCCATGCGAGCCCTGCCTCTGCAGCAAACATCTGCCTCTACATTCAGGTGTTTCCATACATTTTCTAAAATCTAGGCAAAGGTTCCCAAACCCCAATTCTTGACTTGTGTACTGGCAGGCTCAACACCAAGTGGAAGCTTCCAAGGCTTGAGGCTTGCACCTTCTGAAGCCACAGACTGAGCTCTACGTTGATCCCTTTCAGCCACAACTGGAGTGACTGGGATGCAGGTCACCAAGTCCCTAGGCTGCACAGAGCATGGGGACCCTGGGCCCAGCCTATGAAACCACTTTTTTGTCTTAGGCATCCACTGCTGTGAAGACCTCTGACATGCCCTGAAGATATTTTCCCCACTGTCTTAGGGATTAGCATTATTTGGCTCCTCATTACTTATACAAATTTCTGCAGCCAGCTTGAATTTCTCCTCAGAAAATGGGTTTTTCTTTTCTACCACACAGTCAGGCTGCAAATTTTCCAAACTTTCATGCTTTGATTCCCTTATAAAACTGAATGCCTTTAACAGCACCCAAGTCACATCTTAGATGCTTTGCTGCTCAGAAATTTCTTCTGCCATATACTGTAAATCATCTCTTTCAAGTTCAAAGTTCCACAAATCTCTAGGGCAGGGGCAAAATGCTGCCAGTCTCTTTGGTAAAACGTAACAAGAGTCACCTTTGCTCCAGTTCCCAACACGTTCCTCATCTCCATCTGAGACCACCTCAGCCTGCATTTCATTGTCCATATCATTATCAGCATTTTGGGCAAAGCTACTCAACAAGTCTCTAGGAAGTTCCAAACTTACCAACATTTTTCTTTCTTCTTCAGAGACTTCCAAACTGTTCCAACCTGCCTGTTACCTAGTTCCAAAGTCACTTCCACATTTTTGAGTATCTTTTCAACAGCACCCCATTCTACAGGTACCAATTTACTGTATTAGTTCATTTTCACACTGCTGATAAAGACACACCTGAGAATGGGCAATTTACAAAAGAAAGAGTTTTATTGGACTTACAGTTCCACTCACAATCATGGCAGAAGGTGAAAGGCAAGTCTCACATGGGAGCAGACAAGAGAAGAGAATTTTTACAGGGGAACTTCTCTTTTTAAAACCATCAGATCTCGTGAGACTTATTCACTACCACGAGAACAGTATGGGAAAGGCTTGCCCCCATGATTCAATTACCTCCCACTGGGTCCCTCCCAGAACATATGGGAATTCAAGACAAGATTTGGGTGGGGACACAGCCAAACCATATCACATGGCATCTCTCTATTGTTGCACTGTCTCCCTTTCCCCATTTTTCTGCCTGATTTTTATGACTGGAAATCTTGTTCCAGCATTTGACTTCCTACTACCATGTTTTTGTTTCTCTGTATTGATCCACATGTACTCACTGGCTTTCTGTGTGTTGTAAATTTAAGACTTGTTTAAATTATGAGGGAGAGAGTGAGCTTGATAGGGTGGGGAAGCAAGACTACCTGGGGATTTCTTCCTTCCCCTTGGAGTCATTTAAACCACATTCCAACAATCATTTGTCTGGTTTCTTTGATCCTTCTGTTAGTTCTAATGAATGCATTTATTTTGCAATACCAAGGATTAGCAATCATTCTGCAAAGGACTCGAGGTAACATTTGAATTACATTTGGTCTAAATATATAAATTTATCTTCATTCTCTTTCTCTCCCCAGTTGTGTTTACTTTTACTATTTACTCTTTCTATAATGTCATGTTTTTGAGGCAAGGGATTTTCAGGCTCATTGAAATTTGATTTGGCATTTTTCTGCCTTGATGAGGACCATTTGCTTCTGGAAATGGGACTCTGTGCTTTCATTTCACTTCCAATGCCTAGTCTCATTTTTCTCTTCTTTCTTTTCTCCTCAGGCCTCAGATTGGCAGCATAATGGACTGTGTAATGTTCTTTTTTATGTTTTAAGTGTCCAAAGGCAACTAGTAGCCAATCATTCAAATTAACTAATACCCTGTGAAGGCAGGAAACTTCAAGGTCCAAATTTTCACTCTGAATTTCACATTACACAACTTTGAATGAAGCATTAGTTGCCAGTTGGGAAATAAAATCTATGTTTATGGACATTGGTTATAATTAACCGGTATTTAATTGAATACAATATTAAAGTTTGGGTGATGGGGAAAAAGAACAATGCATGAATTTATTTTGCATTGTATTATATTTATGTATCTCTTTGCCTTATTTGTCTGTGAGCTTTCTAATATGCTCAAAGCCTTCCACAGTGTGTGGCAAATAGTAAGTACTAAATAAATATTTTTTGAATGAAAATGAACAGGCAAACTATAGGAACTTCAGGCAAAGAGGCTTTCAGTGAACTTGTGGGTAGTAACTATTGCCTTCTTTTGCTAGTTTTTTGAAAAGCCACTTTAAAGGAAGTGCTGTGCCTGGCTTTTTCTAGTTCTGATGTTGAGTTATATATAAATTCTTATTTTTTTTTCCTCCAATGATGGAATTTTTTCCCTTGCCTTTGTTTTAATGTAATACCCCATGAAGTTTTAGCAATTCCAGAAATAGAAGGTTGTTCAATTCCAGTAACAATATGCATCTGCTTGGCCATACAATTTACAGGTCTTTACTTTGCTGCAGTAATTTAGGTGAATAGTCTGAAAACTGATGAAAAGTGATTCATATGAGGCCTTTTCTATGGAATTTGTTTACTATATCTGCCAGAGGAAAACATTTCCATTTTAAGCAAGCTTCAATTACTCAATGTACGCTGTAGTCTAAATGGCAAATACAAACAAAAAATCGTACTTCCTCTTGTTTCTATATTTTTTAGAATGATTTTCATATCTTAACACATAGGTATCTACTGCCAATGTAAATCATTCATTCATTTGTTTATCTCTTCATTCAGGACTGGGAATATAAGAGATGAATATGACAGAGTCCCTTGCTCTTGAAATGTTTCATAATTAGTTATTGTATTTCAAAGTTAATTTAATTGTTAACCATTTTGTTTTATAAAAGGAGTCTTTTACTGTGGAATTAAAGGACTCAAGCCCACTGGTTTGCCACTGGGCAAATAACACTAACTATATATGTAGGATTATTGATTTGGGTAAATCCAGACTGGAATTATTCCAGTGAGGTACACATTTGAATTCCATTACAAAGCAGAAGGAACCTACAATTTATTTGACTTTTAGTTTCATCAGACAGGACATCCAGATTGTCTGTTCCACTGACAACGACTAAAAAACTGGATTAAATAATGTAAAGTAATCTTTTCAAGTACATCAACCAGCTGGCTAGCTGGTTAGGAGTGCAGAGAAGTAAGCATTGAAGCTGCATGAACTTAAAATTTTGTTTTACTTTTCCTGAAGGGCTCAACCTTTGCTTAAAGCGAGAATCAAGTACAATGTATAAGAAGTTTCTATTTGCAAAACCCCTACACAGGAGAAATCAAAGCCAAATGCTGATATATATATAGCCACAATAGTTTTGAGCAGTTGATACTGTTAACACTTAGGGCAACCCACCAGCCAAAGCTAACAAATGCTTGGGAATATTAGCAACCCCAATAAGCCAAAGTAAAAACTCATTCCTGAATGCACACAGGAAATCAACTGGCTATAATTTATGGACTCATCCTGCCTAATCTAGGACAGAACTTCACCCACAATTGGCATAAGTACAATCGACCTTCTAGAGTATAAAAACTTCAGACTTTCATCTTTTATGGAGCCATTCACTGAAGCTTTTCTCTTGTCATTGTCTCCTTGTCTGGTATAATAAACTCAGAACTTATTTTGTGGGTAACTGTGTTGGTCTTTTTCTTTCCTTTATCACAGAGACCTCATACATAAAGCCAGGATATTGAAAAGCAGCCCATAAGTGCAAAGATGAAGTAGAAATAAATTTGCATGTTCAACCCCCTTCAAGTTAAGTTGGGAAAGACTAGCATGTCTCAAACATGGGTGCAGGATGGAAGTAAAACAATATTCCCTGAGATTTTGTAAACACCCATTGGCTTTTCCGTGGATTTGCAATCCAAATTCATACTATCTGCGTAGTACAAAATCTTCAAGATATATAATAAAACTGTCCTAGGTTGCCATGGCTCTAGGTACATAGGAGAAGAAAACACAAATCCTCTCTAAAGTACTGGCCTTAAAAAAATCCTATAGATAAAGAAATTATCTATAGTACTGGCTGCAAAAAAATTCCTATAGATAAAATTACAAGAAGCATGAGCCCATGTCATCCTCTTAAAGAAATAAAAGAAAACAAAACACAGAATTCCCCAAAAAATATGGCAACATTAGTGAGATCCAGGAAAAACATTAGGTAGCAAAACAGATTCACAAAAAACCTTCAAAAAGTATACTTAAACCTAGAATAAAAGTATGATTAATATATTCAGAGAAATGAAAGAGAGGATTGAAAACATAGTTGACCCTTGAACAATGTGGGAGTTTGGAGTACCAACTCTCACGCAGCCAAAAATCTGCATATAACTTTTGACTCCCCAATACGTAGCTGCTAATAGCCTCCTGTTGACTGGAAGTCTTACCAATAACATGAACAGTTGGTTAAAACATATTTTGTAGGTTGTATGTATTATATACTGTATTCTTACAGTAAAGTATGCTAGAGAAAGGGAAACGTTATTAAGAAAACCATAAAGAAGAGAAAATATATTTACTATTCATTAAGTGGAAGTGAATCATCATAAAGGTCTTCATCCCCATCTTCATGTTGAGAAGGCTGAAAAGGAGGAGCAAGATGAGGGGTTCGTCTTGCTGTCTCAGGGGTGGCAGAGACAGAAGAAAATCTGTGTATAAGTAGACCCATGTAGTTCAAATCTGTATTGTTCAAGGGTCCACTATATGAACAAGGAGCAAGAGATGACCCAAATGACAAGCGAATGTGACAAAGAAACAATTAGAAATTCTAGAAAGAACAACAATATAATCAAAACGAAGAACTCAATGGATAAACTTAACAGCAAATTAGACCCAGCAAATAAACTATTCAGAGAACAGTAGAAGGGAAAAGGTAGACTGAAAATAAGAAACAGAAATTAAAAGACATAGCAGAGAGAGAAGATCTAACTTTATGTGGCCTCAGGGATTGGTCCATATCTTTCGCAGTCCTTGTCTCTTACTGGACATGATTCACTCAGGCTTTCTTCTTACTAGTTGCTCTCTGGATGCAATTGGCCAGTTTAGGTTCTCACACTTCCCTAACATGCCGAGGGCTACAATATCTCTCCACTGGCCAAAAAAACCTTTGGTTTTTTCCCACATATCAATCTCATAAATATTTTTATTTATCTCCCACTTCCACTCATGTGAGCAAAAATCAGGGAGTCAGGCAAATAAATTTTCATTTGCTCTGTTAATTGGAACAACTATTGACTAAATCTACCCATTAAGTGAGTGAATGCTGATTATGTTTATCTAGAACAGCAAGCAAGGACATCCTAAATTAAATGCTCATTCACAGCATCCTGCTCTCCCAGTTTCGTTTCTACCCCAACCTTTGTTAATATAGGGGCTGTGCTGCTATCAGGATCCACAGAATCCTTCGAGATTAGATAGCCCTCACAATGCAGAAATGCATTCATTTCTTTTATTTTTAAAAGGGCTTCTCTGTTAACAAATATAATGCATATTCACTGTGGAAAACTAAGAAAATACTAATATGCACCAAGGAGGCAATAAAAATGAATGGTAGTCCTGCCTCCCAGACATAACAATTACTACTATTTTGTTGTATATTTTTCAAATTTTTCTCTAAGCATACAGGTGCATGTAATATACTCCTTTTTTTTTTTTAACAAAGATGTCATATCTTTCAGTAACTTGTTTTTTCCATTGTATATCTTATGGTTATCTTTTATATCAACTGTCTACTATAAATCATTTTTAATAGCTGCATTCTATTTCATCCACTGTTCCATACATGCCAATGGCCCTTTTCTGCAAGAACCTGCTACTTCCTGCTTTCTCTGTTGGCAAGTGTGTGCTTAGCCCTTCAGGACAGGCAGGAAAAGTAAACCCTTGGGAACAAATTTCAATGAACGACCAAATAGGATTTGACAGATAAGTACTCCAGCTTCCCTGCCCCTCTGGTGCAACAACCCTGAGGTAGGTTCTAAACATTTTCTCAGAGGTCTCCCACAGCAATAACCTGCTCATGAATGCTTCTTGTATTGGCTTCTACCTTTCTTGATCTCACCTCCTAATGGTTCATGGGATCACCCTCATATAAACTACTTTCTCCAGGTGTGCCTCTAGGGAAATCCAAACTAAGATGGTATTTAAGTAGGCCCTTGCAATTATAGCTTATTTTCCTTAACATTCATATATTTTTTAATTAATTAATTAATTTTTTGAGACAGGATTTTGCTCTGTTGCCCAGGCTAGAGTGCAGTGGTGCGATATCAGCTCACTGCAACCTCCACCTCCCGGACTCAGGTGATCCTCTTGCCTCAGCCCCCTGGGACTACAGTTTGCACCACCACACCCGGCTAATTTTTACATTTTTAGTAGAAATGGGGTTTCACCATGTTGCCCAGGCTGGTCTTGAACTCCCAGGCTCAAGGGATCCACCCACCCTGGCCTCCCAAAGGGCTGGGATTACAGGTGTGAGCCACCATACCTAGCATAACATCCATATTTTTTATTTGATTGCTCTGACATCTAGGCAGCCCTATCAATTTTCATTTGGGTGTCACTAGAGTAGTTCTAAAGTCACTGTACAAAGTAAAACTCCACATGATCAAAATTATCCTTAAGAATTACTTCAGGATTTCAGTTCTATGTTTTTCAGCTTAAGAAAAATCCTCTTGAAGAGCTGGCAAGATGGTGGAATAGGAATAGCTCTGGTCTGTAGCTCCCAGCAAGACCAGTGCGGAAGGTGGGTGAGTTCTGCATTCCCAACTGAGGTACCCAGTTAATCTCACTGGGACTTGTTAGACAGTGGGTGCAGCCCATGTTGGGCAAGCAGAAGCAGGGTAGGGCATTGTCTCACCTGGGAAGTGCAAGGGGCCAGGGAACTCCTTCCCCTAGCCAAGTGAAGCTGTGAGGGACTGTGCCATGAGGGATTGTGCTATCCGGCCCAGGTACTATGCTTTTCCCATGGTTTTTGCAACCCACAGACTGGGAGATCCCCTTGGGTGCCTTGCCACCAGGGCCCTGAGTTTCACGCACAAAACTGGGCAGCTGTTTGGGCAGACACTGAGCTAGCTGCAAGAGTTTTGTTTTGTTTTTGGTGCCTCAGTGGCACCTGGAACCCCAGTGAGACAGCATCATTCACTCCCCTGGTAAGGGGGCTGAAGCGAGGGAGCCAAGTGGTCTTGCTCAGCGGGTCCCACTACCATGGAGCCCGGCAAGCTAAGAACAACTGGTTTGAAATTCTGGCTGCCAGCACAGCAGTTTGAAGTCGACCTGGGAAGCTTGAGCTTGGTGGGGGGAGGGGCACCCACCATTACTGAGGCTTGAGTAGGCAGTTTTCCCCTCACAGTGTTAATTCTGACTGTGCAGATCTCACCACAGTGCAGCAAGGCACCTGGGGCCGAACTGCCTCTCTAGATTCCTCCTCTCTGGGCAGGGCATCTCTGGAAGAAAGGCAGTAGCCCTAGCCAGGGGCTTATAGATAAAACTCCCACCTCCCTGGGACAGAACATCTGGGGGAAGGGGTGGCTGTGGGAGCAGCTTCAGCAGACTTAAACATTCCTGCCTACTATGGATCTCCTGCACAGGGCTTGAGCTCTGCTAAGGGACAGACTGCCTCCTCAAGTGGGTCCCTGATCCCCATGCCTCCTGATTAGGAGACACCTCCCTGCAGGGGTCGACAGACACCTCATATAGGAGAGTTCCAACTGGCATTAGGCGGGTGCCCCTCTGGGACGAAGCTTCCAGAGGAAGAAACAGGCAGCAATCTTTGCTGTTCTGCAGCCTCCACTGGTGATATCTAGGCAAACAGGGTCTGGAGTGGACCTCCAGCAAACTCCAGCAGACCTGCAGAAGAGAGGCCTGTTAGATGTAAAACTAACAAAAAGAAAGCAATAACATCAACATCAACAAAAAGGACTCCCACAGAAAAACCCCATCCAAAGGTCATCAGCATCAAAGATCAAGGGTAGATAAATCTATGAAGATGAGGAAAAACCAATGCAAAAATGCTGAAAATTCCAAAAGCCAGAATACCTCTTCTCCTCCATATGATTGGAACTCCTCTCCAGCAAGGGCACAAAACTGGACAGAGAATGAGTTTGACAAATTGACAGAAGTAGGCTTCAGAAGGTGGGTAATAACAAACTCCTCTGAGCTAAAGGAGCATGTTCTAACCCAATGCAAGGAAGCTAAGAACCTTGATAAAAGGTTACAGGAATTGCTAACTAGAATAACCAGTTTAGAGAAAAACGTAATGACCTGATGGAGCTGAAAAACACAGCATGAGAACTTCGTGAAGCATACACAACTATCAATAGCCAAACCAACAAACAGAAGAAAGGATATCAGAGATTGAAGATCGACTTAATGAAATAAGGCATGAAGACAAGAGTAGAAAAAAAAAAAATGAAAAGGGATGAACAAAGCCTCCAAGAGATATGAGACTATGTAAATAGACCAAACCTACCTTTGATTGGTGTACGTGAAAGTGACAGGAAGAATGGAACCAAGTTGGAAAACACACTTCAGGATGTCATCCAGGAGAACTTTCCCAACGCAGCAAGACAGGCCAACATTCAAATTCAAGAAATACAGAGAACACCACTAAGATACTCCTTGAGAAGAGCAACCCCAAGACAAATAATCTTCAGATTCTCCAAGGTTGAAATGAAGGACAAAATGTTAAGGGCAGACAGAGAGAAAGGTCAGGTTACCTCCAAAGGGAACCCATCAGACTCACAGCAGATTTCTCAGCAGAAACCCCACAAGCTAGAAGAGAGTGGGGGCCAATTTGCAACATTCGTAAAGAAAAGAATTTTCAACACAGAATTTCATATCCAGCCAAACTAAGCTTCATAAAGTGAAGGAGAAATAAAATCCTTTACAGATAAGCAAATGCTGAGATATTGTGTTACCACCAGGCCTGCCTTACAAGAGCTCCTGAAAGAACCACTAAATATGGAAAGGAAAAACTGGTACCAGCCACTGCAAAAACATACCAAAATATGAAGACCAACAACACTGTGAAGAAACTGCATCAACTAATGTACAAAATAACCAGCTAGCATTATGATGACAGAATCAAATTCATACATAACAATATTAACCTCGAATGTAAGTGGACTAAATGCCCCAATTAAAAGACACAGACTGGAAAATTGGATAAAGAGTCAAGACCCACTGGTGTGCTGTATTCAGGAGACCCATCTCATGTGCAAAGACACATATAAGTTCAAAATAAAAGGATGGAGGAATATTTACCAAGCAAATGGAAAGAAAAAAAAAGCAGGGGTTGCAATACTAGTCTCTGACAAAACAGACTTTAAACCAACAAAGATCAAAAAAGACAAAGAAGGACATTACATAATGGTAAAGGGATCAATGCAACAAGAAGAGCTAACTATCCTAAATATATATGCATCCAATACAGGAGCACACAGATTCATTAAGCACGTTCTTAGAGACCAACAAAGGTACTTGGACTCTCACACAATAATAGTGGAAGACTTTAACACCCCACTGTCAATATTAGACAGACCAATGAGACAGAAAATTAACAAGGACATTCAGGACTTGAACTCAGCTCTGAACCAAGTAGACCTAATAGATGTCTATAGGACTCTCCACCCCAAATCAACATAATATACATTATTCTCAGCATGACATAGCACTTATTCTAAAATCGACCATATAATTGGAAGTAAAACACTCTTCAGCAAATGCAAAAGAATGGAAATCATAACAAACAGTCTCTCAGACCACAGTGCAATCAAATTACAACTCAGGATTAAGAAACTCACTCAAAACTCTACAACTACACAGAAACTGAACAAGCTGCTCCTGAATGACTTCTGGGTAAATAATGAAATTAAGGCAGAAATCAAGAAGTTCTTTGAAACCAATGAGAACAAAGACACAATGTACCAGAATCTCTGGGACACAGCTAAAGCCGTGTAGAGGGAAATTTATAGCACTAAATGCCCACATCAGTAAGTGAGAAAAACCTAAAATTGACACCCTAACATCACAATTAAAAGAACTACAGAAGCAAGAGCAAACATATTCAAAAGCTAGCAGAAGACAAGAAATAGTTAAGATCAGAGCAGAACTGAAGGAGATAGAGACATGAAAAACCCTTCAAAAAAATCAATGAATCCAGGAGCTGTTTTTTTTTAAAGATTAACAAAATAGATAAACTGCCAGCCAGATTAATAAAGAAGAAAAGAGAGAAGATTCAAATAGACACAATAAAAAATGATAAAGGGGATATCATCACTGGTCCCACAGAAATACAAACTACCATCACAGAATACTATAAACACCTCTACACAAATAAACCAGAAAATCTAGGAGAAATGGATAAATTCCTGAACACATACACCCTCCCAAGACTAAACCAGGAAGAAGTTCAATCCCTCAACAGACCAGTAACAAGTTCTGAAATTGAGACAGTAATTAATAGCCTACCAACCAAAAAAAAGCCCAGGACCAAATGGATTCACAACCGAATTCTACCAGAGGTACGAAGAGGAGCTGTTACCATTCCTTCTGAAACTATTCCAAACAATAGAAAAAGAAGGAATCCTCCCTAACTCATTTTATGAGGCCAGAATTATCCTGGTACCAAAACCTGACAGAGATAAAAAAATTAAAAAAAAAAAAAAAGAAAATTTCAGTCCAATATCCCTGATGAACATAGATGTGAAAATCCTCAATAAAATATTGGCAAACTGAATCCAGCAGCACATCAAAAAGCTTATCCATCAACGTCAAGTCAGCTTCATCCCTGGGATGCAAGGTTGGTTCAATATATGCAAATCGAGAAACATAATCCATCATATAAACAGAAACAATGACAAAAACCACATGATTATCTCAATAGATGCGGAAAAGGACTTTGATAAAATTCAACACTCCTTCATGGTAAAAACACTCAATAAACTAGGTACTGATGGAACATATCTCAAAATAATAAGAGCTATTTATGTCAAAGCCATAGCCAATATCATACTGAATGGCCAAGAGCTGGAAGTATTCCCTTTGAAAACCAGCACAAGACAAGGATGCCCTCTTTCACCACTCCTACTCAACATAGTATTGAAAGTTCTGGCCAGGGCAATCAGGCAAGAGAAAGAAATAAAGCGTATTTAATTAGGAAAAGAGGAAGTCAAATTGTCTCTGTTTGCTGATGACATGATTGTTTATTTAGAAAACCCCATTGTCTTAGCCCAAAAACTCCTTAAGCTGATCAGCAACTTCAGCAAAGTCCTGGGATACAAAATCAATGTGTAAAAATCACAAGCATTCCTATACAACAATGGACAAACAGAGAGCCAAATTATGAGTGAACTCGCATTCACAATTGCTACATAGAGAATAAAATACCTAGGACTGCAACTTACAAGGGATGTGAAGGACCTCTTCAAGAAGAACTACAAACCACTGCTCATGGAAATGAGACAGGATACACAAACAAATGGAAAAACATTCCATGCTCATGGATGGGAAGAATCGATATTGCGAAAATGGCCATACTGCCCAAAGTAATTTATAGATTCAATGCTATTCCCATCAAGCTACTATTGACTTTCTTCACAGAACTAGAAAAAATGACTTTAAATTTCATATGGAACCAAACAAGAGCCCATATAGGCAAGACAATCCTAAGCAAAAAGAACAAAGCTAGAGGCATTACACTACGTGACTTCAAACTATACTACAAGGCTACAGTAAACAGAACAGCAGGATACTGGTACCAAAACAGGTATATAGACCAATGGAACAAAATAGAGGCTGCAGAAATAACACCACACATCTACAATCATCTGATCTTTGACAAACCTGACAAAAACAAGCAGTCAGGAAAGGATTCCCTATTTAATAAATGGTGCTTGGAAGGCCAGCTAGCCATATGCAGAAAACTGAAACTGGACCCCTTCCTTACACCTTATATAAAAATTAACTCAAGATGCATTAAAGACTTAAATGTAAAACCTAAAACCATAAAAACCCTAGAAGAAAACATAGGCAATACCATTCAGGACATGGGCATGGGCAAGACTTCATGATTAAAACAGCAAAAGCAATTGCAACAAAAGCCAAAATTGACAAATGGGATCTAATTAAACTGAAGAGCTGTACAGCAAAAGAAACTATCATCAAAGTGAACAGGGAACCTATAGAATGGGAGAAAATTTTTGCAATCTATCTATCTGACAAAGGTCTAATATCCAGGATCTACAAGGAACTTAAACAAATTTACAAGAAAAAACAAACAACCCCATCATAAAGTGGGTGAAGGATATGAACAGACATTTCCCAAAAGAAGACATTTATGTGGCCAACAAACATATAAAAAAAGCTCACCATCTCTGGTCATTAGAGAAATGCAAATCAAAACCCCAATGAGATACCATCTCACACCAGTTAGAATGGTGATCATTAAAAAATCAGGAAGCAACAGATGCTGGCAAGGATGTGGAGAAATAGGAATGCTTTTACACTGTTGGTGGGAGTGTAAATTAGTTCAACCAGTGTGGAAGACAGTGTGGTGATTACTCAAGGATCAAGAACCAGAAATACTATTTGACCCAGCAATCACATTACTGGGTATATACCCAAAGGATTATAAATCATTCCACTGTAAAGACACATGCACACATATGTTTATTGCAGCACTATTCACAATAGCAAAGACTTGGAACCAACCCAAATGTCCATCAGTGATAGACTGGATAAAGAAAATGTGGCACATATATACCATGGCATACTATGCAGCCATAAAAAAGGATGAGTTCATGTCCTTTGCAGGGACATGGATGAAGCTGGAAGCCATCATTCTCAGCAAACTAACACAGGAACAGAAAACCAAACACTGCATATTCTCACTCATAAGTGGGGGTTGAACAATGAGAACACATGGACACAGGGAGGGGAACATCACATACCAGGGCCTGTTGGGGGATAGGGGGCAAGGGGAGAGAGAGCATAAGGACAAATACCTATTGCATGTGGGCTTAAAACCTAGATGACAGGTTGATGGGTGCAGCGAAACACCATGGCCCATGTATACCTATGTAACAAACCTGCACGTTCTGCACATGTATCCGAGAACTTAAAGTTTAATTAAAAAAAAAAAAGAAAACTCATCTTTCAGATCTTGATGCTAGGTTGAATGTGGCCACGTTCTATGCCATGATGCGGCATGGTTGGGTGAGCAGGTGATGGGGGCGGTGCGTATGTAACTCCACCAGCAGGTCTCCTCTCTAGGCTCCATCTACCTAATTGGGCATCAACTCACCATCTCTCCATGAGTCCAACACACCTAGGTTCCTCTTGGACCAGATTGTTGCTTCATAGGGAAGACACCAAAGGCGGTAATTGTGCTTGTGTGTAGTGAAAATGGGGTATAAAGATACAAACATTTAGCTTTTAGCTTCATGTACAAGTGAGGGGAGCTGCTTATTTCTTATTCCCCAGAGAGATGGGGGCCTGAGACAGTGAGGGCAGATTGAGGGACTCCATTTCCTGTT
This sequence comes from Homo sapiens, assembly GCF_000001405.40. Classification (NCBI taxonomy): domain Eukaryota; kingdom Metazoa; phylum Chordata; class Mammalia; order Primates; family Hominidae; genus Homo; species Homo sapiens. The sequence continues at coordinate 154,898,544 of NC_000004.12, forward strand.
CATGCTGGTGCACATGCTCACTGAGTGTATTGGCAAGCTAGCAGCCCATACTATTTCAGAAGATTCTTCTCTTTCTCATTTGGCTAAATTTTACCTGTTGAACTTTAGTATATTAAATATGTCTAAGCTGTAATTTCACCATACTCAATTTATCTGAGTTCCATTTTCTTTGAATAATGAAAATAATAATTTCTATTCATCTCATGGATAAAGTTTTAGGAGATTAAGATAACATAAAATGTGAAAGTCTTTAGTGAAATACAAAGTTCTATATAAAGGTAATGGTTTATTTTTTATTATTTTTAGAAGACTGAATGGATTGTTGTGGGGTGTGGCTTAAGTTACTGTTATCTGTGGGTGATGATGAAATTCTCAGAGCACGTCCCCATACTACCCTGCAGCCTGGGAGGCTCTATTGATCAAACACTGGTTCCTAGTTCATGTTCACACTGTGTGTTCCAGGCCTTGGGTAGGAAGGAGCCTCATGTGGGAACTCTGGCCTTGGAGTTAGGAGACCTTTGCTAGTAATCACCAACCAAACTGGCAAGCACCAAATTCTCTTGACTTTGCTTTCATCATTTGTAGAACAAACCAATTTGATTTTACAGGATGATCTCTAGGGTCCTTAAAACTTCAAGTTCATGAGTCAAAACAAATGTTTCCCAAAGTATGGTGTAGAGGAAAGTCAGCTTCATTAGAATTATCTGAAGAGCTTGTTAAAAATGCAGATGAGATTCCTTCTTGGATCTCATCCTGGATTTAATGATTCAGAGTCGCCTTGTTTGCAGTCCCAGTATCTGCATTTTAATTAAGTATGGGAAAAGGCATTTTAAGTCCTATATTTTTTACTTCAGTTTTGGCTATAAAATGTAATTGAGGCTAGTCTTAATGAACAACTTAATTGGAAAGCTTGAAAGGAATGTGAACATTCTTGACACTGGTTCTTTAGAAAGCAAAACCACAGATAGCCATTATCTTGTTAGATGGATATGGAAAATACGAGTGATTTCTTACATTCCTGTTACCATAAAAGTATACTTATTCTGGGCTGGGCGCAGTGGCTCACGCCTGTAATCCCAGCACTTTGGGAGGCCAAGGTGGGTGGATCACGAGGTCAGGAGATCGAGAACATCCTGGCTAACACGGTGAAACCCCATCTCTACTAAAAGTACAAAAAAAAAAAAAAAAATTAGCCGGGTGTGGTAGCGGGCGCCTGTAGTTCCAGCTACTCGGGAGGCTGAGGCAGGAGAATGGCGTGAACCTGGGAGGCGGAGCTTGCAGTGAGCCGAGATCGCGCCACTGCACTCCAGCCTGGGTGACAGAGCAAAACTCTGTATCAAAAAAAAAAAAAAAAAGGATACTTATTCTATAATATATGGTGTCATCATAAAATGGATCTTATTTTGCCCAAAACTTTTACTTAAAAGGGCTAATAGTCTTTCTTTAATAATGAAATGTTTGTTTCAATAGGTTCAAAGGCTGTTGCCTTATCACCTTGGAGCTGTAAGTTGGAAAAATACAACTTATCCAAACTGAAAATATACCCCAAAAGAATGAAAAACCCCCATTTGCCAAGAAAATACATGGCCCTGTTCTTTCTATTTTGTGCCTCCGTCTAAGTGAATCACTGCCTTTCTTCTCATCAATTGATCTCCAGGGATAATCTGTGTTCTCTCCTCACAAATGAACCTTACAAAAACTTTTGTTCATCTCTCATGTTTTCTCTCACTTATTGCATGGAGATGGGAAGATGAATTTTCACTTGCTCTGTTATTTGGAAAAACTCTATGTGAATCCTGTTGGTCACCAGTGTTGCACTGACTAGCACTGCTTTTTCTTTTCATCACTATGAAGTGGGTGAAATTTGATCACGTTTGTCTAGAATATCAAGCGAGTGCATCACAAAGGAAGTGCAACACGGGCCCAGATCTGTTTTTCCATCAATCTCCAATCATCTCCAAGTCTCTCTCTCCATCCTTGACCTTTCAGTTAGGTTTAATTTCCCTACTTTGAACTGCCTACTGTACCACCTTTGTGGGGGAAAACAGTGTTTGTTCACCTAAGCTATAGACTATGTACGTCATAGGCAGTTGAATTTTACCCAGTGACATTAGGATAATTAACTCACCATCTCTGTCTGTATTGACCAAATTATGTAACCTCATTTGTGTAGCTTGTTGTAGCTTGGCTTCACATAATATTTGGAAAGCCTCAAGATCCTTGTTAAATTATTAAATTTGATGATAATAAAAATTAAAAATACACATTAAATATAGTTATTGTAATTGATGCATTAATTCAACCAACATTTATTTCATCTTGATCTAATCTAAGTTCTACAGTAAGTGTTGGTGATACAAGACTAACTTTATTCTGATTCTTAGTATGTAAAAGTTATATTAAGACTTTTTTTACACTTTTCTGGGAAAAAGGAGAAGTACTGCAAAAAATTAAGAAGGAGTAAATTAAGGCAAATTAATAGACTGAGGAAGGTACTAATACTAATGCATCAGTGAAAATTAAGAAACCCTTCAATTTCAGGCATCCAACATAATTTGCATTCTTCTTCTCATATCCAAGGACATCTACTTGGGCAGGTGAGTACAAGGAAAAAAATCAGATGTGCATCATTTCTAAAGAAATTCCATTAATGGCTTTGGGGAGAAGATTAACAGAAAACAATGAGAGTATTTGCCAAACATCTGTAGAAAGTAGTGTACGTTTTTGGAAATGAACTGCAAATCATATACGCTTCAGGGTACTACGCTCATTTATCTAACTGCTTACTCCATATCTTTACCTGTTTAATAGCTCACTAACACTTAGAATACTAAAAGTGGAATTCTTGATCTCCTCCCTCTCCAAATATGCTCCTTTCATAGTCTTCTCCTTCTCAGTGAGTGACATCACCATTTACCCAGTTGTTAGGCCAGAGCCCCTTACATCTATCCCTTACACAAGATTAGAAACCTTCCAAATCTGATCACTCCTCGCCCTGCCCATTGCTTCTACCCATATCCAAGTCAGCATCACATCTTGCTGAAATACAACCTCTTAATTACTTCTATTCTTGCTTTTCCTTCATTCTATTCTCTCTCTATACAACATTCAAAGTTCTCCTTTAAAACGGTGTATAGATTATATACACTCTATTTAAAACTTTTAGTGATTTCTGGTTATAATTAAAATGCTGTACAATGGAAATCTATTCCCACAGCCAACGTGGGGCAGTGCATAACCTCATTACTCTTCACCCCTCACACTCCACTCCCTATGATTCTCCCTCTCACCCAGTCTGCACCAGCTACACTGGCCTCCTTCCTGGTCCTGGAACACTCCAAGCTTATTCTTGATCGAAGGCTGCTGCATTTGCTTTTCTCTTAGCCTGGAATGCCCTCCTCCCAGATCTTTGCTGGCTGACTCTTCTTGTTATTTAGACTGACTTTCTCCTCGGCTGCCCTCTCTGTAATAGCGATCAACCAGTCACTTTCCTTCCCACCACCCCTCTCAATTTTCCCTTTAGTGTTTGTCTCTCTTTGAAATTATTCTTTCCATTGATTTGCTTGTTTATTTTCTGTCTTCCGCAAATAGAATGTGGGCTTCATAAGAGTTGTGATTTTCTCTGTGTTGTTCTCTACCACACCCTAAAAAGGGCATGAAGTGGGTTCTCAATACATATGTATTGACTGAATCTCAGCATATTAATAAGACAAAAATGTATTGGTTTTGGGGTAATGCATAAAATCATGTAAATAAAGGGTTTCCCTATTATTGCATTGTAATAATAAACCAAATTATGTAGTTTAATTTTATTTTTACATAGCCTAAGCATACATGAGAAATACTTTGAAAAGTATAAGAGAAAATGTGTAAAGAAAAAATATTTTAAATGCATATTTTCTGTTTCTACATTTTTAATAATTAAATTTAAACTTAGACAATCATTCTCTGGATCACTCATCTATAAAATAGGTGATTAATGTAGAAAATTACCTCATGGATTTTTTCTGGCAAAGCAGTAATTTACTGATCCACTATTATAAACCTTTCTGTTCTCTTCAGAGGGCTATAAGTCATCAAATCAAAACTACTACAGAAATCCAATAATATTGGAAGCATTGGTTGAATATTAAGAATATTCTGGTTTATTGAAGGGGGTGTAGAGAAGCACAAATATCAAATAAACCTTTGATATTCAGTTGTGCTGTAGGTTATGTAGACCAGCGTTATGTTTACCAAAAAGACAATCTCAACATCAAGGAAAGTATATAATTCAGTGGTTAGACATCTATCAACAATTTTAAGAATTGGCAAGTCCTTAATTTTAGCAAGTGACATTTTGCTCCACATGTCATGATTTTATAAATGTGTAATACTATTAAATGACCTCATATTTGGAACTCAGGTGATATACCAAAGAAAATTAGGACTCCAATTATTCCTATCTTTGTGATGTTGAGTTCTTTTATGGCAGTAATTTTTCCATAAGGAAGTTGAGAGGCATGGGGGAGAAAAACAACCAACCAACCAACCAAAATCAGCTGTCATCTTTCCTTGAGGACAAAATATGCACAATGACCATAATTTAAGGTAAACAGTACATACCTGTGTTAGTCTGTTTTAACACTGCTATAAAGAAGTATCAGAGACTGGATAATTTATAAAGGAAAGAGGTTTAATTGATTCATAGCTCTGCATGGCTGAGGAGGCCTCAGGAAACTTACAATCACGGTGGAAGGTGAAGGAGAAGCAAGTACCTTTGTCACAAGGTGGCAGGAAAGACAGAGAATGCAGGGGAAACTGTCACTTTTAAAATTATCAGGTCCCATGAGAACTCCCTATCACAAGAACAACATGAGGGAACCATCCCCATGATCCACTCACCTCCCACCAGGTCTCTCCCTTGCCACATGGGTATTTTGATTAGGAATAAGATTTGGGTGTGGAGACAGAGCCAAACCATATCAACCACCATGCGTATGTAAGAGATGGGGACCTTTATGTCCTGATCTCTTGCATGCACAGAGCCTTGGTTACGTCCTTCTTGGCCTGAAGTGGCTCCTTAGGGCACTCCTGTACTTCCTTGGTCTTAACCCTGGGGGCCTATCTGGTCAGCCAGGGGCTTCTTGCAGGCCTTCTCTGCCTTCAGCTTGTGGATGTGTTCCAGGAGAATCTGTTTGATTCTCATTCACCTAAAAGGGCACCAAGTCCTGAGGCTGGGTGTGGTGGCTCATGCCTGGGTGCGTGACACCCAGCACTTTGGGTGGCTGAGGTAGGAGGATCACTTGAGCCCAGGAGTTCAAGACCAGCCTTGGCAAGATATGGAGAACACATCTCTACACAAAATAAAAAAAAATTAGCAGGGCATGGTGGCTTGTACCTGTTGTCTCAGCTACTCAAGAGGCCGAGGTGGGAGAACAGCTTAAAGCCTGGGAGTTTGAGGCTGCAGTGACCTGTGATCATGCCACTGAACTCCAGCCTGGGTGACAGAGTGAGGCCTTGTCTCAAAAATAAATAAATAAAACAGAACAAAATAAATAAAAATTCAAATGGAAAGAGAGACTTAGGGGTGATTTCAGAGTAATTGAGATATCAGATATGGGTTGCTAGGGTTTCAGATTCACTCATAACAATTTTCCAAGTTGCTCCATTGAAATTCTACTCACCTCCTTCGATGGAAGCCCACTGCATATCCATCCTCTTTTGCTCCTTGTAAAGGCCAATTCTGAGACCTTCACTTTGAAGTGCATGCAAAGCTCTAAGCTGCTAAGTAATCAATGAAAAAGAAAGCTCTTCAAATGAGTAGACATGCAACACTTTTTCATTTTGATGTGCTACTTCTTGTGACTGCCATCATTGCAACTCTCTGAAGCGGGCAGAGCAAAGCAAAAGCACAAGCACCTGGAACTAGCACAAAAGCACATCTTTTTTTGCAGCAAACAGGCCACTTGGCTTGAACCAATATGTGCATCCAAAGAGACAAAATACAGAATTAAAATCATAGTATCAAGAACATCAAAGGGACCTAGACAGCATCTAGCTAATGCCCATTATTTTATGCTGAAAGGAACTGAGACCTAGAGAGGGTATATAACTTGCTTAAGGTCACAGAGCTAGTCAATGCATACACAGGACTACAATACTCAGTAGGTTTCTCTCAGGACAGTGGTTCCAATTACACCAGGCTTTCTGTTATTTTGTAACAAAAAAAAAGTGGGTATATACCCACGAATTAGGAAATCACAAGCAAAATGCTTACACTTAGTTTTAAGGCATTAATTATATTATTAAAATGAAAACCAATGTTTCAGTTGTATAAGCCATTTACAGAATCATCTCTATCAGGGAGAGAAATGAAGGCCCCAGGGTTTTAGCAAAAGCTTATAGATTTTGTTATTTTGTTATTTCAGAGTAAAATGGGATTTGCCAAGCACTAACAGTGAAAAGAGCCTTAAGAAGATATATATTCCTTTTGCCTCTAAAGATGGACTGACACCTCATGTACTTGATCAGATATGGGTTGCTCTTTCTGCAGGCTCCTTCATTGTTCTGGCCAGAACTGAGGAAAATGGGCACTTCTCCGAAGACTGGGTATTTCAGTTCAAATTGAGGGTTTTTTTAAAAGTAGTTTGATAGTTCAATTTGAGAAACTGGATGAAACTTTTGGAAAAGACAAGCTTTCTATTAAAGTGCCCAGTGCTGTTTACTTCTGCTGGAAGGCATGAGCCACAGCTGTAGCACTTGGAGTGGTGGATAACTTTTCCACCTCATTCCTGCCTGCTGGTGGAAGTGGCTCAAGAGCCTTAGGGCTCTTTAACCCTGTAAGCAACATTTTCTGGGCAAATCTGTTATTTTGTCTTCAGTGACTCAAGATTGAGTTTTGTGTTTTTTAAAAAATTGGATTCCTGTCAGTATGACCCTGAAATCTTTGAGTATTATTCAACTTTCGGTCCCCTTTAAGAAGAGAGCATTAAACAAAACAGAAATCTTAACATCTCCATATCATTCCCTAATTGCATTTATTAACAGCCTTAGAAATATTTTGTTGGAGTTTAGGTGAGTGATTCATGTTCTGAGTCTTTTTTATCCTCCCCAAAACATTTCTATATTTAAATATTTTCAAATGCATACCATCCTTAAAGAGGGCAAGTACAATAGACAATAATGTTTTAAAAAGTAACAGGTTTAGTCCAGGTGCTGTGGCTCATGCCTATAATTCCATCACTTTGGGAGACTGAGGGGAGGGGATCACTTGAGCCCAGGAGTTGGAGAGCAGCCTGGGCAACATAGTGGGACTCCATCTCTAAAACAATTTTTTTTTTTTAATTAGCCACTTGTGGTGGTGTGTGCCTGTAGTCTGTGCTACTAGGGAGACTGAAGCAGGAAAATTGCTTGAGCCTGGGAATTTGAGGCTGCAGTGAGCTGTGACCATGCCACTGCACTCCAGCCTGGGTAACAGAGTGAGAACCTGTCTCAAAAAAAGTAATAGGTTTATTAAAGTAAAAATTCCCGTTTTTAGGTGTGCAATTCAGGGTTTTCAGAGTATTCACAGAGTTATGCATTCATCATCATCATCTAATTTCACAACACTTTCATCACTCCAAAAACAAACCTCATATTCATTACCAGTCACTCCCAATTCCTTCCTCTCTCCAGCCGCTGGTAACCACAAATCTACTTTCTGTCTTCATATATTTGCCTATTTTGAACATTTCATATAACTGGAATCATGTAATAGTGGTCTTCTGTTTCTGACTTAGCGTTTTCAAGGTTCATCCATGTTGTAGCATGTATCAGAACTTCATTCCTTTTTATAGCTGTATAATATTCTGCTGTATGGATATGCCACATCTTGTTTATCCATTCATTCATCAGTTAATGGACATTTGGGTTGCTTCTACCTTTTGACTATTGTGATAACACTGCTACAAATACTCATGTCCAAGATTTTGTGTTGACATATTTTTTCAATTCTTCCAGGTATATACCTAGGAGTGGATTGCTTTTTAATGGTACTAGTCATTTTTGGCACAAATGGCTCTCACTGTAACCAGAAGTTGGTTCTAAAATGGACATATGTCCTTTTATTTTCTTATGAGTGAGATCCATTTGCTAGAAAATTATTGCTATGAAGTTTAGTTCTTCTGTATCAAATCAAGATTAGTTTTATAATGGACACAAATGTAGGTCAAACAATATGTGAAAACTACTCGTGTGTTGTTTCCTATGAGCAAAGAAGCTGGGGAAAAAAATCTAATTAGGTCAACAAGTCAGGAATGACTAAAATATCAATTACTGGATACCATTTCTTTATCAAACCTTTCCTAGTTGAATACCTAGCTACCTTTCTTGCCGGTCTCCTTTTGCATTGCAGGGGCCGGCCGGCATAGAATGTAAACAAATAGCATGGTCAGTAATAATACACATGCAAGGGGCCCTTTTAAATTACTCAAGTGCCAGGCTCTTCACATGGTTGGGTAATATTATTCCTATTTTATAAAAGAGGAAACCGAGGCCCAGAGATGTTATTTAACCCAAAGTTGCACAATGGGTGCACGATAGGGCTAGGGTTCAAATCCCAAAACAGTAAAATGTGTAGTTAGGAGCAAGGGCTTGGAGTCATATAGACCTGAGTTTTCTTCCTGGCTCTGTACTAGCTGAGATCTTAGGCATGTTTCTCAGACTTGCTAAGATTCGATTTCCCTACCTGTGAAATGGAAAAGATAATATTTAATGCAGAGAGAGGATTGTAGGGTCCAGCCCTACGGGGCTTAGTGGGTGTTCTCTCCGTGTGCGGAGACGAGAGATTGTAATAAATAAAGACACAAAACAAAGAAATAAAGAGAAGGCAGCTGGGCCTGGGGGACCACTACCATCAAGATGCAGAGACCAGTAGTGGCCCCGAAAGGCTGGGTGCACTGATATTTATTGCATACAAGACAAGGGGGGCAGGGTAAGGAGGGTGAATCTTCTAAGTGATCGATAAGGTGAAGCAAGTCACGTGATCATAGGACAGTGGCCCCTTCCCTTTCAGGAGCCGAAGCCGAAGCAGAGAGAGAAGGCAGCATATGTCAGCATTTTCTTCTATGCACTTATAAGAAAGATCACAGACTTTAAGACTTTCACTATTTCTTCTACCGTTATCTACTACGAACTTCAAAGAGGAACCAGGAGTACGGGAGGAACATGAAAGTGGACAAGGAGCATGACCACTGAAGCACAGCACCACAGGGAGGGGTTTAGGCCTCCGGATGACTGCGGGTGGACCTGGATAATATCCAGAAGCTGGTGGAGCAGAGTGTTCCCTGACTCCTCCAAGGAAAGGAGACTCCCTTTCGCGGTCTGCTAAGTAATGGATGTCTTCCAAGACAGTGGCATTACCACTTGACCAAGGAGCCCTCAAGGGGCCCTTATGCGGGCGTGACAGAGGGCTCACCTCTTGCCTTGTAGGTCACTTCTCACAACGTCCCTTCAGCACCTGACCCTATACCCGCCGGTTATTCCTAGGTTATATTAGTAATGCAACAAAGAGTAATATTAAAAGCTAATGATTAAATAATGTTTATAATAATGATTGATAATTGTCCATGATCATCTCTATATCTAATTTGTATTATGACTATTCTTATTCTAACTATTTTCTTTATTTACTGAAACAGTTTGTGTCTTCAGTCTCTTGCCTTGACACCTAGGTAATCTTTTGCCCACAGAGGATTAAGAGACAAGGTACATAAGAGTGAAGCATGTGCCTACAATATTTGCTGAGTGAATAAGTCTAGGAGTGTCTCACTCCAAATGCTATGCCCTAACACTGTGTCACACCACTTTGGCTTACTCACCAGCATAATAAAGCCACAAGAAGCTCTGATTCAGGAAAACATGGCAGGGCTGCGACATAGATTCAGAAGCTCTGGTTACAATAAAAACTACAGTGGGTGCAGCTTGGTTTTCTCTTTCTTACCAAGGACCTCTGAGGCTGCTAGAGAACTGTAGTTGTGGGTAAAAATAATTTGAGACAACACCCTGGTTTTCTTCTTCTCACTGATGTTGAAGCAGCGGTGGGGACCAGCACTGGAGGCACCCCTTACTATTGTGTATCCACTGACCATGCTCAGGTCATTCAGGTCACCGAGAGAGAAGTCAAGCATTATGGCATCCCAACCAGATAATTTCTTCATACCTAGCTGGAGTCTGGGTTCTGAACTCATATTTCCTTTGTATCCTGATGAGCTGGGCTGTAAGGTTCCCAGCTAAAACATTTTTATTTGCTAAATCTGGTGACTCTAGCTGGAAGGCACAGTCTAGAATTGGGCCTGAGAGTCCCTTTTCCTTTTCTATCCTTTAACCATAAAGTGAGTACCAGAGCTCCCTACTTCATTTCCTCTTGGTCTTCCAATGGCTTCTCGCATGCAGAATCAAGGCCTTTGCTAAAGCAGAGGTGCTGTCCCTCACTGCCAGCCTAGTTAAATGGGACACCCACTTGCTTTTAGCTGATGTCCTTGCCTCATACTTCATTGAGAAAGCAGGGGCAATCAGAGGGAAACTCCATGAACTTTACCCACCAAATCTCCTGACTCTCTTGCACTTTGCCTGTTAGTTCTGCCTTTAATGGGTAGCCAAGGCTGAGACTCACCCATTAGAAAGGAAGCTACATGAAGTCAGGGATTGGGTCAGTTTTTAAGATGTTTTCTCTCAAGAGTATAGACTAGAGCCTTGAATATTATAGCTGCTTTATAAATACTTGGGAAAAATTAATTTCGGTTAAATGATTTTAGTTAGAGAGAGAAGCAGGGGCAAGGAAAGAAGTCTGATATCCTCTTAAATCTAGAATGGGATGTTATTATAAGTTTTTTTGGTGTCGTGCCATTTCCCTCTACTTTGTGAGTCTGTGATGTTTGCCATGAGGAGCTTGGTGTGGGGTAGGGTTATATGTTGGCCGACAGGTATTTAGAGAAGAGTTTAGAAGATGGAGCAGTCTTTAGCTTCACGGTGCCTGCCTATATAGAAAGTTGATTACCAGATTCTTATTTTTGTATTTCATTCGCTAATTTCTTAGGCAAAGAATTTTAATTTGTATATTTTGTACATTTGCTATAAGATGATTTTATTATCATTTACTACTCTTTTTTAGTACCAAAAGCTTAGGCAACATATGAAAGTAAAAGCTATCACTCTCTTCTGTCAGCCTTTAGGGTTTATTTCTTCTAAGTACTTATTACCCCCTTTTTAACAGGAGTCAAGCATTCTGGAGGGAACCCTGGGCAGAAGGCAAAGGGCACCCAGCATTAGGTCTGCCTACCCTGCCTCATTTTTTTCCTCACTCCTAAAGATGACTCAGTGGCTCTGACTGGGCCTTGGGCTCATCTTCTCAGTTCTGTCCAGTTCAATACATATTTGCTGGGCCTTGAGCTTCATCCTCTCAGTTCTGTCCAGTTAAATACATATTTGCTGGTAGATGTTAGGAATCTATTATTCATTAGGTACAGGGCTAGACCCTGGGGACAGAAAAATGATCCTTGTCCTTTAGATGGTCTTGTCCTAGTAGATGAGGGTTCTTGTAAGCAAGAACATTTCAATAAATGTTGGTCAGTGCTCAGATAGATGTTAACATGACAGGCCCACTCCTAACATTTTCAGGGCCTAGGGCAAAGATGAAGCCCATATGTCATATATATCTAGAGATTTGGCATTGATAAATCAGGCTAGCAGACCATTGCTAAATAAGATATGTTATATCCTCCTGCTTTGATAAAGATACCTGTTCAGGCAAATATGAATTTAGAATTATGGAACCCCTTGGAGTTCTACACAGAAACATAGCAGTGAAGGGAAAACCAGTTGCTGACCTGTAGCCTGACTTCCTCTCTTTCCTTTTCTGGCTGCTTCCGCACTGTAAGGGGCCTCACAAGCACACCTGTGGATACTCCAACCTGAATATTCAGAATGCATCCACATGGACACAAACAGGTGGCTTTGGCTACTCCTCAGCCTAGGCGTGCATACCCTGAGGCTTTGGAAGTGAATTCTGAGCCATTTGGACAGAAAATTCTGGGTCCAGGGAACCTACAGCATAATCTGAAAGGGATAGGTAGAGCCCTGGGGGGGCATTTTACTTGGCCCTGAGAATTCTCCATGAAGTGGAGGATCATGGCCCTGCATAGTTCAGAGCCCAGGGAAGAGGTTTCCCGGACTGGGTCATAGGACAGCAGTCAGCACTGATATTCAGCATGAGGATCACTGGGTGTGTAGAGTTGGACGCTTAAACCCCTCTCCCCCAACAAAAAGGGATCAGAAAGATTTCAAGACTTCTGAGAGGAAATAATATCTGAGCTAAAATTTGGAAGGGGAGGCTAGACAGTTAAGCAAAGGCAGAGAGTCCATTGTAAGGTGAGAGATCAGCAGGGGCACATTTGCTGAGAGATGACATGCCATCGTGTGTGTGAAGAACTACACGCAAATTCCTCATTACCAGAGTGGAAATAGGTAGGAGCTGATGCCTAAATGGTGGGTGGGGTCTTGGTATCGAGGAAATTGTCTGCCTTTCTAAAAGGCCTGGATTTAATCTGTAGGTGATAGAGAACTCTTACATACCTCCACTTATGCACCCATTTTTGGCTAATAGTGTGATCTTCTTAGGTCCTTTAAGTCCAAAAGCATCGTCCACTGCAGAGTTTGTGATCTAGGCTGTAATTCTGGCTGGAAAGCACTAAGGAGCTATCCTGCTGACTTTCAGAGCCCTGGAAACAACTCTCTGCTGCTCCCTCTTGGCAGCTAGAATTTCACTCTTTGGTGTTTCAGGGACCATTTTGCAACAAGTTGTGCTTTTATTATATTTGTTATTCTTCTCTTTCTTTTCAAGACAGTTTCTGGCACCATCCATCCATTTATTCATCATCATTTCAGGTGTTTAACAGTGCTCATGTGCTCATGTGTTTGCAGTTATTGAGCTTCTTTAAGATGTTTATTTTGAGTTATTTTTCAGACAGTTCATGGATCTCTGTTTCTTTAGAGTTGAATAGAGATTTATTAGTTTCCCTTGGTGGTGTCATGTTTATCTAATTCTTCTTGATCCTTGTGGACTTGCATTGGTGTTGGTGCTTTTGAAGGAGGAGCCATCTCTTTTAATCTTTACAGGCTGATTTTAGCAGTAAAAGACCTTCCCTTGTCAGGTCTCAAACAAACTGCCTCTGAGACTGTGGTTGAGTGGGGCTAGAGCTGGATCATAAAGCTGCTCTCGGTCTGCATTTGAGTCTGTGGTTGTTGGGCCCTACCACTGGGAGCGTGAATGGGCATGGCTCCTGCTGCTTCCACACACGGACAGGGCTGGTGGCAGGACTGTGGACCAGTAGGGCTGGAGCCCCAACCACAGGGGATGGGGCTGCTTCCTGTTCTGCAGCTGGCTCTGTGGTCAGTAAGCCTACTAACAAGGCACAGGCCTGTCTTCTTTAAGTGGCTTTTCTCAGTTTTGGGCTCCACTGGTGTGTGGAAACTTCCTATCTGGATTCTGAAGCTCCCTTAAAGGCACTTTTGTCTGTGGATAGTTGCCAGATCCATGTTTCTATTGGAGATGAGGACTGTAGATGTTCTGTTCCGCCATCTTGCTCATATCACTCCTCTGGAATTTTTTTTTTCCAGGTACAGAAAGTATCGTGGATAACAGTTTGGGGCTCAATTTAAGCTGCTGACCAAGTTGTTAATTGCTTTGTGAGGAGGCAGCATGACGCAGCTCTAGGTTTCTCAAATTTCAGACATTCTGATGCTGCCTTTTAAATTTTTGCCATGGCACCATATAGAAACTTATCTGCAAACCAATTGTATTATTATTGGTAATATTTTATGTTTTCCTTTAAATTGAACATTTAAGAAACTTCAATACATTTAATTTTAAAGATATTTTGTATCATGCCCTTAAAAACTGTTTTATTCACACCAAATTCACATTAAATTAACACAGAAAATGTCTATCTTTGTACACCAAAAATTATCACATGTACTGCCAGGGGGTATCCATAGCACATTTTTGGGAAAAACTAATAACGTAGAAAAAGCACTGATTTTGGAGTTATCAACATTTGGTTTAGAATCTCAGGTCTCCTATGAAGGTAAGTTATTTCTCCAAGACTTACGTTCTTTATCTGTAAATTGCAGATCCTTGACTTCTAGGAGAGGACAGTGAGAGGATGAACAGAACACAATGACCACAGGGTCGGGCAGAGTGAAGGCACTCCATAGATTCTTCTTCCATTTACTATTCGCCTTTATAACAGGCTCAATCATCTGTTTTTGGCAATTACTAAAGTGTATTTTCATTGAGGTACAATTTATATGCAGTGAAATGCACAGATATTAAGCGTACAGAGCAACATTATTTTTTTAACTCATGGTTCTATGTTTACTGTTTGAACCAGTGTCTGAAATACCTGGACTCTGGTATCGGATTTGGTATTCACTAAATGTTTGATTTTAGAAATGTCACAACTTCTGTGAATCTCTATTCATATAAAGAATTCTGTGTGAATCTGGGTTAAAAGGACTGAATGTTTACAATTGTGAAAGACTGCCCAAGATTATTGTTAGTAATACTCTTTCTGTTATTCTTAATGTTAATGTGAAGACTTGGATTTTCAAACTTGGACAAATCTATAGGTTCTTCTTCATACCTTGCATGGGCATACACAGCAACCCTGATCAGTATAAACCACTTAGCAAGCCCCAACTTGCAGTTCAAAATCAGCAGCTCATTGGAGGCAAGTTCAGAAGCATGAAACAATCACTCAAGGCTTGCTTAGTCCGTATTTCTGTCTCAAACTGTGAGAAATTGGCAATTTCCCTCTTTGGAGGGTGTTTCCACAGCTGGATCTTGATCAATCAGAAGCAGGAATCAGGAATTCTGATAAATGAAACCATGCTTAGACATCACGTATTAATATCCATCCATCATTAATTCATTCACCAATTTTTTGTGTGTGTTCTATGAACCTAGTCAGTCTGGCAACACCTCTGCCAAAACCCTCCCTAAGCACAGCAGTCCTTACTGACCTCTCTTCTCTGACTCCTATATTCATGAGCTTGCTGAGTCTCTACCCCGTCACAATAGACTTTTCCCCAGTGACCCATACTCTTCATGAGGGCAGCGTGCACCGCTGGGGAAACATCATGTCTTTGTTACTGTCTTGTGTGAAGCATATCTTATTTCCATAAATTTGACTCCTTAATGGTCATATGGAACTGTGATCAATTCAGTGGATGTTTATAAGAAAAATTCCCATTTAATGCAAGAAGGAACTTTCCAACAGCCAGAAATGAGTACCAACATGATGGCGGCCCCAAGAGAGTGAGTACTCTCGAATGGGTACGTTTAAGCAAAAGCTACATCGTCATCTGACAGTGGTGATGTAAATCGGAAACTGAAAAGTTCAGAAGGGCTCAAGAATCAAGATCTGCAAGCCTAGTTGAGTGCAGTGGTTCATGACTGTGGTCCCAGGTACTCAGGAGGCTGAGGTGGGAGGATCACGTGAGCCCAAGAGTTTGAGGCCACAGTGAGCTATGATCATGCTATTGCACTCCAGCCTGGGCAACAGAGCAAGAATCTGTTTTGAGAAAAATAAAAATTAAAAAAGTTAAAATTAGAGTTCTACAAGTCTAAATAGTGAGTACGCTGTAGTAAAACTAGCCTTCTCTGCTGAAATACTAATAAAGCAGAGTTAATTAGTGTTGTGTTAGTTATTTACTTTAAATACTTTAATATAAAGAGTGGGAAATTAAGGCTATCATTATTAGTTAGGTTAAGCCACAGCCCAGATAGTCCTATTTTTCCAATTGGGCCAGCTAGCATTCCAATAAGGAAGTCTATATTGAGAGGCAACTTTTACAGACACTTCCATGACCAGGGAACTTGTGAAGACCATGAACCCTGGAATCGGACTGCCTCAATTCAAATCCTGGCTCTGCTATTTACTAGTTAAAACATCTCAGTAACTTAACTTATCTGCATGCCAGTTCCTGCATCTGTAGAATGGGGATAATATTAGTGCCTACTTTATAGGCTGCTATGAGGTTTAAATGTGTTAATATGTGCAGTGTTTAGATTAGTATCTGCCACATAGTAGATGTTATACAAGTGTTTGTTAAACAAACAATGTCAACTTACATGTGACACTTTGCTTAAAAACACACCAAATATAAGAAATGAGTTCTTATTGGTGAAATTCAAGGTATTCAAATGAATAAATTGGTTAACATAACTTTGAAACACTCCTCACTCTTCTACCTTTACATCAACAAAATATAAGAATCTAATGAGGCCAGTAGGGATGACATCCAAGATTTAATCCTCCCCTGGGTCCAGCAATTGGGTCAGAGGATTCTGGTTCCTGATGTCAACTGAAGGAAACAGAATCCATCCTCTAGAATATTATCATTTTTTCTCAATTAAGCATTTGATGTATGCTGGTAATCGGAACACTAAAAGCACAGAGAATCGGAGTTCGTGGAGTTTGCAAGCAGATTGTATGAACACTTGTGTGCCTGCTTGCTAATAAATACTTGTTTAGTAAGCATATCCATGGCTGGTGCAGTGGCTCACGCTTGTAATTGTAGCACTTTGGGAGGCCTCGGCAGGTGGATCACCTGAGCTCAGGAGCTCAAGACCAGCCTGGGCAACTAAAATACATCTCTACTGAAAATACAAAAATTAGCTGGGCATGGTAGTGCATGCCTGTAGTCCCAGCTACTTGGGAGGCTGAGGCATGAGAATTGCTTGAGCCTGGGAGGCGGAGGTTGCAGTGAGCCAAGATTTCATCACCTCACTCCAGCCTGGGAGCAGAGGGAGACTCCATCTCAAACAAACAAACAAACAAACAAACAAACAAAAAGCATGTAACAGAATTTGGTCAGAGACTTGCTTTTATTATAGTCCAGTAGAGAGATTGTAGGGGGAGAAGGTAACTCTCACACACATCACATTTTTAGAGATTAGGGTTACCTATAAAAATTACCTATTTTAAGAATTGTGCATGTTCAAATTGAATTAGGTTCAGTTCACAACAAAAGGGAAATAGCCTAGGATATACTAAGGAGGAGTAGTTCAGTATGATCCACTGAATTCAGTAATTCAGAGGGATCCAAAGGATTGCCAGCAGACAGAGTAAAATGTGAGATAAGCCTCTGGGAATGGATGAAATGTAATTAACAGTAGTAGGGAAGGTAAGAAGCAAAGTATGAGATTGACTGAGATCCTGTGTTCATGAGTAGTTGAAGAAGAAAGGTTGGATAAGAAGGGTAATGTCAAAATGGGGAAAGATTAGAGGGTAGTCCAGTTTTTATTTTCTTTTTTGGCTGGACAGACAATACATAGCTTCCTAATATGGCTTATCGAGACACTTCATAAACCTGTTCTCCTGCACATCACCTATGACCTCCTAAATCCCACAGCAAGTGGCCTTATCTCAGTTCTTCCCTTTGTCCCCATTTCTGTGGCATTTGAGCTCTGATCTACCGTCCCTTTGGGAAGATGTTATGGCCCTTAATAGAGCTAGTCCTGGAGATCGAGATTTGCAAAGGGAGAGTACTGATGCTGTGACAAGGCATAATATCACTGGGCGGGTGCTGAGTGCCCAGATGCAGAGAACTGAGATGGAACCTTGGAGGATGGAGGCATTTAGGGGGAAGGGAGGAGAGATCAGAGACAGGAAGGGAGTAAGGGGAGCTCAGAGACAGAAGTCAAAGGACACTGTGGGTGTTCATTCATGTGTTAAATCAGGCAAATCATGGCACTATTTGTGGGTGGCATTGGAAGTTGCCAGGGATGAAGGCAGTATCTAGGTGTGTTTGCGGAAATACTAAGGAGGACAGTAAATTACCATGGTAGGCAGTGGGAGAATAGGAGATATATTAGACTGCCTACCAACTTATTAACTCCATGGAAGCATCCATCTAGAAAATATTGATGATTCACTGAGATAATGATTGTCCTTGTTTTCCTTTGTTTTCTTTTTTATCTCTTCCTTCAGTTCCTCTTCCTTGCTTCCTGGGTAAATCAAATCACAAAATGATGAAACCTGCGTCTCATCTTGACAAAGCATAGGCCCTGTTGCCATGGGACTTCTGTGGTTTTCCATTATAAGAATTATTATAAAGATATGTGAGCAAGAAGAACAGATAAAAGGTCTCTTTAAAATGAACGTGTAACTACATACATAGTTTTTACAATGCTGTCTTCTTACCTGTGGGAAATGTTTGCACTTAAAGCACTTAGAAAAAAAAAACAATTATTTTAAGCAATGTTGCGTTTTTTTTTCCCTTGCAGGCTCTAGATGTAATGATAAGCTTTCTTTAATTTATGAATAGAATTTGAAAGAGAATTGTCTAGTAGAAGGAGTCACTTATGTACGCAAAATATATTTATTGAATTCATTTCATGTGCTAGTGAGTGTCCTAGACACTGGAGATACAAGGTGAACGTAACAAAAATGTTCATTGAACTTGCATTCTGGATCTTCTGTAAAGGTGACACAGACAATGAATTCTGGCCATATCAGCTGTTTTACTTAGGTAAGTTTTTAAATCTGCCTCTGTTTCCTCATCTGTGAAATAGGATTGTTGTGAAGATAAAAAATTAGAACACAGTTAAATACTCAACAAATGTGTTAAAGTCAGAGGCTAACATATTCAAAGGTGACCTGAAAACTATAAAGCAGCATAAGTAATCTAATTTGTTACTTACCCTGGGATGGACCACCTTAGAGGGTCATTTGGCTTATGACTTTTAGACTGTCTGCACTTGGCAGTGGGTGGAGGTGGTTAATTTTGTCTGACTGATAAACTGTTCTCTATTTCTAGTTCCCCTGTTGAGGATTCACCAGTCATTGCAAGTCCCTGGAAACCTACCACCTGCAGCTTGCTCACTGGGGAGTGATTTGGCTTGCTGTGTATAAAGGGTCTGAATGAATTTTAAAACTCTTGAATCTACCCTATATGATGTTTATGAGAAGCTAAAATTCATTTTGAACATTTACAAAAAGCTTTTGTTACTATTATGTTTAACCCTTTCTGCTGGAGCAAAATAAATGGAACGTTTCTGCTATCTCGCTCTGCTAAGTTTATCAGGTCCTGCTGGAGTGGGCGTATATAGATGAGGACCCCAGGAGCTATACAACAATAAAAGAGAAATCATTAGGTTTTTTTTTCTCCCGTGCACATTGTCCTATTATGTTCTGGCTGGAGGCTGGGGGAGTTAGATATCCTGCCTGTTCTTGGTAGAATTATTGCTTTGGGGCGCAAGGTCTGGGGAAACAATGACCCTATGCATGATACCTTCTGGTATTTGTGAATAACAGTCATATAAAATCTAATGAATATGTTGGCTTCTATAGTGAAATCAAGTCCAAACAAAGGATGCGGTGAAGCTTGAATAGAGTATGTGGAAGGTAGTGTAATATTATAGTCTTAAATCCAACAGCAAAAACAGCATCAGACTGGGCATAGTGGCAAGTGAGGGCCAAGATGGGAGGATTACTTGATGCCAGGAGTTCAAGACCAGCCTAAGCAACAAAGCGAGACCCCCATCTCTACAAAAAAAAATTTTTTTTTTTAATTAGCTGGGTGTGGTGATGTGCACCTGTCTTCCCACCTACTCGGGAGTCTGAGGCAGGAGGATCCCTTGAGTCCAGTAGTTCAAGGTTGCAGTGAGCTATGATCAAGCCATTGCACTCCAGCCTGGGCAACAAAGCAAGACCCTGTATCAAAAATAAACAAACAAATAAAGCAGTATCAGCATTAGTATTTTCATGTGCGTCCGTGTGAAGAGACCAGCAAACAGGCTTTGTGTGAGCAACAAGGCTGTTTATTTCACCTGGGTGCAGGAGGGCTGAGTCCGAAAAGAGAGTCAGCGAAGGGAGATAGGGGTGGGGCCGTTTTATAGGATTTGGGTAGGTAAAGGAAAAAGGGGGGTTGTTCTCTGGCAGGCAGGAGTGGAGGGTCATGAAGTGCTCGGTAGGGGAGCTTTTGAGCCAGGATGAGCCAGGAGAAGGAATTTCACAAGATAATGTCATCAGTTCAGGCAGGAGCAGGCCATTTTCATTTCTTTTGTGGTGGAATGTCATTAGTCAAGGCAGGAACAGGCCATATGGATGTGTACGTGCAGGTCACAGGGAATATGATGGCTTAGCTTGGGCTCAGAGGCCTGACATTCCTGTCTTCTTATATTAATAAGAAAGATAAATCAAAATAGTGGTAAAGTGTTGGGACAGCGAAAATTTTGGGGGATGGTATGGAGAAATAATGGGCGATGTTTCTCAGGGCTGCTTCGAGTGGGATTAGGGGTGGTGTGGGAACCTAGAGTGGGAGAGATTAAGCTGAAGGGAGATTTTGTGGTAAGGGGTGATATTGTGGGACTGTTAGAAGAAACATTAGTCATTTAGAATTATTGGTGATGGCCTGGATACGGTTTTGTATGAATTGAAAAACTAAACGGAATAAGAGAAGGAGAAAAACAGGTATTAAAGGTCTAAGAATTGGAAGAAGCTAGGACATCTAATTAGAGAGTGCCTAAGGAGATTCAGCATAGTTCTGCCAGCAAAGAGTATTTATTTACTTCAAGAGTTAAGAGTGGCAGTTTGGGGATAGCACCAGGAGATATCTGCTGTGATGGCTTGGAGAAACAGTGTAAACCGGCAGTGTAAACAAGAGCAGGGCATGTATGAGTAGTTGAGAACGGTGAATAGGAGTATGACTAGACAGAAGATAGTAGGGATGACAAGTTTTTCGGGGGTACAGTCCAAGTTGGTTTGGTGTCTGGAATGAGACTGGGGCTTAATAGAAAGGAGCGTCTATACAGGAGCTCAAATGGGCTGTACCCTGTACCATTCTAAGGACAGGCTTGAATTCTGAGAATGGAAAGTGGTAAAAGTATTGTCCAGTCCTCTTTAAGTTGGTGGCTGAGCTTGGTGAGGTGTGTTTTTAAAAGACCTTTAGTCTGTTCTACTTTTCCTGAAGACTGAGGACCATAAGGGATATAAAGGTTTCATTTGATACTAAGAGCCTGAAAAAATGCTTGGCTGATTTGACTAATAAAGGCTGGTCTGCTATCATGATGTATAGAGGTGGGAAGGCCAAATGGAGGAATTATGTCTGACAGAAGGGAAGAAATGACTGCAGTGGCCTTCTCAGACCTTGTAGGAAAGGCCTCTACCTATCTAGTGAAAGTGTCTACCTAGACTAAGAGGTATTTTAGTTTTCTGACTCGGGGCATGTGAGAGAGGTCAATTTGTCAGTCCTGGGTGGGGGCAAATCCTTGAGCTTGATGTGTAGGAAAGGGAGGAGGCCTGAAGAATCCCTGAGGGGTAGTAGAATAGCAAATGGAACACTGAGAAATGATTTCCTTGAGGATAGATTTCCAGGATGGAAAGGAAACGAGAGGTTCTAAGAGATGGGCTAGCGGCTTGTAACCTACATGGAAGAAGTTATGAAATGACGACAGAATAGAATGGGCCTGTGAGGCTGGAAGGAGATATTTTCCTTGGTCTAAGAACTATTTGCCTTGTGTGGAAGAGATTGATAGGTGGAAGTTTCAGCGGGGGAGTAGGTGGGAGTGACTGATGTGAAGGAGAAAAACTGGCTGTGAGGGACAGAAGTTGGAAAGCTAGCTGCTTGTCTAGCCACCTTATCAGCATAAGCGTTGCCTGGAGCAATGGGATCTGACACCTTTTGATGGCCTTTGCAGTGAATGACTCCAGCTTCCTTTGGAAGTAAAGCGGCCTTGAGCAGAGTTTTTATTAAAGAGGCATTAATGATGGAGGACCCTTGCGTAGTGAGGAAACCTCTTTCAGCCTATATAACAGCATGGTGGTGCAGAATATGAAAGGCATATTTAGAGTCAGTATAAATATTGATGCGTAGTCCTTTTGCAAGAGTGAGGGCTTGAGTTAAGGCAACTAATTTGGCTTGCTGAGAGGTAGTGGAGGGGGACAGAGTGGTAGCCTCAATAACAGATGTGGAAGATACTATTGCATAGTCTGCCTTTGCTGGTGAGTGGCGATTAGGCCTGGTGGAACTGCCATCAATAAACCAAATGTGATCAGGGTGAGAAACAGGGAAGAAGGAAATGTGGGGAAATGGGGTGAACATCAGGTGGATCAGAGAGATGCAGTAATGAGGGTCAGGTGTGGTATCCAGAATAATGTGGGAGGCTAGATTGAAGTTCGTGCCAGGAACAATGGTAATTGTGGGAGACTTAACAAAGAGTGAGTACAGCTGAAGGAGCCAGGGAGCGTCAGGTGTGAGGAAGAAAATAGATCTTGGAAGTTATGAGAAATGTAGAGAGTGAGTTGAGCACAGTTTGTGATTTTTAGGGCCTCTAAAAGTATTAAAGCAGTGGCAGCCGTTGCACGCAGACATGAGGGCTAGGCTAAAACAGTAAGGTCAAGTTGTTTGGGCCGAAAGGCTACAGGGTGCGGTTCTGGCTCCTGTGTAAGAATTCTGCCCGTACTAACCATGCCTAGGAAGGAAAGGAGTTGTTGTTTTATAGAAGGGATTGGGGTTTGGGAGATTAGCCGGACACGATCAGCAGGGAGAGCACATGTGTTTTTATGAGAATTATGCCGAGATAGGTAACAGATGAGGAAGAAATTTGGGCTTAACTGAAGTAATGGGGGCTGTCTGTGAAGACTTGCGGCAGTACAGCCCAGGTAATTTGCTGAGCCTGATGGATGTCAGGGTCAGTCCAAGTGAAAGCGAAGAGAGGCTGGGATGAAGGGTGCAAAGGAATAGTAAAGAAAGCATGTTTGAGATCTAGAACAGAATAATGGATTGTGGCGGGAGGTATTGAGGATAGGAGAGTATATGGGTTTGACACCATGGGGTGGATAGGCAAAACAATTTGGTTGATAAGGCACAGATCTTGAACTAAACTGTAAGCCTTGTCTGGTTTTAGGACAGGTGAAATGAGGGAATTGTAAGGGGAGTTTATAGGTTTTAGAAGCCCATGCTGTAGCAGGTGAGTGATAACAGGCTTTAATCCTTTTAAAGCATGCTATGGGATGGGATATTGGCGTTGAGCAGGGTAAGGGTGATTAGGTTTTAATTGGATGGTAATGGGCATGTGATCAGTTGCCAGGGAAGGAGTAGAGATGTCCCATACTTGTGGGTTAAGGTGGGGGGATATGAGAGGAAGACACAAAGGAGGCTTTGGGTTGGGGAGAAGGGCAGCAATGAGATGCGGCTGTAGTCAGGAATAGTCAGGGAAGCAGATAATTTAGTTAAAATGTCTTGGCCTAATAAGGGAACTGGGCAGTTGTGGATAATTAAAAAAGAATGCATAAAAGAATGTTTTCTAAGTTGGCACCAGAGTTGGGGAGTTTTACGAGGCTTAGAAGCCTGGCCATCGATGCCTACAACAGTTATGGAGGCAAGGGAAACAGGCCCTTGAAAAGAAGGTAATGTGTAGTGGGTAGCCTCTGTATGGACTAAGAAGGGGACGGACTTACCCTCCATTGTTAGAGTTACCTAGAGCATCTGTGATTGTCCTGTAGGCTTCCGAGGCGATCAGGCAGTGTCAGTCTTCAGCTGCTAAGCCGAGAAGATCTGGGAAGAAGTCAGTCAGAGAGCCTTAGGTCAGAGTTCCAGGGGCTCTGGGAGTGGCTGCCAGGTGAGTTGAACAGTCTGATTTTCAGTGGGGTCCGACACAGGTGGAATGCGCCTTAGGAGGAATCCCGGGCTGTGGGCATTCCTTGGCCCTGTGGCCAGATTTCCAGCACTTGTAGCAAGCTCCTGGGGGAGGAGGTTCTGGAGGAACCCCTGGCAGCTGTGGTTCGGGCATTTGGAGTTCTCATGTGCTGGAGATGTGGCTGGGGTTTGTCTCACAGCGGAGGCAAGGAATTGCAACTCAGAAATACGTTGCTACTTGGCTGCTTCTATTCTATTATTGTACACCTTGAAGGTGAGGTTAATTAAGTCCTGTTGTGGGGTTTGAGGGCCGGAATTTAATTTTGGGAGTTTTATTTAAAGTCAGGAGTGGATTGGGTAATAAAATGTATATTGAGAATAAGACAGCCTTTTGACCTTTTAGGGTCTCGGACTGTAAAGCATCTCAGTGTTGCTGCCAAATGAGCCATGAACTGGGCTGGGTTTTTCATATTTGATGAAAGAGCCTAACTGCTAACTGATTTGGGAGAGGTCGCATAAAGAAAAAGGAAAATTAACCTTGACTATGCCTTTAGCTTCAGCCAGATTTTTAAGAGGAAATTGCTGGGCAGGTGAGGGAGGGCTAGTCACAGAATGAAACTGTAAGCTGGACCAGGTGTGAGGAGAGGAGGTGATAAAAGGATTATAGGGTTGGGGAGTAGAGGCTGAGGTAGAACTGGGACCTGGCTCAGCCTGGTGAGCGGCAGCCTGGGGAGGAGGGGAGAGGTCAGATGGGTCTGTAGAAAAGAAAGATTAAAAAGACTCAGTGAAGCTTGAGGTTGGGACTGAGAGAACAGGTGGGAGGGAAAGAAGGAGTATTTGGGACAAGTCGCATTGGGAACAGAGAATAGGGAGGGAACAATGTGTAAAAGAATGCCTGGACGTCAGGCACCTCAGACCGTTTGCCCATTTTACAACAAGAATTATTTAGGTCTTGTAGGATGGAGAAATCAAAAGTGCCATTTTCTGGCCATTTAGAGCCATCGTCAAATTTGTATTGGAGCCAAGTGGTGTTGCAGAAGAAGATAAGGCATTTAGGTTTTAGGTCAGGTGTGAGTTGAAGAGGTTTTAAGTTCTTGAGAACACAGGCTAAGGGAGAAGGAAGAATGGAGGGTGGAAAGTTGCCTATAGTGAAGGAGACAAGCCCAGAGAAAAGAGAGTAGAGACATGGAGGGAAGGGGTTCAGGGGTTCTTACCCTCCAGAAAAGTGGGAAAGGGGCCGGGGCATGGAAATAAGGGGTTGGGGCACAGAGATAAGAGGTTGGGGCATGGAAATAAGGGGTGGGGCGCAGAGATAAGAGGTCAGGGTGTGGAAATAAGGGATCTGGGGGTTTTTGCCCCCTAGAAAAGTGGTACTTGCCACTAAGGGTGAAGAAGGGGTTGGGGGGTTCTTGACCCCCAGAAAAGTGGAAAAGGGGTAGAGACATGGAGAGAATGGGTCAGGGTTCTTGTCCCTCCCCCAGAAAAGTGGGACTTGCCGCTAAGGGTGAAGGACCAAGGCAGGTGTCCCTGCGTGGTCAGACACCTCTGGAATGTGGGTGAATTATCAGAGAGGTATCCCTGCAATGATTAAACACAAGGGAAGGCTGCCTTCCCGACTCCGTGACCGCCGCCAGAGTTTTGGGTCCACAGATAAAACGTGTCTCCTTTGTCTCTACCAGAAAATGAAAGGAATTGAAATTAAGAGAAGGGAGAGATTGAAGGATGGTGCCAAGATTGAAAGGAGAAAGTGGTTGAGGGATAGTGAGAGAGGTTGGAGAAGACAGTAAGAAGAGGCCACTTACCTGATTTAAAATTGGTGAGATGTTCCTTGGGCTGGTGGGTCTGAGGACCCGAGGTCATAGGTGGATCTTTTTCACGGAGCAAAGAGCAGAAGGACAGGGGATTGATGTCCCAAGGGAGGTCCCCTGATCTGAATCATGGCACCAAATTTCAAGCATGTCCGTGTGAAGAGACCACCAAACAGGCTTTGTGTGAGCAATAAAGCTTTTAATCATCTGGGTGCAGGCGTGCTGAGTCCGAAAAGAGAGTCAGCGTAGGGAGATGGGGTGGGGCCATTTTATAAGATTTGGGTAGGTAAAGGAAAATTACAGTCAAAGGGGGGTTGTTCTCTGGCGGGCAGGAGTGGGGGTCACAAGGTGCTCAGTAGGGGAGCTTTTGAGCCAGGATGAGCCAGGAGAAGGAATTTCACAAGATAATGTCATCAGTTAAGGCAGGAACAGGCCATTTTCATTTCTTTTGTGGTGAAATGTCATCAGTTAAGGCAGGAACCAGCCATCTGGATGTGTATGTGCAGGTCACAGGGGATATGATGGCTTAGCTTGGGCTCAGAGGCCTGACATTTTCCAACTTGGTTCCATTCTCCCTGTCTCTTTCATGTACCCTAATCAGCGGTAGGTTCGGTCTCTTTACATAATCCCATATTTCTTGAAGGTTTGTTTCATTCTTTTTTCTCTATTGTTGTCTGCCTGTCTTATTTCAGAAAGACAGTCTTCAAGCTCTGAGATCCTTTCCGCCACTTGGTCTATTCTGCTAATGATGCTTGTGATTGCATTGTGAACTTCTCATGTTGTGTTTCTCCTGTCTATCAGGTTGATTATGTTCCTCTCTAAACTGGCTATTCTGGCTATCAGCTCCTGTATTGTTTCATCATGATTTTTAGCTTCTTTGTATTGGGCTACAACATGCTCCTTTAGCTCAGCAAAGTTTGTTATTACCCACCTTCTGAAGCCTACTTCTGTCAAGTCAGTCATCTCAGTCTCAGCCCAGTTCTGTGCCCTTGCTGAGAGATGTTGCAGTCATTTGGAGGAGAAGAGGGACTCTGGCTTTTTGAGTTTTCAGCATTTTTGCATTAATTCTTTCTCATCTTTGTGGGCTTATCTACCTTTAATCTTTGAGGATGCTGACATTTGAATGAGGCTTTTTGGGGTCTTTTTTGTTGATGTTGTTGTTGTTTTCTTTTTGTTTTTCTTTTCAGGCCGCTCTACCATAGGGCTTCTGCAGTCCTATGGCAGCCAGAAAAAATGGCAGCCACCTCCTTCCTCTGGAAGCTCCATCCCAGGGGGTACTGACCTGTTGTGAGCCTGCACACACCTGTAGGAGGTGGCTAGAGACCCCCATGGAAGGTCTCACCCTGTCTTGAGGAATGGGATCAGGGATGCACCCAAAGAAGCAGTCTAGCTGCTTTTTGGTGGAGCAGGTGTGCTGTATTTGGGGGGGACTCTTCCTTATCCATCCGCCTGTATTCTCCAAAGCCAGCAGTTTGGAACAGCTGAATAGACTGAACTGCAGAGCTGGCAGTTGGCCCTCCCCTTGGGAGCTCTGACACAGGAGAGATCAAAGCTGTCCATAGAACCTTGGCTGGAGTGGCCAAAGCCCCTGCAGGGAGGTGCCTCCCAGTGAGAAGGAATGGATCAGGGTCCTACTTAAAGAACTAGTCTGGCCACTATTTGGAAATTGTGGGGGACCCTTCCTTGTCTGGATCTTCTGTATTCTCCACAGCTGGCAGGCTGGAACAACTGAGTCTACCAACCACAGAGATGGTGGCCATCCCCCTACCTTGCCAAACGCAGACAGTCTCAGGCAGACTCCAATCCACTGCTGTTGGCTGGCTGGGATTTCAAGCCAATGGGTCTTGTGAAGTGTGTAGAAGTGGGGCCCACAGAACCTCACTGCCTATCTCCCTGGATTCAGCTCCCTTTCTAGGGATATGTACAGACATATTTCCCACCTTGCCAGGGATCCTGGGGCTGGAGTATATAAAACTTTTGGGTTGGCCAGGCACGGTAGCTCACACCTGTAATCCTAGCACTTTGGGAGGCCAAAGCGGGCAGATCATGAATTCAGGAGATCGAGACCATCTTGGCCAACATGGTGAAATCCCATCTCTACTAAAAATACAAAAAATTAGCCAGCTGTGGTGGTGGGCGCCTGTAATCCCAGCTACTTGGGAGGCTGAGGCAGAAGAATCGCCTGAACCTAGGAGGTGGAGTTTGCAGTGAGCCGAGATGGCGCCATTGCACTCCAGCCCGGGTGACAGAGATAGACTCTGTCTCACAAAAACTAACAAACAAACAAACAAACAAAAAAACCTCTTGGATCTCTGTGTGTGCCTGAGTGACTGCTCTGCCAAGACTCCACACAACTCTGTGTATTGGACCTAAGGTCCTGATGGTATGGGCTCACAAGGGAATCTCTTCATTTGTGGGTTCTAAAGATCCTTGGGAGAAGTGTGGTTTTCTGGGCAGGGTTGCATAATCACTCACTGCTTCCTTTGGTTGGGTGGGAATTCCTTTGGCTCCTTGGCACCCATTGGCCCTGTATGCTTTTTTTCGTTCTCTATGGGTTGAGCTGTTTTCCTAGTCAGTCCCAGTGCGAGAACCTGGATGCTTCAGTTGAAGGTGCTGAATTCACCCGTTTTCACTTCTCTCTGTGAGTGCTGCTGACTGCAGCTGCTTCTAACTGGCCATCTTGGATCCCTCCTGGAGTTTGTATTAATTCTTCAATTTATTACTTCAATGCCACCCACTCACCTGAAAAACTAGGCAAAGTCTTCCACTTCTTTGTCATTAGTCAGAAAACTCCTAAAATTATTCATGCATTTTTCTGAAGTTTTCTGGAACATGTGATTACTTTTTCAGGCTTGACTGCATTAGTCACTCATAGGAAAGGTTTATTTTGTTTATCTGGCAGGCAGAATTACCAGGTTGTTTAAGTTGCTCTCTCTCACTTTTTCTTCTCAATGTGAATAATTGAATTTGCTTAGATTGAAAGTATAATGATTCTATTGCTTATGAAATTGTGTTGAAAGTTATAATGTCCTGCATATAGGTAAATGTTGTTATTGTTGATGCTATTATTAAAGAGTCTTCCTCTGGAAAAAGAAATGTGTGTAGAGACCTCAGAAAGGCATCTTTGGGGTTCAGACTTTTAGGATGAGAAAGCGCTTCTACTTTATGTGTAGCTGATATGTAGACAGAAAATGCTATAGAATGGTTGCTTTCCACTAGCCTGAACCAATAAGCATCAGCCCCTGCCCAGAGAGAGGCAGTAACTAGGGCTAGCAGCTAGAGGGAAGAAGTGGTAAGTGGGTGACTATGTCAGTTGGGTCCTCTGGAGAGCAGGCATTGAGATGCCAAGCCAGACTCTGCCTGAGGAGCTGTTCTGATAACTAAGCACCATGGGGCTATTGGGCCTGACCACTTCTTCTCAGTCTAAGTCTTCTGTAAAGAACAATCTTTGCTCTGAAGATCCCTATTGGATTATCTGGACTTCGCCAGGCCTACTTTGTGGTTTGAAGCTCTCCAGCTGAGGCCAGATCCTGGAGACACTGCAGTTAGAGGCACTCTGCATGCTCTACAGATAAGCAACAAGTTCTTTTCTGATAAGAGATGTAAGTGGCACACATTCATAGCTGATGTGCCAGGGTCTCTGCCTAGGACTCGGGTCAATGTCAGGGGTTTGGTGTCTGAGGATAATGCAACATTGACTGGATGGCCACTTTAAATTGGGTGGCCTATAGGGTTAATTAAGATGGGGAATAATGGCCATTTGGTAAGTATTTGGGTTAAAGGAAGGATCCCAGTCTCTAAAACTATGGCTCCAGTTTAGTACTGCATCAGAAATAATTTGTTCTTGAGGTAAATTCACTGCAATGTGGACCCGGAGCTTCTTTACTTCCCACTGACAATGAAAAAAAATTGACCCTGGATACAGAGATGGGGCAGAGACTTTAGGGAGGGGCAACCAAGTTGCCTAACATTTAGAGGGAGGAATATAACAGGTAGAGAGCAGATATATTTAACAAAAAGTTTTCTGCTTGGTTGGAGTGCCTTGGCCAAAAGCATTCTTGTAAAATGCAACTTCATCACTTCCTCTATACTACATGAACTCCCAGGGTCAGCATTCATTTATTGGATCAGCAAGATATTTGAGGCTAGGCCATACTCTGGGACTCTTCTATAACTCCTCAATAATTGCCTTTTATTAAGAGCTAAAGATGTATCAAGCATTTTTCAAATATTATCCATGGTGTTCACAACTGTCATGATCCACTCTGTTATCTTCATCTGACAGAAGAGAGATCAGGTGACTTGTTCAAGATTACATAGAGTATATATATGGTAGAGCTGCAAACCTGGGCTTTTTCTAAGACTGCTCTGGTTTTCTAATAGTTTATGAGTCACGATTTATGGCATATATTAATCAAGTCATTGCAAAAGTAATGAAAGAGGCATTTGATGGCCCTTTATTGTTCTGGGATTTGAACACCCAAGATAACATAATGGAGAAGGAAATGAGGGAAGGGTGTTAAGAGATTGTCATCTTTATATGATACATTTTACAGTTGTCCTGTGATATTTGCCCTTAAACTGCTCTTTAGATAAGAGTAGAATCTATTGTTACTTCTACACCATTATATTTCTCTTCAAGATGTGCCCAAAGGCACATCTTCTTTGGGAGGCACCAAAACTAAAAATAATAAGATGATCTATGTAGCATCTGTTCTCCTTCATATTACACTGGTCTTCAAGTTAAGTTTTGCTCACTGGGTAGCTTTCCCATCACTGCTGTTTGCCCATGCCTGTGCATTTGAGGATCTGCTCCGTGTTCCCGTAGCTCCTCCTAGTGGAAGTTCACAAGTGAATGGACTTCCAGGATTTATATTAAGAATTTGAAAATTATATTCTAGACTATGTTTCTAAATTATGTGAAAACAAGATTGTGTGACCGGAAGTAATACATTTGTTCTGAAAATTGAAAAACATAAATAGGGTATTTTAAAAATCTTTATTCTAATATTCATTACTTGATAAATATTACTGTAAAGATATTTCTCAACAAAAGATGCACCCGCTATAATTTCTAAATTGCAAATAATAAAAGCCAGTGCTCTTAATATCCACATCCTCTTATTTTGCAATATTCTTTAAAATAGGGGCCCTGTTAGTCCTCGTAGCTGCAGTGTCTATCAGCTAACCTGGTTCTTAATAGCGTAGAGAACAAAACCCTTCACCATTGGAGAACTCAAAGAAAATAAACTGTAGTTAGTTCAAAATACCTCTTCACTGTTTCAGCTAGACCTGAAACTTGGGGTAAAAAAGTCACAGTCTGTAAACCCAGGTAGGTGGGAAACAAATTTCCCCATGGACCAAATGTTTGATTTCTTGCTTTGAAAGGGTAACTAATACCCTATGAAAAATGGAGAGTGTCATTGTAAAATGTCACATCTGATTTCATTTAGATAATGACTTTTTATCTTTACTCTTCTAAGTGAATGGCATTCAGAGTTGATTGTTTTAGAAGAACGTCATGCAGAACCAAAGTGTTTTCTCTGTTTATATTTTTATTTTGATTGAACTGAAAATATCTTCTTTGTGGTCATTTAGCTTATCAAACTTCTGTCAAGTTTTGTAGATCTGTTTTTTAAAAATGGACTAATAATTCCACAGGGCTCAGTGGGCAGTGCCTATGTCCCCTTTCCAAGAAAGGGAATACCCTAAGTGAGGGCTGGTATCCAAAAAGTTCCCAACATCTGGGGGCCATTTATCGGGGACCTCATTTGATGGGTCATTACTGAATATTAAATATTTGAATATTACCCTTGTCCTAAACCAGCACACAACACTCATTCCCTCAGTTGCTGAGAGGTTGGTGGTTCAATGCTCTCAACTGAGTCCCTCTCCAGGAAGTTGAAGAGAATAGCCTGGCCTAAAGTTATACCTCACCCGCTTCCCAGTTAGCCTGAGTCTAATGACTGGCCCAAGACAGAATATAAAGACTGGATTCCTTGCCTCAACTTGAGGTTAAGCTGAAGGCCTATCTCAGCCGTGGAACTCCCAGCAGGATCATCTGGGGCCTCTGTGTGACTACAGTGCAGTTCTTCTACCCACTCTGTCCAGTTCTAATTCCTTCCTCCTCCTCAGCTGTTGAGGCCAAGAGCTCTTTTCAATAAACTTCCTCAGTGTATGTTTCCCAAAGAACTCAAACTGTAACATTCACACAGTATAATTTTGGGCAAATATAACAGTAGCATGCATGTGAAGGACTCAGTTGGACACAATAAGGCTTTATAACTACACAAAACAAATCAACTGATGTAGGAAGCTGAAGGTCTGTGGGTCGTGACCAACACAGCATTCTGCTGGAGGCTATATGATCGAACAGCAAACTTTATCATGAATGCAGAATGTGGGCAAACTTGCGACTGCACCTGCTGCCAGAAGGTTTGCTGAGGGCAGTTACTCCCTGGTGTCATGCTCCTTGAGGTTATCTACTGGAATACCTGGAGACTACTGTTCAAAGAATGCAGTCCTGCAGGCCTGCACCCAGTCAAGCAGCTGACCACAACCACCCCCTTCTCCCTATCTCATTTACTCAATAAATATGAAGGGCTATAGAAGCTCAGGGCCCTTGTTCACTAGAAGCAAGGAGCCCCCGACCCCTTCTTCCAAATATACTCTTTTGTCTTTGTCTTTATTCCCAGGTTTGTCCTACTTTGTTCAGTCCAGCAAGGTCCGCGGCAAATTGATAATTCACATGAGAACATTTGTCACCCTGTATCTGAAGCAGGTTGAAGGCAAAGTGAAAGGGAAGCTACTTTTTATTTTGAGACAGAGTCTCACTCTGTCGCCCAGGCTGGAGGGCAGTGACATGATCACAGCTGAGTGCAACCTCCGCCTCCCGGGTTCAAGCATTACTCCTGCCTCAGGCACATGCCACCATGCCCAGCTAATTTTTGTAGTTTTAGTAGGTACGTGGTTTTACCATGTTGCCCAAGCTGGTCTTGAACTCTTGACCTCAGGTGTGCAAAGCTCCCAAAGTGCAAGGAGCTATATTTAATATATACACAACTACTTATTCCCCTCCCAGCTTTACTGAGTTATGATTGACAAAATAAAACTGTATATATCTAATGTGTACAATGTGATGTTTTGATATATGTACATGTTGTAAAATGATTACCACTATCAAGTTAATTGACATATCCATCACCTCACAGAGTTACCTTTTGTTGTGTGGTGAGAACATTTATGATCTACTCTCTTAGCAAATTTGAAGTCTATAATTTGATGTTACTAATTATAGTCACCATGCTGTATATTAGGTCTCCAGAACTTATTCATCCTTTATAAATAAATCTTTGTACACTTTGACCAACATCTCTTCATTTCCCTCTCTGCTCTATGGGTTCCACTTTTTTAGATTCCACATGTGAATGAGATCATGCAGTACTTGTCTTTCTGGGTCTGGTTTATTTCACTCAGGATAATGTCCTCTAGGTTAATTCATGTTGTCACAAATGACAGAATTTTTAAAAAAAATTTTAAAGTCTGAATAATATTCCATTATAAATATACATTACTTTTTCCTTATCCATTTGTCTGTTCATGAGCACTTAGGTTGATTCAATATCTTGGCTATTGTGAACAATGCTGCAATAAACATGGGAGTGCAGATCTCTGTTTGAAATACTGATTTTTTTTCCCTTTGGAAAATATACTCAGAAGTGGAACTGCTGAATCATATGATAGTTCTGTTTTTAATTTTTAAAGAAACCTCCATAGTATTTTCTATAATGGCTGTATCAATTAACATTCTCACTAACAGTGCAAAAGGGTTCCCTTTTCCTTACATCTTCACCAACACTCACTATCTTTTTTCTTTTTGGTAAGAGCTATTTGAACTAGTGTGAGGTGATACCTCATTGTGGTTTTGGTTTTTATTTCCCTGATGATTAGTGATGTTGAACATTGTTTCACCTACTTGGTGGCTGTTTCTGTGTCTTCTTTTGAGAAATACCTATTCAGGTCCTTTGCCCATTTTGAAATCAGCTTATTTGTTTTCTTGCTATTGAGCTGTTTGAGTTCTTTGTTTCAAATATTAACCTCTTTTTGAATATATGCCTTGCAAATATTTTCTCCCATTAAATAGGCTATCTCTTCACTCCATTGATTGTATCTTTATCTGTGCAGAAGGTTTTTATTTTCATACAATCCCATTTGTCTATTTTTGCTTTTGTTTCCTGTGTTTTTGGCGTCATATCCAAAAAGTCATTGCAAAGATCAATGTCAAGAAGGTTTTCCCCTGTTTTCTTCCAGTAATTTAAAAATTTCAGGCCTTATGTTTAAGTCTTTAATCGATTTTTTGGGTTGAATTTTTAACATGGTGTGAGATAAGGTTCAATTTCTCAATAAGGTGAAATATGGTTCAATTTCATTCTTCTGCATGTGGTTATCCAGTGTTCTCTATGCCATTTTTAAAGAGACTATCATTTCCCTTGTGTGCCCTTGGCAACTCTGTCAAGAATTAATTGACTAAAAATAAGTGGAATTATTTCTGGACTATTTTGTTCCATTGGTCTATGTGTCTATATTTATGCCAAAACCATACTGTTTTGATTATTATAGCTTTGTAGCATATTTTGAAATCAGGCGGTGTGATACCTTAAGCTTTGTTCATTTTGCTCAGGATTGCTTGGCTGTTTGGAGTCTTTTCATATTCCGTATGAATTTTAGAATTTTTTTTTGTCTCTGTGAAAAATGTCATTGGGATTGCATTGAATCTGTAGATTGCTATGTGTAATATGAGCATTTTAACAATATTAAATATTCTAATTAATGAACATGGGATATCTTTGCATTTATTTGTGTCTTCATCAATTTCTTTTATCAATATCTTATAGTTTTCAGTGTACTGATCTTTCACTTCTTTGGCTAAATTTATTCCTTGGTATTTTTATGGTATTATAATTAGGATTGTTTTCTTAATTTTTTTCAAGTGGTTTGTTGTTAGTGAAGAGAAATACAACTGATTTTTGTGTGTTGATTTTATATTCTGCAGCTTTATTGAATTTGCTGATTAGTTATAAAGATCTTTTGTGGAGTCTTTAGGGTTTCCTATCTGCAAGATCACGTCACCTGGAAACAGAGACAATTTTACCTTTTTTTTTTTTTCCAATTTGTATACCTTTATTTTTTTCTGGCCTAAGTGCCCTGGCTAGGACTTCTAGTACTATATTGAATAGAAGTGGCAAGAGTGTGTATCTTTGTCTTATTCCTGATCTTAGATGAAAAGCTTTCAACTTTCCAGCATTGAGTATGATGTTAGCTGTGGGCTTCTCATATATTGGTCTCTATTATGTTGAGGTACATTCCTTCTATAACTAATTTGTTGAGAGGTTGTATCATGAAAGGATGTTGAATTTTGTCAAATGATTTTTCTGCCTCTGTTGAGATGATCATATGATTTTTGTTCTTCATTTTGTTAATATGGTGTTTCACATGTATTGATTTGTGTATATTGAACCATACTTGCACCCTGGGGATAAATCGTACTTGAACATGGTGTGTGCTTCTTTTAGTGTGCTGTTGAATTTGGTTTACTAGCATTTTCTTGAGGATTTTTTCATGAAAATTCCATGAACAGTATCAGGGATACTGGCCTGTAATTTTATTTTTGTGTAATGCCCTTTCTGGCTTGATAGCAGTGTAATACTGGCTTTTTAAGATGATTTAAAAGCATTTCCTCGTCTTCAATTTTTTGGAATAATTTGAAAAGGATTGATGTTAATGCTTCTGTAAATGTTTGGTAGAATTCAACAATGAAGCTATCAGATCCTGGGCTTTGTTGGGATTATACTGTGCTTTGATATTTATACTAATAACTAGATTAAATATGTTGATTCAATCTATCTATTCATTATTGTCTATTTAGATTTTGTATTTCTTCATGATTCAGTCTTCGTAGGTAGTATATTTCTAGAAATTTATCCATTTTTTTCTAGGTTATCCAATTGTTAGTATATACTTGTTCATAGTATTCTCTAATAATTCTTTATATTTGTGTGGTATTCTTTGTTTTATTGCCTCTTTCATTTATAATTTGCTAAATTTGAGTCTTCTCTTTTTCTGTTTTTATTCTAGCTAAAGTTTTGTTAATTTTGTTTGCCTTTTGTTTGTTCTTAGTTTCATCAATCGTTTCTATTTTTTAAGTCTCTGTTTCATTTGTTTCTGCTCTGCTCTTTATTATTTCCTTCCTTTTGCTAACTTTCGGCTTAGTTTGTTCTTTTTCCAGGTTTTTGAGGTGTAATGGTAGGTTGTTTACTTGAGATCTGTCTTTATTTATTTATTATTTGTCTCATTTATTTATTTATTTATTTGTCTGTCTCATGGGGATCTTACTATGTTGTCCAGGCTGAAGCATAATGGCTATTCATAGGGGCACATAGCACACTACAGCTGTAAACTCCTGGGCACAAGTGATCCTCCCACTTCAACCTGCAGGTAGCTGGGACTACGGGCACATACAACTGTGCCTGGTTTTCTGTCTTTTTTTAATGTAGGCCATGAACTTTTTTCTTATTACTACTTTTGCTGCATTCCACCTTCATTTGTCTCAAAATGTTTTAATATTCTTTTTAGTTTCTTCTTTGGCTCACTGGTTATTCAAGAGCATGTGGTTTGATTTCCAAATGTTTTCAAATTTTCTAGGTTTCGTTCCTCTTATTGATTTCTAATTTCATAGCATTGTGGCACAAAAGATACTTGATATGATTTTAATCTTCTTAAAGCCACTTAGACTTAATTGGAGAATTCAATATATTTACATTTAAAGTAATTATTGATAGGTAATGAATTACTATTGCCATTTTGTTAATTGTTTTCTGACTATTTTGTAGCTCTTTTGTTTCTGTCGTCCTATGTGATTTGATAATATTTTGGGCAGGTTTGCTTTGATTCCTTTTTATTTTTTGTTGTATTTGTCATCTTTTTTTTTTATTTGTGGTTATCATGGGACTTACATAAAACTACTTATAATAGTCTGTTTTCAACTGATAAGTTTGATGGCATACATAAAAACACTTTAACTTTTCTTCCTCATTATATATTATTGATATTACAATTTTCATCTTTTATATTATGTATCACTTCACAAATTATTATAACTGTAATAATTTTTAGCAGAAACCATAACATTTTATACTTCCATACTATCTTTTAATCTTTGTTTTTTTGTTTGTTTTGAGACAGAGTCTCGCACTCTCGCCCAGGCTGGTGTGCAGTGGCGCAGTCTCGGCTCACTGCAAGCTCCACCTCCCGGGTTCACGCCATTCTCCTGTCTCAGCCTCCCGAGTAGCTGGGACTACAGGCACCCAGCACCATGCCTGGCTAATTTTTTGTATTTTTAGTAGAGATGGGGGTTTCATGGTGTTAGCCAGGATGGTCTCGATCTCCTGACCTTGTGATCCACCCGCCTTGGCCTCCCAAAGTGCTGGGATTACTTTTAATCTTATACTAGAGTGAAAAGTGATATATGCATCACTATTACAGTATAGAGTATACTGCATTTGACTATATTCTTATCTTTACCACAAATTTTATACTTACATATGTTTTCATGTTGGTAGCATCCTTTTATTTCAACTTGAAGAATTGAAATTTAGCACTTCTTGTTGAGGCAGGCCTAATGGTGATGAGCCGTCTCAGCTTTTGTTTATCTGGGAGGCTTTATATCACATTCATTTCTGAAGGATAGCTTACTGGGTATAGTATTCATGGTTGGTCATTTATTTATTTTTCCTGTAGTTTGAATATATCATCTTGCTCTATCTTGGTCTGCTGAAAAGCCTGCTGATAGTCTATGGAATTTCACTTTTATGTGATGATTTGCTTTTCTCTTACTGCCTTCAGAATTTTTTCTTTGACTTTGAGAATTTGATTATAATGTTATGTTGGTGAAGATCTTTTTATGTTTAATCTATTTGGGGTTCTTTGGGATTCACAGAGCTGTACTTTCACTTCCCTCTCTACATTTGGGAACTGTTCTATTATTATTTCTTTAAATGAGTTATATTTCCATTTCTTTTTCTCTGATCCCTGTTGGAATGTTATAATGCATATATTGGTGCACTGGATGGTGTTCAAGAAGTCCCATAAACTTTCTTCACTCTTTCTCTCTCTTTTTTTTTTTTTTTTTTACTTCTCTGACTGGATTATTTCAAATGACCTCTCTCTGAACCACTGCTTTTTTCTTCTGCTTGGTTGAGTCTGCTGTTGAAGCTCTCTAAATTTTTAAGTCCAGTTGTGTTATTTAGCTTCAGAACTTTGTTTCTCTTTTATGGTTTCTTTTTCTTTGTTAAACTTCTAATTTTTTTCATGTATTATTTTCCCAATTTTGTTTACTTATCTATCGGTGTTCTCTTGTAGCTCATAGAGTTCCTTTAAGACAATTATTTTGAATTATTTGTCAGAAATTTTGTAGAGCTTCACTTCTTTAGAGTCATTTACTGGTGCTTTATTTTGTTCAT
The DNA here is from genome assembly GCF_000001405.40 of Homo sapiens. Lineage (NCBI taxonomy): Eukaryota > Metazoa > Chordata > Mammalia > Primates > Hominidae > Homo > Homo sapiens. Next base: position 154,936,531 of record NC_000004.12, read on the forward strand.
CTGGTATATCATGTTTCCATCATTATTTGTGATTCTCGTGACCTTTCATTGGTATCTGCAAATTTGAAGAAGTAGGCACCTCTTCCAATCTTTACAGACTGCCTTCAGCAGGGAAAGCCCTTCACCACTCAGCTTGACCAGAGTCTGTGTGGGCTGGTTGGTATGGTCCATGTGCAGGCCTTGCTACTAACATCCTCAGGCAAATTAGCCTGGTGCCTTGGTCAGTGGGTGGACTTGGTGTCTGAGTCCATGGGTATGGGGTTGGAGCCTGATTCTATGGGTGCGGTCCTGGATCCTGAGTTTGAGGGGGTTGGTCTGGCACTGAGGACCATTGGGATGGGACTTATGGCTGATTTGCAGGGGTGGTCCTGGAGCACTGGTCTGTATAGGTGAGCCTGAATCCTGGGTCCACAAGGGATTGTCCAAATCCTGAGTCCATGGGGGCTGAGCAGACACTGGGTCAGGTCTGGAGCCTGGGACCATGGGGGCTGGCCTGGCGCTGAGTTAAGCTTGAAGCCTAGGTTCCCAGGGGCTGGTCTGAAGGCTGAAGTGGGCCTGACACTAAGGTAAGCCTAGAGCCTGTGTTCCCAGTGGTTGGTCTGGCGCCACGGTTCACTGAGGGCAGGCTGGTGCTGGGGTCCATGAAATTGAGTGCTTACTTTACTCTCCTTTTTCCTTGCAGAAGGTATCTCTCTCTGTGTTCTACACTACACAACAATGCAGAAGGTATCTCTCTGTGCTGTGCTTTGCAGGCTTAGGGGAGCTGACTTGGGTAATGTGAAACTGTCCTTTTGTACCCCATTCAAGGCATTTTTTTTTTCTTATTTCTGTGTTCAACACAGGTGACTAATCTGTCACCTGGATTTCTTAGCTCTTGTGAAGGGATTTTTTTTGTTTGTGGATAGCTGTCCAAATTGATGTTTGTGTGAGGAATTATTGGAAACTCCTATTCTGGCATCTTGCTGATGTCACTCCATACATTGCTATATCTTCAAATTATGACCAATGATCTATTGGAAATAGAATGTGATTAAGTCATGTGGTCTGACTGGAGCAGGCTCTTTCTCTGTTTCTTTCCTTCTCTCCCTTCCTTCCATCCTTCCTTTTGTTACAAATATCACGTAGCATTTATCGCAACTAACAGGGTAGACCAGGACATGGGAAGGACTCTATAGCAGAGCATGGCCACTCACTTTATAGTTTTGTGTCCAGAGAAGCCCACCACATCCCCTTCCAATGAGAAGGAAAAGACTGGTTTGTCATTTCTTAAATTGTGAAGAGACAAGGAAAAATAGAGAATATTTTATCTATTTTAATTTGTCTTGCTAAGGGGGAAAAACAATTTGGCCTAGGCACTTCAGCTCTTGCCATAAATGCGTCTCAATTTTTATGTAAATTACATTTATATAATGGGATTGATTCTCCAAATTGTTTTATGGTCTGTAGTTTGATTTATTTCATTTGCAGACACTACAGAAGAAATGAAAAGATGAAGGGTACTGATTGTTTTTTCTGTTATCAGTTATAAAAGTAGTGTAGATGCATTTCAGTAACACACCCAAAGCAGACAACAAATGTGTGGGTTTAATGGAGAACTGGAAGTAAATGTGAAGTTTGAATTATATCCTAGTAAAGCTGCTTACCTTTGTAGTGTTTATTCTTTAAGCATTTTAAACCACTAGGGATGTATTTCATGTTGGCAATCATTCAGGTGTCATTGCTTTTAGATACCTGTCTCTACTTAAATCTTGTTGAAGGTTTTATTACTCCTGAAGAGTGCCCATATTTTTATAATGTATGAAATAAGATTTATATAGGAATAACACAGAATTGAATTTTTTCTGCTAACCAGTAATCACACTCTTGTATTTATGTCATACTCTGTCTTCTTCTGATTAAGGAAAAATGCTATCTTAAGTATCTCCTTTATTCTTTTAACTTTCCTGAAGGACACATTGGGCAGGTTTAAACTTTTGTCACTGTGAATAGAAAGTTAAAACACAAAAGGTGTTGCCATCACAACACGTTTTTTGTTGAAATACAATAAATTGTCATCATACTTGGTGGCTGCCAGAAAAGTAAGAGGAAAAACAAACAAAAACAAAATTTAATCTATTTGAAGGTCAGAACACAGCAGAACCCCCCTTAAAGCTAGTTTTATTAATTCTCTACTTGTGATCATTTGACTTGGACTGATTTGAAACTTAGGTTTTTGCTCTTTGTGGATACAGGTTTTTGCTCTTTGTGGATACTGTTCTATAAACCTGTTTCTGGGGAACACACTTAAGTTGCCCAAGAAGAAACATTGAAAATGGATCTTAATAGTTACTGGTGAATCTTTTCATTAAAGAAGACCTGCCACAAACTGTACTTGAAACTATAATGTGAGCAGTGAGTCCCAGTAGCTGAAAGTTTAAAATATACTACAAACAGGGCTTGAAAAATTCTGGGTCTATTCATATTTTTGGCTCCGGTTTTCTCTTCTGCTAAGCAGAAAGGTGGGAGGGAAGCAGTAGGTACTCAGAGTAGTAAAGAATATCTTGAAAAGTATCAAGAGTCTTGGGAGCCTGGAAAAACTGTTGTGAAAATGAGGACCGCAGACTCACAGTGTCAATGAAGGCTCCATCTTTTACCACTAGTTGCACGCAACAGGATGAAAATAAAGCTGACTTACGCATCCTGGAGGTAAATTAATCAGTTCTCCAGGCTCTTTAGTTTCTTGAATTCATAAATGTTCTTTTATGCTTTTTTTGTGGAACTAGCTTAGTAAGTTGGGCAAGTAGAAAGGGGCCTCTGAAAGAAAGCAAACACTCTTTTACTCTGTGGTCAAGCCCTTTTGCTTTGTTTTGCACAAACTCTCTCTCTCTCTCTCATTCTGGACAAGGATTTCTTGTGAGCCAGGATAGCTTTGGCTCCAGGCATCCTATGTCACAGAGGTCTGGGGAAGCTTTGGGCAAAGAAACTGTGAATGGAGTCAAAGCATGTGAACCATTTTAGCTAGCAGAGTTACAGCATGGTTATCTGAAGAAGTGTCCTCCTAACTGAAATCAGTATCACAATGATGCACTTTAGCCATATTAAATCAAAACTCTCTAAAGGTCCTAGGAAGTTTTCTTAGAGCCTCACACTCTGTTGCAAGTAATAAATGTTGCAAGTTGTCAATAAAACATTTCTAGTTACAATTAACATCTATGATGCTTATGTAAAGAGAGAATTCAAATATTCTCTACTTCATGTCCCCCTTGTAACTCTCTAGAGAGGAGTTAAGGCAAGAAATTTCACTTTTCAAAAGGAGAAATGTGCAAATGCTAGAATATTATGGGAGTAATTTCTTCCCCTAAAGCTGGTGTTTCCTAAGTGGATTACATGGATGTAGTCTCTCTTTTGTGTGTCTGGATTTAAGAGTCTGAGCTCAAGCAATCCTAGCTAGCTCTAACTTCAACAATTTTCTACATGAAAGCAAATCTATTGCTACTACGCTAGTCTGGGAAACGAGGGTGGGTGGCCTGGCTTGATGCCAATAGAGATATTGGGTAATATGCTTCTTCCCCATTGCCTGCACCTACACTGTTCCTGGCTCTATGGGATATGAGTTTTTTTCCCACCCCCACCTCGCCCCACTGGAGTTTTAAGATTTAAGATTTGAACCTGGGCTTGGTGGGAAGGAGGACTCCTAAACCTTTAACCTAGGCAAAAAAGAAAGAAAGAAAGAAATATGCTGCATCTCTTTGACCTATTTATATATAAGTATATCCTCTCCAGGGAGAAGGTGAGAGTAGGCCAGGCTGTATTCCACTGTGACCCAGAGGAGAGAGAATCAGACGAACATGGCTCTGCCACTGTAATGAATGATTTAAACAAGTTATTTCATCTGAGCTTTAGTTTCCTAATATGCAAACTAGCGGGAAACATAATTTTGTTGTGAGAATTTATTGGGATGAAAAAGGTGTCTAGTACAGTGCCAGACAGAGAACATATATATGTGACATCAACTGCAGCTGTGATTATGGAAAGAGAGAATGAAATGAGCATATCTTAGAAGAAAAAAAAGTTTTGGCTACAATTAGATTCATTATATAGAAGTGTACTTTCTGCATATTTGTAAGTTTTTAGCATCCAATTGGCAAAGACCAGGAGAAAGTACTCAGGAGTGTAGGAGCTCAGAGGGATGAGGAGAAAGGCAGAGATGGCGACTGTGATGGGGATGTTCTCCTAAGGCAGAAGTCGGCAGCAATAGCTAAGTTGGACTAGCGTGATTGCTCTATGGAGTTACTGAGGTTGAAGTAAAGAAATAGGGCTACATATCAAGTTCAAATGGTAAGTCAGAGTGAAAATAAGAGAATTAATAGCTTATGATGGTTATCATTTCATGTCATGTTTACCACCTGCTGAGGGTAGATTTTTTAAGTGGTTTAAAATGTACAAGACTTGACAGACCTGTTTAAACCTTTGTTTTTTTTTGAGACAGAGTCCTGCTCTGTTGCCGAGGCTGGAGTGCAGTGGCACCATCTCAGCTCACTGCAACCTCCGCCTCCCGGGTTCAAGTGATTCTCCTGCCTCCCGAGTAACTGGGACTACAGGCATGCACCACCAGCCTCAGCTAATTTTTTTTTGTATTTTTAGTAGAGATGGGGTTTCACCATGTTGGTCAGGCTGGTCTTGAACTCCTGACCTCAAATGATCCACCCACCTCGGCCTCCCAAAGTGAAACTTGTAAGTCTCTTTAGTAGATAGTCCCCATAGAATGTGATGCTGGGCTGCTGGCCCTGCAGATGAGGTCTCCCTCTTGCCATGAACAGTGTGAGAGTCTTCCCAGAAGTCATTCATACTCCTCCCCACCTTGTGTAGTACCCATGTAGTTTGGATGGAGTTAGCCCCATCTCCAGGCTGGCTTGATTTAAATCAAGCAGGCTATCCAACTCTTCTTGCCATACTTCTGGTAATTTATGTTTAAGCCAGTCACTGCAAGGTATGCCCCTAGCCATGGGGATTAATTTGGGGTGGTCCAATCACTGAGTATCTGAAGAATTGTGTTCAATGGTTGTGAAAATCAAGCTCTCTGTCTGACTGGTAGATGGGGAGATGTAGTAGCTTTCCTACAGCCATGGCAAGCCAGCTATGGGATGGAGCTGTCTGTGAGGGGCACTGTGTTCTTTATATCAGTGCTTAAACCTACTCTGAAGGGCACCATTCCTCTGAATTTTCTAATAAGGTGGGCTTTATTGTTGAATATAGTTTGACACTTATTCATAATTGCAGTTGTGAACACCTTAAAGGATATAATGGTATGTGTCTCTGTGCACACTAGATTTCGGGAACTCCTCACTATGTACAAGAGTGCTAGTTTGAACTAATGTACCATCAATAAGGCTGCCATAAAGACAAAGGAAGATGCACAAAAATTTATGCTGCACGGGGTTGAAGGGGTAACAGTGAAACAGAAAACCTGACCTTTGCAAAGATGCCAGACAGTTCAAAGACTTAGAAAGGAAACTGCTTTTGGAAATACACTAAAGCAAAGGAGCAACTGAAATATAACTATTTGGGAGAATAGAATGACTTATTTTAAGGCTTGGTTTTGCAGTTTTAAGTTGTAAACCTTCCTGTCTACCAAAGATTTCAGTACAATGCTTTCAATAAAAAGCCTTGTGAAAAGAGAGTTTTTGTGGCAAAAAAGCAGCAGTTCTGGGTTTTACATCTGGGTTGACATGGTACAGAATAAGATTAAAATGATTCATGAGTTGAAACCTGAGCTCAGAAACAGAGGTTAATCTGAATCCATAAGATTCCATTTTTCTGAATGCCTGGAGTCACTAGAGGAATTACAAGCTCCAGTCTCCCATGGAGATGTGAATTGTGGGATGTGATTCAAGCTGATTTTATTTGACTGGCCTAAGACAGGATTTTGGGGATGAAAACATTTTTGAGTCATATACAAAAGGAAAAAGTTACAGTATACATTTTTTTCCATTTATGTGGATGCCAAATAAAATTAAATCCAGCCCAAGGAAGATTAGCAGTACTTCTATTTCCAATTCCAAATTAGATTTGACAAAAAGCTAGTTATTATAATTAAAATTAACAATTTTGATTTGAATATTTTTTCAGTCATGTTGTTTTAAACCATCTCAGCAGTCGCTTTAGGCATGGGTGCCAGCAGTTGCCTGGACACACATTTGTCTGTGTTCTTATATTGATTGTAAGCCCATCCTCTGTGTTTCATACTAGAAAAGTGGCCATCCCCTTGTGAACCTAACACTCTGAGGCTGGGTTTACTCTGTACCAGAGGTACCTCTGAATTTTTTCTATACGTATAAAAAGATTAGGTTTTAGCTAGAACAAAGAAGTCAGAAAAGGAAACTGTCAAAGTTGCAAAGTATAGCTTTTCAAATTTATTTTCAGATTTTATGCATAAAAGAGAAGCCCATTATATTTTTTCTACATTATTGGCATCACATAATATATTTTCCATAAAACAGTTAATGTAGAAATGGAAAGTGGAATGAAAGTTATTTATTAACCAAATTCAAATTTGGACCTTATAGCAGGAAATAAGGAAAAAAAGGAAGAATAAACTCCAGTCACACTTAGCCAAGATCTCTTTGGCTCAATCAAGATTGTGCTGAGGATGCTTCAAGGGTAGCATGAGTCATAAACTGAGGCTAAAGGGGTTATCATCTTGTCACCCAAGCCAGCCTGAAGCCACTCTGCCTCTCACTCTCCCAGAACCTTCTGTGCTTTTGACTCACAAGTTACTTCTTCACGAACAGAGGAGAAGGGAGGGAGGTGGGTGAGTGGAACCCACACAGAGATTGATTAAACACATGGTAACACATCTGTAAGCCAAAAGTAAAATTCTAAGCCCCCAACTGACTGAATGAATCCTCTTCTCAGCCAAAAGTATTCCAAAGGAAACTGAAAAAGTAGTTCAGGCCATGGTGGGAGGTGGGGGTCAGACATGCCTCAATATACTCTCCTTGCTTTGAAGTTTAGGCACAGCTGACCAGCATTAACATTAAAACAGAGATATTATGACTGACAGAACAGACCCTATGCAGCAATAAGATACCAAATTCTAACCTGACTCTAGTAGAGCATCACATGACAGATAGCAGGCCCTAAAGGAAATCAAAGTATTTTACCCCAATATATATTTCTTTGACATAGTTTGCGATGGCCTTACGGCTGTCTCTTTGCATTCTGTAGAGAATCTCCTTCCTTTTCTGGGGAGCCTGGCAACTTTTAAAGTTCTGATTAGGCAACGTTTGCCATATATTGTCCCTACGGGCAGTCACCTATGAGATTTCATCTACAAAATAAGAATCTTAGTCTCTATAACCCCCTGTCTTAACCCAGACACTCCTTTCTATTGATTCCAGGTCTTTAGATAATAACATAACTTCTTCAACCAATTGCCAATGAGAAGATCTTTGAATCCACCTATGACCTGTAAGTGCCCCTGCTTGAGTTGTCCCACCTTCTGGGCCAAACCAATGTACACGTTACATGTATTGATTGATGTCTTATGTCTTCCTAAAATGTATAAATCAAAGCTGTAACCCAACCACCTCGGGCACATGTTCTCAGGACCTCCTGAGGCTGTGTCATGGTCATAGCCCTCATATTTGGCTCAGAATAAATTTCTTTAAATATTTCATGGAGTTTGGCATTTTTCATCACCACATCTATATAGTAGATTCCAGTGAGTAACTTAAAAATCATATTGTCAAAGGTTGATGCAGGGAAAGCACAATAAATGAAAAAGATTACAAATAATTTTATCGTACATTTGTGTCCATAACACAGATATTGTCATTAAGAAAAAAAAAACATAGAAAGAAAACATACCAAAAGATAGCAGTGATTTTCTTTGAAATGTTGAGATTGTTACTGATTTTAAAAATAAAATCCTTTCTTCTTGGTTTTATATTTTTAAAGATTTCTTCATGGAAATGGATATTTGTTGTGTATTTAGAAAGATATATAAACGTCATTTGGTTAGGATAAAATAATACTGAAAATGACTGTATTAAAATAAAAACTTTAGCCCAATTAAATTTAAAGGCATTTAATTGAGTAATGAACAATTTGTGAATTGGGCAGCCCCCCAGAATCACAGCAGATTCAGAGATATTTCAGGGCTGCCTTGTGGTCAGAACAAATTTATAGACAAAAGAAAGGAAGCGACGTACAGAAATCAAAAGTGAGGTACAGACACAGCTGGATTCGTTACAGGTTGGCGTTTGCCTTACTTGAACATAGATTGAACACTCAGCAGTGTATGAGGGGCTGAAGTATGGCTTCTGGGATTGGCCAAGACTCAGCTATTGTTACAGGCACATGCTCCTAACTTATGTTTTCTATCTTGTCTACCTATTAAGTTAGGTTGCAGTTCCTCCACAAACACTCAAATATAGAAATATGGGGCCCTTCTCAGGCCATATTTAGTTTGCTTTAAGAACTGTATGAAAATGAAAGGCCAATGAACCCTCGTATCATCTAGATCAGAAAAGGAAGTAAATTAAAGAATGGTGAGGCTTAAGGTTGAAGCCACTGGACTAAAAGGAGGCTGCAGGAACAGAGGCCTCAGAGCCTCAGTCCTTTAACAGACCCAAGGATGCTCAGACAAAGCCTGCTTTCTTTTGCCTACTGCGGTTTTGTTTTGCCCAAACTTGTCATTCCAGTTGACTAGATGGGAGAGTGGGGTGGGGCTAAACATAGCTTAAGGCTGTGATTATTATTATTAGAGTTGCACTCGCAGGTCAAAGCTCAGTGGGATCCCCAAAACTTTGAGCACCATGCAGGATCTTTCTAACTCCCTTCAAGGCTGGCATTTACTCATAGGGGAACTTAAGCGCAACCTGGATGGTCCTGGGCACCCTAGGATGTATAGTTATCCTCTCTACTGAGGGTCATAGCTTTGGTATATTTAGAACATATGGAATGCTGCAACCACTACACTTTACGCAAAAGCATCACAGCAGTAATGTCAGCACTCCCATTTGCACCTTATAAATATTCTCTTCTTGTTAACATTTTTCTGGGATTTAATAAATGCAGATATGGGATTCAGTGTTTAGTTTTCTTTAAAATAAATCCAGTCATAATCATGTATTGTTTTTCAGTAAGCTCTAAAAATACATTAGAAAAAGAAGGTTTAATCAGAAGGAGCAACAGGTTTCCTACTAAATGCTTTCTTTGTGGCAAAGCTGAATAGCTGAAGATTGTCTGATCACTGCTAATCATGTAGAGATATGCCTAGTTACTTTCAGGAACATTAACTTAAATGAGACTGTGTGAATACTCGTGGTTGGTGTGGCAATGAGTTATTGTTCTGGGAATAGTAATTGGCACAATTGACAACTATTTAATGCTACATTTATTACTTATCTACCATATGCCAGGCAGGAGAAGATAACCTAATGAAGACAGGAATCCTTGTCTGAAAGACATTTTTTGTAGATATTCCTAAATGCATTTTTGCTTAATCGAAATCAACAGTACATATTCTTGTGTTCTACTACTTTTTCATGATTTATTTTATATTTTATTTTATTTGTGGATGGAGTTCAATAATTATTTTAGAAACAGTGCATTGCATTTCAATGCTATTTTGCCCCTATGTTTTCACCCTATAATCTATTGTAGGCCATGCCTAATGACTATTACACGGGTACAACACTGGCCCCCTTGCATTAAGGAGGTATCAACCCCAGGGTCTCCAGGGGACACCAAATCCTCACTTAGCTTTCCTCACTTGCCTGAGTTTTCTTTCGTCACTTCCTAACAGGTTCCTTCTGAGAGCACTTCCTCAATAAATCTCTTTCACAAAAATTTCCATGTCAGGCTCCAGCAGGGTGCAGTACTAAGTACAAATAATAAATTAAAAAAATTAAAAACACATACACACATTTATATTTCCAAGTAGAGATTTTTGTATGGAGATGTCAGACATACCAAGACAGCAATGTTTTGTTGATCTTTCTTTTGTCTTAACTGAAGTATATTTGCAGCTGAAGATTAAGCCCGGTTATTATTTGTAGTAGAGGCACTCAACTCCTGAATAATGGTTTATCTATTGTCTGTGATTCTAGATATCCTAATCTATCCCACAGATACAGATTTCAATTAGGTCAGGGAATTACTAAGAAATGAGTTTTTTATTTAAGAAAGGACTTGGCCAGGTGCAGTGGCTCACAACTGTAATCCCAGCGCTTTGGGAGGGTGAGGAGGGTGGATCACAAGGACAGGAGTTTGAGACCATCCTGGCCTAGATGGTGAAACCCCGTGTCTACTAAAAATACAAAAATTAGCTGGGCCTGGTGGCGTGCACCTGTAGTCCCAGCTACTCGGGAGGCTGAGGCAGAAGAATCGCTTGAACCCCAGAGGTGGAGGTTGCAGTGAGCCAAGATTACACCACTGCACTCCAGCCTGGGCGACAGAGTGAGACTCTGTCTCCAAAACAGAAAAAAAGAAAGGACTCATTTTGGCATTTCTGGCCTGAGGTTCAATCTCCTCTTGGTATGATGGAGATATATATATATATATATGTCTCTAACTTACTTGAATAGTTTTTATTGACTGTCTTCTCTTTCAAATATCCTCTGGCTAGGGATCCAGGAGACTGATTGAGTGGCTTTCATCTGAGACACTGGGAATGCACACTGTAACATCAGAGTCCCATAGTAGATTATTAGGGTTACACTTTGCTGATTTTCTTTACTGTCTCCTATGCCAGGAATAACTCTTCTCTTCATTGTAAGATATTTAATATCCTTTCCTACTTCCTTTATTGCATGGGTAGAGAGGCAGAAGAATAAAGCTATTAAGAAAGCCAGCTCTGGAGTCTGACTGCCTGGGTTGAATGCTGCTTCCCATACTACTAGCTCAGGGCCTTAGTGCAGTTATTGAATTGCTCTACACTTTGGTTTCCTTATCTGTAAAAACACTTGCTTCGTAGTGCCATTGAGAAGAAGAAATGCATTGATACATGTACAGTGTTTAGCATAGTGCCTGGTACAGTGTAATTGCCCATAAGTGTTAGTTAATAGTTATTAACTACCCCTGTCTTTGGAGGGGAGCTTACTTCCTCAGTTTTCTTCTCTGCCTTCTGTGTGTCATTCTGTCATCCCACCTTCATCTAAGAATGAGGTCTTTGAAACTCACTGGCATTGACCTCATGGTTCAGCACCTGCTTGGGGCTCGCAGTTGTCCTTGTTATGACTGACATGTTCTAAGAGGTATGCTCTTTATCAACTCCATCCCTCCCTGGCCCCCAAAGTCCTTGACCCTTTGGCTGTAGCAGACACCCCTTTACTCTGGACAAATCATCTTTCTTTGCTCAGCACAAAAATGTTGAAAAGAGCTTATCCTGACTAGTGATGTTTTCTAAATGCTTAAGGTAGCAAATTATTTTCAGTTGTCTGCTTTCCTTCATCTTTAATTTCAGTCTAATGGAGGAAGTTGTTTTAAGAAATAAAAAATATCACATAATGGCAAAGAACCATTACACTTAAGAAGATAGCATTTCAATTAACATATTCTATGTGATAAAGAATACTTCACAGCTCATACACAAAACAAGTTATTTTGCCTTCCTTCCTTGTTTTTAATAACAAACATTTATTTTTCCTCATCATAGAAGCTATACATGGCCATTGATGACAAGTTAGAAAACAGAACAGAGAAAAAAGTACAAAGATACTTTACTTTTAATACTTTGGTAACCTCTTCCTGTGATTTTTTTTTAAATAAAAAAACCCTGAATTAAAAAAATGCTATCACTACAATTTGTTTTGAATATCTATTTTGATATATTTTAATTCCAGCTGTTTTTATTGTTTTAAAATGTATCTCCTCCACAGTGTGTAAAAATTTAAATATTAAGATTTTACATTTTTTCATAGATCGAAGTGATTACTAAAAACAAACCAAAATGCTTTTAAGGATTTTTAAAAACCACTGTTCTGCAAGGAAGGATAAAAAGGAAGAGACAATGAACAATCTTTCTTGGAATCCTTCCAGTAAGATGTAGAATTATAATATTTTGGAGTAGAATGAGGCTATCAAATTCACTTATCTTCTTTACAAAGAGGGAACAGAGGCCCAAGGAGTTTATGAGCCTTGTCCAAGACCACACCCTGTCTTAGTTCACAGCTTTACTGAATTTTCCTCTCAGTGACCCCCATATTGGCCCCTCCATTTTTTTCTGGCAGAGGTACATACATTGTGATCTTTCGGACAGTGCATGTATGTAAAAGATTTTCCTGGAAATGTGTAGTCAGTTTCTACCTTTTGTGTTTGTAATATGTGTATTTCTAGATCAACTCTGTGAATATCCATTCTAACTCCATAATTTTGTTTTCTGAGAATTTGGCATTGTTGAGTATGATCCAAAGTTGATAGGTGCATTTAGAAACATAATTTTGAGACCCATCATGGGGACATTTATATTCCAGAAGTTTTCTTTGTGAAATGCTTTCCTGGCATTTCTGGCCTCCAGCTAGGATTAAATGACTTATTATGCCTCAGATTCAACAAATTCTCAGTTGAAGAGTCAGCATCTAATTTAATTAATGGAACAGTATAGATTGATGAGAAATATATTAGCCACTCAAAAAATGTTGACATAATTTTTGAACAAAATTTAAGAAGCCTCAAAATACTTCATAATTTCCCAAAGAAAAATAACAAATAAGCTTGGATTCAGCTCTGTGATGCAAATCTCAAGAGTTCTGATTATTAATAAGATTTTTTTATGTGAAAACATTGACCCAGTTCCTGCATTTCAACTCTTATTTTACTATTGCCATTTTCTTTCTTAGCTGCTTTCTATTCTCTTGTTCTTTCATCTCTAAATCCAAGCTTGAAAGGGAAGATGAGTTACCCACAGTCTGCAAGAGCCAATAATAATTTCCTTCTAGTGTAATTTTGCTGTTTCTGTGCAACTGTATAGAATGCATGTGATAGTGGCAGGAGACAGTCAAATGCCTATGCAGATGGGGTGAGTCCTTGGTGAAACCCCACCTTCAAGCCCAAAACAGGCTGAAGGCTGAAAGACCAGATGGCTAGTTTTGGATGAAAAACTAACCTGGAGTGAGAACTTCTGTTCCTGTTTGCCTGCCTTTTCCATTGATGATGGTGCCTATGGTCATGAGGGTGTACTCCTCTACAGTGAACTCTGTGCTGTTCTGGGCCTTGCCATACCTGTCCACCACTGCATTACCACCTTCCCAGTCAAAGCCTTGGTAAAACAACCAGATTCTCCAATTGCATCCTGTTGCAAAAAAAAAAAAAAAAAAAAAAAGGGGGAGGGATGTGGATTCTTATTGTATGTAGGCAAATAATTTTATTGTGATAAGTTAAGAATACTCACAAATAGCTTCCAAATTTTGTTCACAGAAATATACCTTAGCCAATTGTTAAAAGCTATAAATACCTCAAAATAAAAGTTTTCCTGACTTTGAAAAATAAAGAAGCAGCAATATTTTAAGGAAAAAAATTAAAAAGGATTACTTCAGTTTTCTATTAGTTCAGTCTATTTTGTTAACTCTTGTTCTGCTTGATATTCATGGACATCTCAGCTCTTCATAATTCCTGTATGTTTTTCATCTATTCTAACATCACAATCTCCAAAGTTATCAGAAACCTGCATTTAAGAGCACATGTCAAATTCCTATAGCTGATTATAAACCATCTTTTGAAGAGGATCAAAACAAGACAATAATTCCCTATGAATGACAAAATGTTCAGGGTAGTTACAGCCAAAAACATGATTGACAAAGAAATTTGGTTATATCCTGTGATTTACCATAACTTAACATAATAACCTTAATTATGATTGATAGCATATACTCAGACATTAGAATTTTAGAAATCCCATATAATTTTGGAATATATATTAGTTTTATTCACTAAAACATAACCTGAGGGAGATTAAACCTTATTTTTATTTTGGCAATCCCATGTAACTGAACATGTCAAATAATCTTGTTCACATCTATTTCGTGTGCTCCAGGGGCCTTCTGTTGCATTCAACAATTAGGGGTCAGAAAAGACAATTTTTGAAGCTGAAATTTGATTTTGGAAAGCCTATTAAATATGTTACAGGTTTAAAACACTTGATATTATGCAGTAGAATCCCAGATTACCATAAGTCATTTATTTAGACAAAATGATGACTCAGAAAATGTTTTAAAAAGGCAAAAACCTTTACTCATTAAGAGGGAATACTTAGCTTTCCAAACAATCTGTCTCCTGTCTTCTCCTTTTTTTAGTAGTTTATTCACATGGCACACAAAAATCTTTCATTATTCTCTACTATTACATAAAAATCTTGTTTGAGAGAGAGAGCCAAATTTGACCCTTGCATTAGCACACCATTGATATCAACCCCAATTTTTTAATGAAAGCTTATAGATAATTCTATCCAATCTTAACCAGTTTGACCATGAAGTGAAATTCTTAGAAACTTTTTATAACCCTTTACAAATTTTTGTTAAAGAGCAGATCAGTGCCTTAAGAAAACCCTGTTGTGCTTTTATTCCAATGCTCAATTTATATAAAAACCTAATAATACCCTTTTGAATTTAGTTGATATGTTCACACACAGAATTTCTTTAACAAGATTAATTTTTGCTTCCACAACTTGTTCAAACCTTTAGCTTTATCTTATTTAACTTAAAACAATTCTTTAAACCCTCTAATCCAGGCAAAAATTTACCAAACTTTAAAGTAGGCAAGTTGAACAATTTTAAAAAGCCAAAGAAGCAATTTATGACCTTAAAGCATTTAGGAAACCTAGAATCTGACCATGATTTAGACCACATGTTTACATTTTGAAGACATATCTATTTAACTAATAATATTTAAAACTATTTTTTATTTTCTCAAAGATTAAAATAATGTGAACTTTAATCATGTGAAGATTAAAATGCATTACATCTTTTTTTTTCCTTTAAAAATATTTGATTTAGGCACTTTTCTTTAAGTCAGCTAATTAGAACTCTTTTTAATATAAAATCACACATATAACACATATGTTACTACACAGACAGAAGAAGATTCAGTAGTTGTAAGATTTTTCATCTGCCAATTTATTAATTGGACCACTGGCCTTCAAGAAACAGGGCTAGGAAAACATGCAGTTTCTAGGGCCTAATAATCAGGCATAGCTGGAAGAAAAAACAGGTTTTGAGAGGGATTGATCTACTTTTTAATTCCTGGGATTCCATGAAGAAAACAGAGGTTTTTCCCAAAATGGGGTCCATGTTACCATCTCTGTTTTTCCCAAGCAGTCCCAGGCTATGCGAAGTTATCTTAGGGCCTCTCATGTGTGCATTAAGAGTGGAGAAAAATAATTCAGTTGACTGAGAAGAAAAAACCTTTCTCCAGCAAAACAAGATCCAAGAAGAGAAAAAATATATAAAGGCCTTTTAAATATGCCTATAGCTTGAATATCCATTTTTAATTAAGCTGACCTTTAACCATGGCACTGTTTTAAAAAATCCTTTTAAATCCCTTATTACCCAACTTTAGCCACACCAAGTGGCCAATATTTCTGGCTTTTGAACTTTACCGAAAGTAACCTCACAGGTGAAACTAACAAGCCTCAACTAAGGTTATAACTTAACTGCCAGTGTACGAGGTATTTTCAAAGAGGTGGTAAGCAGTTTTTAAAAAATCTAGAATCTTTAAAGGAGGCTCAGAGAAAGGAAGACTTAGGAAAGGAAGCTAGGAGTTGTTCACGGCGGGGAAGAGAATCAGCAAATGGTAAAAATCACACAGCTATTAACCAGAAAGTGGTACTCATTCCCTAAACCAGGATTGAACCTAGGCCACCACCGTAAAATGGCAGAGACCCAAAGAAATTACTGCCACATGGTTATAGGGTCAAGCCCTAAAGCTGTAAAACAAGATGGAGAGCTCATCCAGTTTTTGTCTGTTTGTTTGTTTCAGAGACCTGCAGCAACATTTGTTACTGACAAGTTTGTGGGCTAGCTTGGACAGTGGGCTTATGAGATCCTAGGCCCACATTCTAACCTAAGGTACTCCTCTTACTGAAAGAAAGATACAGAAAGACAAATTCTTAGCACAAAGTACAACAGATTCACTACAGCGTAAGACTAGCCTCACAGAACCTTTTTCTATTAATAAAAACTTTACAGTTTTTATTAATATAAACAGTGATTTTTACCATTAATTCAACCAGTTTGCACAGGGAGAGAGAGGCCAGAAGTCTGACTGGTAAGAACTTTTACCCTTTTTCTGGCATGTCAAGCTTCTGGGTTCCCTCTTTCCAGCTCAGTTTTTAAGCCAAGCAGTTTATGGTTTGGGGAAATTAAACTTTTCTCAGAGGGGAGTGTCTTGTGGTACAGAGACGTGATCACCCCTCCACAAAGATAGGACAGAGAAGGAAACAGGAAAAAAAAAAAGAAGGTTTTTTTTTTTTTTTTTTTTTTTCAAAGGAGTCCCAGTGATGCAGGATGCAGTCAAGAGAAGTACAGACTGAAGATGGTTGGTTTCTCATCTGGAAAGAGGAGAAAAAGGCATCCCTTAGGTCCTTTCTCTTTCCAGTGAATACCTGGGGTATGTGAAGGAGAGAGAGAAAAAATGGTGTTCCCTTTTTCTCTTCCATCTTTATATCCTTGAGTCCTGGTGACCTTGGCATGTGTTGCCCATGGGTGCCAATGAGGCTCTCACCCATGTAACAGGGAGGCCTAGAGGGTAGGAATTATCTGCACTCATCTACCTACTGGCCTATCCTCCCTGCTGTTGGTAACCTCATCTATGCTATGGATATGGGCATCACTTCTACCCATGAAATGGTGGGGGGGCGGGGGGTGCTAATTGTCAGTGACCAGTCATGCTCACCTGTGCTCTGCCCCTTGACTTTCATTGTCATCTGCTTTGGGATCACTCAGATCCAGTTTTTCTATTTAGGACTTCAATCTGAAGCTTGAAATTGAGTTTGGGACAAAAAGGTGCCTTGCAAGGGTGCATGGACTCATTAAGTCCCAGCTGGCCCTTGCCAAACTTGAAGCCAGCAACTGACAGGGCCACTCCTTCCCTGGTTCCTTATAATAAACCGAATGCTAAGGTAAATCTGTGGAACTGGGTCCTCCTCAAACAAGGGAGAGAAAAGGGAATCCCTGAGAATTGAGGAACTGGCTGGTAAGATGCCTTACAAAAGGAATAAAAAATCTTCTTGCATGGAAAACTCCCTGTATTTGCAGGGCTGTGTTAACTCCTGACATGGTGAAGGAAAGGTAAAAAAAAAAACAAAAACAAACCCAGCTTAATTGCAGGGAGGGGAAGGTGTCTGAGGGAAAAAGCCTCTTGCTCTTATGCAAATAGATTCTTTCAACAGGGGAAAATCTCTTAATCACTGTATCCTCCCTGAATCTAAGAATAGATGGTAACCACATTGTTCTGAATTACATTTTTTGTGATTAGGCTAAGTGCCCATTCTACCCAATAATATCTTTGTAGTTTGCAACAACACTCTTAACATTATAAAAGAAAAGATAGGTGTTGTGAGAGTCCCCAAAGAAAGAAGAAAAATGACATAGAAAAGACTGGATTTGGACAGAAACTGACATTCCCAACCCCCAAGAGTGATGAGGTGTTGGGGTGGCAGGGTCCTCTCCCACATCCTGTCCTCTGTGGCTGTGCCATTAGGCATTAACTGGCTAATCAGAGGTCTGGTAGTTCATTTGGCTTCAGAAAAATGTCTGAGGACAAGAAGCCTCAGGAAAAAAGAGAAGAGTCTAGGTTCACATTTACTCACCCTTTGGGGATCCCCAGGAGAGCCCCCAGAAATGACATAGGACTTTTCTTGGCCACTTTGCCAGCCAGGGACCTCCGGCTGGTGATGTCCCTGCCTGGGCCTCACTCATGCACACTACCTGCCACAGGAGGCACCCCGCCTACTTGGCCAAGTTTGGCTTGTGCACCAGCTCAGCCAATAGCTGGGCTGGCTGTGCCCCAGCCCACCTATGTTATAGATTATACCCATGTTCGGCAGTTCCTGAGCTCTTGTCCCATGTCCCAGAACAAGGATACACTAACAATTGAAGGATGAGGAGGGTGGAGAAGAATTTTATTGAGTGATGGAACAGCTCTCAGCAGAAAGGGGACATTGTAGTGGTTCCCCACCCCCACAGTTAGGTGGTTTCTCTCTCAATGTGGCTGAGTCTGGGGTTTTTATAGGCACAGGATGGGGGAGGGCCAGGCCATAGGTAGTATTGGATAAGGCAACATTTGATCGATTAAAAAGCATTATTCAGAAAGAACAAATCAAGAAAGGGTAGACAAACAGGAACAGAAGTTTTCACTCCAGGTCGCATTTCTCATCCAGAACAAGCAGTCCATTCTTTCAGCCTTCAGGCTGTTCCCAATTAAATCTTTTTCCAATTAAAGACTGGAGGAGGATGGGGTTTCACCAGGGACCTACCTCTATCTGCCTAAGCATTTGTGTGCCTCCTGCTGCTGTTACGTACTTGTTAGGAGTAAATTGTTTTTGAATGAAAGAGAGACCTCTAGATTTTTGGAATAAGATTTTTCCTGAAAATCTAAATCAAAGGTAGGTCAATAGGCCTTGAGCCAAAAGTCAAAGGTAGGTTGGAAGATTATGAAAGAAAGTAGTTGAATGGAAGCTGCTGCTGATTTCCTGGAGATACCCAGGTGTAATCAGGACCCAAGGGCCAGGAGAAATTAGTTTCAGTGGTGTTGGCAAATTTACTTGGGGAAGCTGTGCCTGGGGTGGAAGCACGGTAGCATTAAAATGGGAATATCAATTTCTTAGACACAGGGAGAGAAGGATTTAATCGGGAAGAGACTAAAGTTTTTCAAAAGCCTAGGTAAATTTTTTCAGCTGGCTGAAGAGTTTGTTTTTGTTTTTCCCTACAATTGCAATGCAAAAACAGCCACACATCAATAACAACAGCAAAAAATAATAATAAATAATAATTGAATCCCTTTTTTTGTTTTTTTACCCTTAAATACAATAAAATGTAATGATTTCTTGAACAATGTATGATGTTTGTTAGCATACAATGTCTTCAATATTTTATACAACTTTTTCTATAGGCTCAATGAAAGCCTGAGTCTGTTGGCTTAGGTGCTCTGACCATACCTTCAATGAAAGGCTCACTGAAAACAAACACAACAGCATTCCAGTGGTAGCATTTTTATAATCCTAATAGTTAGCAACAGACAATCAGAAATTCTTTTGTATCAATGACTAGGCAAAGGACAGATTAGGGAATCAAGCTCAGGTTTCATCTCTAAAGGTGAAAGATGAAGGTTTTGCTGGATGATATTTGTACTCTTTTAATATAAAGATAGGAAGCATATCTCAAATATTTTAGCTAATCCACGTGTCATCAATGTGTCTGATTATTTTATCAATGGTAGCCAATTTCTGAAATGCTAGTCAATAAGCCATAATTTTCAGTTATAAAATTATGTCTGACATCAGTATGATAATTACCAAAACATCCGTAGTTAATCAACATAGGATAAAATAAGTACTTATAATAGCAACCTCTACAGTATGGACCTTTTTGATGTAATGGGAATTGGCCACCCTGGACTGTGCACTGTTGATTAGGATAACTGCCCCTGGAGCTTAAACTTTAAGCTTTGACTAATGGCTACATATTATCACACAACCTGTGTGGAAGTACTTTAAGGTCCATTACAATGTAATCAACTGCAAACATTACAAGTAGTTCTCTTTGAGACTACTGTCTGAAGATGATGTAGTTCAAAGGGCCCCCCTTCTCTTTTTCTTCAACAGTAGAAGAGGAATCAACTCCGGTTTTTTTTAACTACAGAGACGCTTTGCTCATCCAGAAAAAGACTCCGTTGTCTTCCTCCGTGTAACTCTTTTGCCATAGATGTTGTGGAGTGTAAGAATGTAAACTGTTGCTTTTGCTGGGATGTCATCATTTTGCAAATCACAGAGGAAACTTGAGTCCCACAGGGAGAGTGGAACTTACGTAATAAAGCAACTGGTATTTTGTCTGATAGTTCCAGCCATGCCTTCCCATAGCAACTGTAATTCAGCATCTCTAAGAAAAATTGTGATTTTTGACAAGGAAGAAAATCAACATCCAATGTTATTTCTCAAGTAATTGCAAGATGTTAATACTTCATATTCACTCCATACACCACCATTTTTGGAAAAAACGTTCTGTGATTATTCTTTTGCTAAACTTTATGCATAATGAACACACAAAGGTAAGACATTTCCAAGACAATATTTTAAATAAGTACAGATCAATATAAGACTTTGTGTGTGCTCTAGATGTATAAGCTGCTTCTTCATGTTGTCCTTTGTATGTATCATGGTAAGATTTATAGCCACATGGTAAACAATGAACACTGATGTGGAGAAATGTTGCTTTTCCATTGGGTATTTTTCTCTCTCCATTTTTTATTAACCATAAACACCTTAGCATTTAAATTTTATTTTTTAATTTATTAAAAAATTAACATACAGTAAATGTCACCTTTTGGTATACAGTTCTATGAGTTTTGACAAATTCAGAAAGCCATCTTACCATCACCTAGATAATAACAGTTTCATCCCACAAAAAAATTTTCTCCTTGTCCTTTGTAGTCAAATCCTCTCTCTCTCCTTAGCTTCTGGTAAACATGAATCTGTTCTCCATCCTTTGTTTTTTTTTTCCAGACTATAATACAAATAGAATCATACTGGGTGGAGCTTTTTGGGTCTGGATTCTTTGGCTTACAAAATAATGCATTTAAGATTCAAGTATGTTAATGCATGAATCAATACACATCCCTTTTTGTTGCTGAGTAGTATTCCATTGTATGGATGTATCACAATGTTTTTTTACCCATTTGCTAATTGAAGGATTTGTGGGTTGTTTCCAGTTTTTGGCAATTATACATTATGATACGATAAATATTCACATACAGGATTTTGTGTGAACATAAATTTTTAATTCTCTTGGTAAATACTGAGGAGCAGAACTGCTGGGCCATATGGTAAGTGTATGCTTTAAATTATAAGAAACACCAAACTCTTTTCTCAAGCAGCTGTGCCATATTGCACTCTCACTCACAGTATACGTGGGTTCTAGTTATATTACATACTTTCCAGGATTTGATATTGGTATTGTTAGGGTGCTCCCTAGTAGATGTACAGTGGTGTCTCATTGTGGCTTTAATTTGCATTTCCCTGATGATAGTGAGCACCTTTTCATATGCTTATTTGCTGTTCATTTACCTTCTTTTGTGAAATGTCTACTGAAACGTTTTGCCCAATTTTTAATTGGGATTTTTGTTTTCATTCATATCATTGAGTTTTGAGATTTTAAAATATATCTTCCATACAAATTTTTATCACATATGTGAATTGCAAATATTTTCTACCAGGCTGTGGCTTATTGTTTTATTCTATTAGCAGTTTTTTTCCCCACAGAACAAATGTTTTAAAATAAGTCCAACTTAGTAATTTTTTATTATATGGATCATTCTTCACCTTTGGTAGCTATGAACTCTGCCTATCCCGAGGTCAAAACAATTGTCTCTGATATTTTCTTCTATGAAATTTATAGATTTATATTTTATACTTATGCCTATGACTCATTTTGAGTTAATGTTAATTTTCAGATCTATGAGTGTAGTTTTGTATGAGTAAAATAAGCTAAAGATCTTTTCTTTACATATGAATCTTTTCTTCATTGAGTTATCTCTGGCCTTTTGTTAAAAATCAATTGTAGGTCTATTTCTGGACAGTCTGTCCTGTTCCATTGATCTGTGTATTTACTCTTTCACTAATACTCTGCTATGTTAACTATTGTAGCTTTATAATAATTCTTGAAATCCAGCCCAACTTTTTTCCTCTGTCAAAATTGTTTTGGCTTTTCCAGTTCCTTTGATATCTACAAGAAATTTTGCTGGAATTTTGATTACAATTTGTTGACTTTATAAATCATTTTGGGGAGAATTGACAATAGCACTGAGTCATATATAATAGTTCAGTTTGAAAGCCTGAGAGTTGGAGGGCCAATAGGGTAGATTGCAGCCTGAGTCTGAAGGCCTGAGAAGCAGGAGTGCCATGAGCAGGAGAAGAGAGATGTCCATCTCAATCAGTCAGGCAGAGGGAGAGCAAATCCTGCTTTCTGCTATCTTTTTGTTGTATTCAGGCCCTCAATAGATTAAATGATGTCCACCCACATTGGGGAGGGCCATCTGCCTTACTCAATCCACCAATTCAAATGCTCATCTCTTCCAGAGACACCCTTATAGACACACCCAGAAATAATGATTAGTCAGATATTTGGTCATCCTGTGGCCCAGTCATGTTGACACATGAAATTAACCATCACACAAAAAGCAAAAAAAAGGAGTGTTCTCCCCACCTTCTGCTGCCCCTCTGAAACCATAATAACTCCTTTCCCACATTCCTCTAGCCAGAGGGAAGGAGTTTTCCTTAAGATTTCAGATGCTCATTATAGCACTGCCAGTCCTGTTGCTGTCACAGCAATGCCATTTTTAGACTGGGGCTGGCCTCCAGGAAGGCCAGATAGAAAAAAATAAGAGAGAGAGAGAGAGAAGGGAGTCCCTGTATCCTTCCTTGCTAGCATGTAGTGGTTCTCTTTTCTGGTTGTCTGGCTGGAGATGGGACGCTTCTTCTGGAGTTCTCACTGTTTGTGCCTGCTGCACAGTTCTGGAACTTGGCCCACCCTTGGATCAAAGCCCAGGGATAAGTGAGAGAAAAAAAACCTAGTAAACTCACTGCTATACTGGCCATTCTTCACGTTGTGACCTTCCTTCTACTCTCCTTTTATTATTTTTCTTTCAGAGTTCTCAGGTAGTTGCTTTTCATTATTTTCTCCAGGATTTATGCTTGTAATCAGGGGAGAAAAAGGCTATCCTGGGCTTCTTCCACCTTGGTTTGTATGAGAAATCTGCAATTTCTTTTTCATTCTGTATAATAAAGCCATTATATATGTGCTATTGCATTTGCTAGTAATTATTCCCATTTCAATAAACATGAACTAAGTTAGTAAACATGTCTTAAGTTAGAAACCTCTTGAAACTGCAATTCATACACAACCAATGAGTAAATCCCACTGACTTCTGCAGAGGGACAGTAGGGTGGCGTTTAGAATAGTGGCTATCATGCCCAACTGCCTCGGTTTGAATCCTGGTTCTTCCACTTACTAGTTTTTTATGCTGAGAATGTAGCCTTTTCTGCACCTCAGTTTCTACTAGTACAAAATGGAAATAGTGCTATCAGTGATAATAAATCTTATGGAGCTTGTTTAGGGGATTGAATTAATGCGTATAAAGCAGTTAGAATAATGCCTGGCACATCGTAAGCTTTAGCTATTATTCCCCTCATCCTAGATGTCTCCTGAATGCATTTATTTTCCATCATTGTCATCCTGATTCAAGCAGAAATGTAAAGCACTTAAAAGGATATTATGCTAAGCTCTGATAACTGGAAAGTGGGCTTTAAAAAGTATTCAAGATAAAATGTAGGAGGTTTCAAGTAATTCTTACAGCACTTCAAACTTTCATTAGGTGACACTTTAGAAGAAAATTACAGAGTGTAAGGCAGAACTTAAATGTAAGCAGGAGGTCAGAGTGTCCTTTCAGGGGTTCGCAGACTTTGTGGTGTTTCAGACAATTACTGGTTCAAAGATCCTGGCTCAGTAGGCCTAAGATGGGTTTCAGAAATCTACAATTTTAACTAACATACTTCATCATTCTGTTGAAGATGATCATAGAGGCAAATTCTGAAATCAATACTGCTTCTCTGACTGTGTGATAGAAGCTGACAGTATGCTAACTTCTGTTGAAATTGAATTATTTTGTTTTATTAAAGATGAGCTGTTACAACATCAGGTCATGTCTAAGGGCACAAGAAATGGCCCAGGTAACCCATGCATTAGTGTTAGCCTTTTTCGATAACTCTCTGTATTTTTGTTTAGTGAGAAATAATGTTACTAAAAATAGTGACATTATTGCGATGACAATCTTTGAGAGCTCATTTTCCTTGATTTGGAGGAAACATACCTTTTGCCCCGAATTGTACACCCATTGCTCCTATTTGCATTCTGTCAGCTATTTTCACTTATCACTATCATCAGCTTCACTCTGGTGTGACAGTGCTGTTTCAGATTCTCATGTGACTTATCATTTCCTTCCACAAATTTATGTTCAAATTTGTTCTGCTTTAAAGGCAGCAAGTGTAGACCAGGAACCAAGAGACCTGCCACCTTTTCATTTACTCTTAGGGCGAATTTTGTTCATCAAGTCAACTAATATGGGCTGCTGTTCTACAAAATGATGTTGTTGATGATTTCCAGAATTTTATTCTAGTCTAGTGTACTTTATCTTCCCTACTTTTATCTCTAGTGCTGAAAAATGGGATTTAAAAGATGGTAATTATGGCTAATAAACAGAAAGTGCCTCCAGAATGTCACTATTTTGAGGGCATTTGCCATTGACATTAACTATAACTCAATTCCTAGGTTTAGAAATTTATCATTAGGTTAGGATTCTTTTTTAGGTCTAGTAGCCAGATAGTAAGGTTATCAGGAATTTTGCCAAGTGAAATTCTACTTTGAAGGCTATTATGTTTAGTTTTTATATTTTTAGGTATCTTTAGTCCACACTGAAGCTCTTTGCCATACCTTCAAAGTCTTCTGGCACTGTAAATATAGCTGCTAAGATGGACCACCTAAGCATAGCACATAAAAACATGTTGGAAGTAGAAACCATCTCTATATCATGTAAACCTTGGCAAACAGCATGTTCCCTGTAGTACTCAGCAAGTACTGATAAGAAGGTCAAATCCTTGTACACTGTGAACCGTGCTAGATAGCATGTCCCCTGTGGTACCCAGCAAGTACTGGGAAGATTGAGTCAGTTTTGCTAAGGAACTCATTTTGAAAGCAAGAAACCTAAGTATTATCATCCCTATCTTAAAAAGCAAAGACTCAGAATAGGGGAACTGAAATTTCAATGTTTTAGATAAGGCAGACAGAAAACAAATTAATCTTCTTCCCTTTTTGTTGCTTCTTAAATGGTGCATACAAGTTTAAAGTTGCTAACATCACAAAAGCAGTTAAGCAAATAGCTTGTAGGAAATCAGGGAAATTGTAATAATTTGAGGAAAACATCTGTTCTAGTTCACAAATCTCACAAAACATTCATTATGAGATTTTCTTTCCATTTCACTTATTGTATTTTTATTAACAATCGTTTTTCTCGAAAAAATCTTTACATTGAGACCTTAATATCAGAATTCAGCTAACAATTCATTGGTACTATGCTTAGATGGCCTATCTTTGGGCTATTAAGTTCAGGTTTATAACAGTGAATTTAAGCTCTTTTTTGTGGATTTCTATTCTTTGATTTTGGTTATTCATTTTTACTTGTAGTAGAAGATAAAGCTTCTAAATTTGAGGAAGGGTGAATTCATTTTCAAGAAAATGAATGATTTTTTGGTCTGTAAGTACCTAATATTCAGCTAATATTTTACTGGTCGATTAAACTGGATGAAGTTAATTTGGTTTGCAAAATGAAGGGCAATCTGAAAAATTAGGCATGACCTAATATTTTAATGAAATAATGTTGCCCAAGTTTTTTATACATACAATGTATTGAAACTATGATAGCACCATCTGCCATTAATTTGAGCAATAATTGCTTTGTCTTTATACAGCGCTTGGCTCTCTTCAAAGCTATTTTATAAAAATTTGAGATTCTCACTTGAAGTTGAGTATTACAATGGACATTTTATAAATGGAGAGCAACCTATTATGTTTAAATTGATAGCCCAGGTCCTCTCCTTTCCTGTAAAGCGTGTAAGGAGCTTCAAAATCACCACTCCACTGTACCAATGAGTAAAAACAAAATCAACAAATTGACTTAGGTTTCTCAGAAAACTTTATAGCTCAGCATATAATCTATTTTGCTAAATATTCCACATGAACTTGAAATTGTATGTGGTGGTGTATAACTAACAAAGAAATCATGTTGTTAGATAATGTTCTTCAAATCTTTTCTATTATTACGGGGTTACTTTTTGCTTTTCTATTAGTTACTTAGAGAAGTGTGTTAAAATCTTCAACTCAGTGGGCCTATTTTTTCTTCTTATTCCCTCAATTTTTGCTTTATATATTTTGAAATTATGCTATTAGGTGCATACAGATTTTACATTGTTACATTTGTTGTATTGATCCATTTATCATTTCATGAATGGCTTGGTGCTCTCCCACAGTAATGAGTGAGTTCTCACTCTATTGGCTCACATGAGATTTGGTATTTCTAGTTCTAGATCCCTGAGGAATCACCACACTGACTTCCACAATGGTTGAACTAGTTTACAGTCCCACCAACAGTGTAAAAGTGTTCCTATTTCTCCACATCCTCTCCAGCACCTGTTGCTTCCTGACTTTTTAATGATAGCCATTCTAACTGGTGTGAGATGGTATTTCATTGTGGTTTTGATTTGCATTTCTCTGATGGTCAGTGATGATGAGCATTTTTTCATGTGTCTTTTGGCTGCATAAATGTCTTCTTTTGAGAAGTGTCTGTTCATATCCTTTGCCCACTTGTTGATGGGGTTGTTTCTTTTTTTCTTGTAAATTTGTTTGAGTTCATTGTAGAGTCTGGATATTACCCCTTTGTCAGATAAGTAGATTGCAAAAATTTTCTCCCATTCTGTAGGTGGCCTGTTCACTCTGATGGTAGTTTCTTTTGCTGTGCAGAAGCTCTTTAGTTTAATGAGATCCCATTTGTCAATTTTGGCTTTTGTTGCCATTGCTTTTGGTGTTTTAGACATGAAGTCCTTGCCCATGCCTATGTCCTGAATGGTTTTGCCTAGGTTTTCGTCTAGGGTTTTTGTGGTTTTAGGTCTAACATTTAAGTCTTTAATCCATCTTGAATTAATTTTTGTATAAGGTGTAAGGAAGGGATCCAGTTTCAGCTTTCTACATATGGCTAGCCAGTTTTCCTAGCACCATTTATTAAATAGGGAATCGTTTCCCCATTTCTTGTTTTTGTCACGTTTGTCAAAGATCAGATGGTTGTAGATATGTGGCATTATTTCTGAGGGCTCTGTTCTGTTCCATTGGTCTATATCTCTGTTTTGGCACCAGTACCATGCTGTTTTGGTTACTGTAGCCTTGTAGTATAGTTTGAAGTCTGGTAGTGTGATGCCTCCAGCTTTGTTCTTTTGGCTTAGGATTGACTTGGCGATACGGGCTCTTTTTTGGTTCCATATGAACTTTAAAGTAGTTTTTTCCAATTCTGTGAAGAAAGTCATTGGTAGCTTGATAGGGATGGCATTGAATGGTTGTTTAAGGGCCTGGCACCACCTCCTCTCTCTCTTGCTCCCTCTCTCGCCCTGTGACATGTCTGCCCCTTGTTCACCTTCTTTTATGACTGGAAGCTACTGGAAGCCCTCACCAGAAGCAGATACTGGCACCATGCTTCTTTTACAGTCTACAGAATCGTGAGCCAAAAGAACCTCTTTTCTTTGTAAATTATCCAGCCTTAGATAATCCTCTATAGAAATGCAAATGGACTGATACAGGGGCCACACTTTCCTCACCAAGTCTTTTTAATCTATTCATGAGGGTGGAACCCTCAGGACTTAAACACCTCCTAAAAAAACCCACCTTGCAACATGGTTGTATTGGGTATTAAGTCTCCAACACATGAATTTTGAGGAACACATTCAGAACATAGAAGCATCTCACATTTAACATGTCCCAAAATTAATTTATGTACTATCCAATAAACCTTTGCTTTCTGCCAGAATCCTCATCTCTGTCAATTATAAGACTTTCACTCTACAAATATTGGAGTCATTTTCAAAATCTCTCTTTCTGTCACCTTCAATATTCAGACAACCATTTGGCTCTATTTTCACAATATACTCTGCATAAAACCATGTCTTGCCTTCTATATTGCCATAAAAAATTCTAGACTACCATCATCTCTTGTCTGAGGATTGCAAGAACTTCTTAACTCATCTCCCTATTTTGTTCTCCCTAAAGCCTCATTTGCGAACAGACACTGTGATTCTTAAGAAAACGAAATGCTGATGATGTCAATCTTTGTTTCAGTCCTCCAAAGTAGAATGGAAAATTTTTCTGTGGGGCACATCATTACATAGTTTGTTCCCTGCTGACCTCCCTAAACTGTCGTCTTCTGCATCCTTGGATATTCCTTGAAAGTGCAAAGATGCTCCTCTACCAGGGCTTTGTAACTGTTGTTGCTGGTGCCTGGAATGCTCTTTCTCAGATATTTATATGCTGTGCCCCCACCCTACTCACATCTTTGAGGCTAGGCCTGACCATCACCCATTTGCAGTTCTATTTCATGATGGTAACTAGTTTTTTTTACTTTTCTCATCATCTTGATTTCATTTTTCCCATCACTTCACACTTTTTCTTAGAGCCTTTTCTCTGGCTATCACTGACCCAATTGATATCTCCAGCCCCTGCAAATGCCTTTTAAAGTGAATGTTATACATAAAGGGGTAGTATTGACCCTAAAACCGAACAGTGTCCTACATTTTTTAATAGCTCTTATTTCCACCTAATATTATTTGATGTAATGCTATATTTATTAATTTTTATGTGTCTTCCACACTAGAATAAAAGCTTCATGAAGTCAGGCTTAATCTGTCTTCACTTCTGTATCCCCAGGTCCTAGAATAATGTCTGCACATAGTAGATACTCAGTTGTAAAGAGATATTAGAGCCATGTCCTGAATTATCTCTTGTGGTGACTAGACATTGATCATCTGGTGATCTGGCCACAGAGTAATAAAATCCTTTAAAAAATCGGGGTTAAAATTTCATCAGGAAAAGACACTCCAAAAGAAAAAAAAATAAACAATCCTCTGTTCATTCACTCGTGCAATGCATCTCTTTTGTACACCTATTATCTGCAAAACCCTCTTATGGATGTTGCCTAGAGAAGGGAGAATGAAGATAAATAAGGAATTTGTTGTGAATAGAAACGTCCATGTTTGTAATTTTACACAGGGGAAAATCTTTAAAAAGAAAAATAGCCTTAAAACTTCCATTTTGCTCTTATTAAGGCTTTAAACCAAGAATATTTTCTTTTCTAGCGAAGCATGCTATTTTCACAAATTCTAGGGGTAATATCGCTGCCCATCTACCTGTAATTATGGTGAAGGCTCTATTGCATATAGTTTTGCTTAAATGGGCAGCAGAGAAAAAGTGTAAGTTGCTAGAAGAAAATATGGAGTCAAGGATTTTTTAAAAAACAGAGTTGTTACAGCATTTTTAATGCTGGCGGAAATAATAGAGAAGAAATCCAACTTTCATGCACTTCCAGCTTTCATTTTACCACTTTAAGTTGTGCACTGGACTAATAATACATCCTTCTCCAACAAACATCCCATCCTTTGTGTTTGATGGCATTAAGCCAAAAAGGTCTTTAGGGATTATCTTGTTTAGCACCCTGTATTTTACAGCTAAGAGAGCCAAGGTGCAGAGAGGGCAAATACCATCATCTTTTTCCTAGACTACTGCTGTCACCTCCTTACAGGGCTTCCATACTCTCTGCCCTTCTGAGTCATTCTCCCCTCTTTGAAGCCAGTGAAACATTCAAAATGAAGATCTGACATTGTTTCACTCCTACCTCTCATGCTTTTGTACCTAGGCACCAAGGTCTTTGGACTTCAAGTTTCAATGACCAATTGATATGGTTTGGATTTGTGTCCCCACCCCAATCTCATGTCAAATTATAAACACCAGTGTTTAATGATATAATATATCATGGGGGGCAGGTTTCCCCCTTGCTGTTTTTGTGATAGTGGGTGAGTTCTCACAGATCTGGTTGTTTAAAAGCATGTAGCATCTCCTTCTTCTTTCTCTTGCTCCTGCTGTGGCCATGTGTGGCGTGCCTGTGTCCCCTTCACCTTCTGTCATGATTGTAAGTTTCCTGAGGCCCCCAGCTATGCTTTCTGTACAGCCTGTGGAACCAATTAAACCCCTTTTCTTTATAAATTACCCAGTCTCAGGTATTTCTTTATAGTAGTACGAGGACGGACTAATAGACCGATTATTCCATTATGTTTAATTGATAGGTAATTTTGCTGTTTATAAAATAAATTTATAGTTTAAGTTAATAAATGGTAACTTAGTTGAAAAGAATGAAAAGTATGATCTAATATAGGGGTTCTTACTGGTTCTGGAAACTTGTATTTTAGAATCACCCAGGAAGGTTTTAAGAATTCCAATGCTTGATCCCAAAAGTCCCCACCTGATCTGGCCCCTGTGTACCTCTTTACTCTCTCTTCTTTTACCCTCACTCTGCTCTCTGCACTCAGCCACTGTGTTCTCTTTCTGTTTCTGGAGCACACAATTCACCTTCCTGCCTCAGGACCTTTGCATTTGCTGACTACCTCTTCTGATAATTTTCTTCCCTTCTCTCTTACTTAAGCCTGACCCTTCAGAGAGCTCTTGTCTGATGTTTTTAAGTTACCTTTCCTTCACCCCACAGATTGCATCAGGATCCTTTGATACATGCTTTCTTGGGACTGTCTTACTGCCTTTTTTTGCAGTTACCTCAGGTAATTATGTGCTCATTACTTTGGGTGACTTATGCTCCTCTGCCCCACCCAGATGGAGAGCTACACTAACACAGGTGAGATCCTGGTTTTGTTGTGCTTGTAACCTCAGTACATAACAGAATTACTTTTTGGGCACTTCACAGATATTTGTTAGGTGAAACCTTGAAAGAGGGTCATTTAGCTTGTCCATCAATATTTCTCACGATGGGAGGATACTGTTTTATAAGGTAAATTCCACTGGAGATACCTTAATGTTTTTTAAGTTCTTAATCATATTGAACTAAAATCTGCCCATAAGATCCACTCATCACTCCTATAGTTCTAGAAAAATAAAGAACAAGTTTCTATTTTTTATGACAGCTTTTCTGGAATCAAATCTTTTAAAAATCACTTATTTATATTTCTGTGATAGATTTTTTTTTTTTGAGACCGGGTCTCACTATCTTTCCCAGGCTGGAGTATAGTGCTACAATGATGGCTCACTGTAGCCTCGACCTCCTGGGCTTGAATGATCTTCACACCTCGGCCTCCTGAGTAGCTGGGACTACAGTTGTGCGCCACCACACTAGGCTAATTTTTGTATTTTTGTTGAGACAGGGTTTTACCATGTAGCCAAGGCTGGTCTTGAACTCCTGGGCTCAAGAAATTCTCCCACCTCTGACTCCCAGAGTGCTGAGATTATAGGTGTGACCCACTGCACCCAGCCAAGATCTAATCTTGATACTGAAAATCTTTTTAAAATCTTGGAAAAACAAATTATGCTGGATGAATCCATAAGAGGTCTTTGTTTTAACTGGAGGTATAACGTTTTTTAAATTAAAAATGGAAAAGTATACTTGAAGTTAGAAACCCAAGCTATATAGTCTAGAGTATTAATTCATGATAGATTCGATAGATGTGTGGAAAAAACTTTCAAGTTCACATACGTTTGGGAAACATGGGACTATATAAAATTTAAAGTGTAATGTTTTTAACTGAATGATATATTAGAATTTTATAATATTTAGTATAAAAATATTAAAGCTTCTCAAACTTGTCATAAAGCCCTTTTTTTTTTTTTTTTTTTTTTTTGAGACGGAGTCTCGCTCTGTCGCCCAGGCTGGAGTGCAGTGGCGGGATCTCGGCTCACTGCAAGCTCCGCCTCCCGGGTTCACGCCATTCTCCTGCCTCAGCCTCCCAAGTAGCTAGGACTACAGGCGCCCGCCACTACGCCTGGCTATTTTTTGTAGTTTTAGTAGAGACGGGGTTTCACCGTTTTAGCCGGGATGGTCTCGATCTCCTGACCTCGTGATCCGCCCGCCTCGGCCTCCCAAAGTGCTGGGATTACAGGCATGAGCCACCGCGCCCGGCCCATAAAGCCCTTTTAATGAGAAATGTCTCTTAGCACTATGGGCCCTGATGTTTCCATAGAACCTGGTGGAGAAATTGCTCTTGTTGGATGTTATCTTCAACTTTATTTTCTGAGAGATTATTGTATCTAATAATTGATGTTATGTGGTGAGTTTGAAGCATTTACTCATTCTCTGTATTCATCTTCTAACCCTTCCCTTTTAACATTGTGTTGTTGTGTTTTAATCGTCCTAGTGGTAGTATGCCTATAAAAAGGTAATAAAACTAACTTTCCAAGCATCTTTAGATGGTATAGGTTAATTGCACAAATATAGGTTAAATGCAAAGT
Organism: Homo sapiens; assembly: GCF_000001405.40. Lineage (NCBI taxonomy): Eukaryota > Metazoa > Chordata > Mammalia > Primates > Hominidae > Homo > Homo sapiens. Next base: position 154,968,816 of record NC_000004.12, read on the forward strand.
TGAAGAAACTGGACAATGACTGGTATGTCCCTAAACTATTCCCCTTGGAATGGTTCAAGTCTATTCAAATGACATTTCTTTTGTTCAGCAAATTTTTTTAAGTCTAAAATAAAACTGTCAGGTGAGTGAATAATGAATTGCCATGGAGAAGTTTGAGTGGTTTCTGCAGGGTAGGCTAGACATAAAGAAAAGAATGCATTTATCTGATGATTATTTCCCAATGTAGCCTTTATTTTTCTTCTCCTCAAGTTTTCTACAACACTCACGAAGGGACTGATGATTTATTATTAGGAATGTCTAATGATGTTGGGAGATACTTAAAATGAACTTCAGCATGAACCATATATCTAATTGGTAATTTGCTTGGTTAAAAATCCTTTATACTCAGGGCTTAGACCAAAGATTTCGGTTTGTGCTTCCTTTGAGAGCAATGATCTATTCAATATGTCTAACGAAACCATTATAACTATTTGTTATGATGTTAAAATAATTCCATAGTCTCCTATTTTTCTAGTTATCATTCTAATACAATATTTTTTCTCTCTTATATTAGTAATGTTGTTTCAACATTTCAAAAAAATAGTTACAAAGTCCATATTGAAGAGACATATTGCACATTAGTATGTATCACTAGATATTTATATTGAGCATCTTCCTAGTGTTGTTATCTCTTCTTATTTCTTTTGTTTCTGTTTTTCATTAATTCATCTGCTGACTTTTCTTACTTGAGTCACATTTGCAGTTATGTTTCATGCATATAAGCCCCTGAGTCTAGGGCGTTATTAAATCTCATTAAGTAGAAGGATCTTTTTTTTAATAGTGTCTGTCACTTGACCCTTTTGGACAAAGAATAAAATGTGTCAACTTCTTCCTAATGTTTACCCTGAGATACAAAAACACTCCTGAACACATGCTAGTTTTGATTACATTGATAGCTGACATTCATCCAAAATTTTAAGGCTCCAGGGGACTCTAGACAGCATCCTGAGGTTGGCAGAATGAGCCTGGACATGGGGGTCAGTCAAGTCAGGTTTCAATCCCTACGTTTCACACTTAGCAGTTATGTGGCCTTGGAAAATTGCTTACTATTCTGGTATCCAGTCTTCTCATCTATAACAATGGGATAAGTAGTCACAAAATTGACTGCAGGGTAAATGAGACAATATTTCACAGTGCTGGGAGAACATACCTGTTGGTCATTAAATCTTAGTTTCTTCCTTTTGTATTATAGCTGAGGAAGCAGAGGCCCAGAAGAGCTTGAGGGTTTTCCAAGCCTCCATAGATATACTGGCAGAGCTGAGGCCCAGGTCTTCAGACTCCATGTTTTGATTCCACTATTTAATTGATAAGTAATTTTTTACTTTTAGTAAAAATGAAATTATAGAATAAATTGATATATTGTTTGGTAGAAAACCAAAAGCCTGTGATCTAATATAGTGATTTTCACTGGTGCTTGAACCTCACTGCATGTTAGAATCTTCTAGGAAGCTTTAATAAAATCCCACTGACCAGGCCATACCCCACTCTTGTTAAATCATTGTATCTCAGGGTGGGACTCAGGCATGAAATTGTTTTTATAACTCCCTCTGTAATTTCAATGTGATCTTATGCACAGAATTTGCTGACACTGTTGAGATACTTCAAACCATCTGTAAGATAGTTTTAAAAGTTTGTTCTTTTGTCAATAGATCAGGCATCTTGAGGAATATTGTTTTCCTTAAGTGTTTTCTTGTGGGGAGGGGTTGGGGAGAAAAGGATTTATTTCTTGCCCTGCAATGAAACCAGTTGTCAATGAAGTCTGAGATCTGGAGTTGGCAGATCCAAGCCCTACAGCATAGAGCAGAATATAAAAGGGAGGTGGGGCTGGAGCTGAGGACCCCTGGCAAAATCAAGTGCAATGTGAAGCCACTGAGCTCTTTGCTTCCTGGCCTGGAGGTTTCTCACTGACAACAAAATGTCAGGACCATCTCCCTGAGAAAACTGGGAGGCTTTGGAGAGCCACAGCTCCTCACGGGCCCCTTGATAGCACGTGTCTGTTGCACTGCTTATTTACTGGGATAGTTGTTCCAAAGCAAAAACACCTTCAACCTCATTTTGGTGACACTTTTGCCAATCTTGACATCCGGGTCACCTTTGTGGTCTGACTTGATCATTTTCTTACTAAACTCTGGGGGTTTTAGAAGCAGGCACCTAGTCCTTATAGCGTTTGTAGCCTCAGAACCTAGCTCAGTGCCTGCTGCATAGTAATCCCTTAATAATGCTTTTAAATGAAAGAAAAAGCTTGCCACACAGAAAAACAGAATGTATATACGTGTGTGTTTGTGTGTGTGTGTGTGTGTGTGTGTCATATTATGTAACAGTTTGTATCCTGGGAAATCATTTGCCTGATCAAAATATTGATTGCTCCGGGAAGTACTGGGTGAACTGAGTATATTCCTTATGGCAGACAAGACTTAGCAACAAGAAGAAAAGGAGTCATGGAATGGGAAGCAGAAGCTAAGGCAGGCAGATACCATGATAGTGAAAGCAGGAGAGCCTGACACTGAAAGGGACAATGTCTAGAAAGAGGAACAAAATTCTCTAACTGTATAAAATCCCTTAGTCTATTACTACTTCAGAAACATCATGCCCAATATACTTTTGTATTTTCATATATTCCTTCCTTGCAATGCCTTTCATTGAAATACCTAGCTGCATTCTCAAGCGGCGGTTGTGGTCGGTCGGATCTGGAGTGGAGAATGGCGAGTAAGCACATAAAATAGGTGAGACTTTTGACTGTCTTCTTCATGGTTTCTTGATCATATTGCCATACTCCTTCAGATTGAGACTATCATGGCTAACACAGTGAAACCCCGTCTCTACTAAAAATACAAAAAATTAGCCTGGCGTGGTGGTGGGCGCCTGTAGTCCCAGCTACTCGGGAGGCTGAGGCAGGAGAATGGCGTGAACCCGGGAGGTGGAGCTTGCAGTGAGCCGAGATCGTGCCACTGCGCTCCAGCCTGGGCGACAGAGTGAGACTCCGTCTCAAAAAATAAATAAATAAATAAATAAATAAATAAATAAATAAATATAAGTAAATAAATAAATAAACTCACATGTCATTTAAAAAAATGTATAATCAGTGGGTGTGACTACTCCCTTTCCACTGTGTGCGTGCTGCCTTGTGATGTTTCTGCTTCAAGGTCCAGCTCAATGCCTCTTTGCTATAGGAACCTTCCATGTTGGCTTTACCCTTCAGGTATATTGTGGTTTCCAAATTATGTATCATTGGAAGGTTTGAAAAGTTTGGGACTCATGATAATGAGAGCTAGTATTTATTGAGTGGTGTAATCAATCCAGATCCTGGCAGGACACAGGTAGCACACTTAGTTTGTGTTTTTGAAGGCATTTTTAATGAAGGAACTATTTACAGAGGTGTGGGCGGGGTAAAGGCAACCAACAAGGACTGCTGGAACTGGCACAGTAGGAAGTCATTGTCAGCACCGACATAAAGAGGCGGAGGAGCTGTGGTGTTCCTGGCCCTATTCAGGGCTGGAACCATTAAGTGGTGCTATTCAACATGGAAGTTCCCTAGAGAGGAGGGAGAGAGCAGGAGGAATAACTTCCCTAGACTCTCACTCCTGTTTGCTTCCAGTCTCCTGATAGTGCTTCTCACTGACTGAAATTAGCCAGAATCCGCATGACCCAGAAGCCTGAGAGTGGAGAACTTAGAGGACAGCAGGGAATGGGGCAGAGAAGTATGGAGAGCAGATCTGGGGGCAAATGGAGTGCATGCCAGACACTGTGTGAAGTGGGGATTAATACTAATTTACGGAGGAGGAAACTGAGGTCATACAGGTAGGAAGTCATAGAACTGGGATTCAAACCATGTCTCCAGGCCCCTGAAGACCAAGCTCTTCCCGTGAGCAGGTAGCTTCTCACTACTGCACCTGGCCCCTCCTCCTAACCAGATCATGCTTTCCTGGAGGGTAGCATGTTTTCCTGGAGGGGAAAACACAGTAGGTATTCAACACAACATAAGCTAGAAACGGCATTTGGTTTTATGTGATAATTTCTAACGGCTGTCTTTAACGCAAATGTGTTTAACAATAAAATCAAAATTTTAATATTCAGTCTCAACATTTTCCATCACGATTTCCTGACATTTTCCTATAATCATTTGCTATTGAATATTGGGACAAGATAGAGCAAAGCCTTCCTTTAAAGAAGAATACGAAGCTATTTTCTGTGGGTATATAAAAGTGTGACATTTTAAGAAAGAATAATCCACAATATTGCCACTAAAAAAAAAAAAAGGTTTTTCTAGAAAATTCACTGATTTAAAAAGTCAAATTCTCTAGCAACCACCAAGTAGTGGGGTGACAGCACAGTATTTTGGAAGAGGCACTGTGCTGGGAGTCAGAAGCCTGGTGTTCTAATTCTTCCACTTTCCAAGGCTGTGATCTAGGAAAGTGTTTGAACATCCCCGTGCTCTCATTCTCAACTATTAAATGGAAGTAATAATACTTACATGGCAACATCATAGGTTTGTTGTGAAACTCAAATGAGATTATGGGATAGATGTAAGTAATCTTTGAAGATCCCCTGCTGGCTCTGAGTCTCTAATATCTATTTAAAAGGGCTTAATAATGTGTGAAGAATGACTCAAAGGTAAAGGCTTAAGAGATAAAATGAGACACTGCCATATTTAAGCCATCAAAATGTTCTGTCTGGGACTTTTTGTGAATGCAAATTTTATTTTAATTTTAAGACAGAATAAGAGGGATTAAGTGTACCAGAGCCGAGATAATGGCAAGTATTCAGGAGGGAGTTAGGATTATTTGAAGAGTTTTACTGTATCATGTTCCTCCCTGCCCCTTATATTAACTTCATTGGAAACTATTCTTTGGATTTTATGCACTCAACGTATTGAATCAAAGTGAGAAAGGCAGAAAAGATGCCTTGTACCCATCGTGCTACTGTGCTTTCAGGCAGGTAATGACTAATAAGTACACAGTGTCCTGAGGAAACCACGTGATATGTTCCAGTCATGGTCCCAAAGTCCTCTTGGGAGGTTGAAAAGTGGTTCTTTAGTTGTCAGAGGAAACACAAAATACACAGTTAGTGTTGCATTAGAGAGTAAAATCAGGGAAGAAAAGAAATTTCAAAAGCCTTTCACGGTCAAAATTATTTTTAGTAGTGTGTGCCAGTATGATTTATTTGTACTTCATTTAGTTTTTCTTTACTCAGGTATATTTTCCTTAAGGTGGATTCAAATGTCAATGAATTTCACTCCCAAAGGGGAAATTTATACTTTTTCTAAATTATTTAGCCTTTAGTTTTCCAGTCACCACATCAAAACTCTACACCATCTGCTATGATTTGAATGTTTATATCTTCTACAAAATCGATGTTGAAACTTAATCCCCAATGCAATAATATTAAAAAGAGATTAGGTGATTAGGTCATGAGGGCTCTACCCTCATGGATGAGATTAATGCCTTAAGAAAGGCTGGAATAAACTGGCTAGTCCCTTTGTGCCCTCTGTCCCTTCTGCCATGTGAGGACGCAGAACTTGTCCCGTCCTATAAACACAGCTACAAGGTGCCATCTTGGAAGTAGAGACTGAGACTTCACCAGACACCAATCCTGCTGGTGCTTTGGCCTTGGACCTTCCAGCTTCCAGAACTGTGAGAAAGTAATTTCTATTATTTTAAAATTACCCAGTTTCACATATTTTGTTATAGCAGCATGAATGAACTAAAATACCATCTCTTTTTTGAGATAATTGTACTTTTCGGAAAATAAAAAAAATTAAATATTTTTTGTCATCTTCTTCGTCTTTTCTCAAGTATATCTGCCTCACTGAGGACTACTCTGAATGTGCTCTCCTTCCTGGAACTTCTGGTTACTCTTACTTAGCTTTATTTTTCCTTCCCATTACTATAATTTCCTAATATATGTGATGAATTTATTACACTTATTGCTTCTTGTCTATCTGTGTGTGGAGAAGACAAGCTCTTCGAGGGAAGGAGTCTGTTTCATTCCATGACTCATCACTAGCACCTAGAACAGTGTCTTGTACTGAGTAAGGATTAATTAAGCATTGATTGAGTGAATGAACAGTAAGTATACATGCTCAGTATAGAAATTTGAAAAGTAAAATTTTATGGAAGGAAATAAAATCTCCTGTAATCTTAAGAGGTAACAGAATAACACTTCCATATATCCTGTTTCTTCGCCCATTCATCCTACTAACATGGTTAATAGAAGTTAGAAAACTACATGCTGAACCATCTTGGCCTTGCTGTTGCCCAGCCTCTTTAATTATCCTTCCTCAGGAGCCAGCTGTCTTGTGCCGTGATCTTCCTATCTCTCCTTATATTAGAATCAACTGTTTTTCTTCATTTTGGCCTCATAACACCCCTTCCAAACTGTTATCACACCATTGGTAGGATCTTTGTACCAATTTCAATTCGGACTCCGAGCATGGTGAATTATTAATTGGCTGGAAAAAATTGTGTGTATGCATGTGCTGTAATTGCTGATTTATTTACTCAAGAATAACTAAAAGTTGGGTTTATTACTTGCAATCAAGAGGTTTATTGACACTTTTGTAATTATCCTTTAGCCATTTCTCTGATTTTTCTCTTTGGATTCATAGAAAAAGAGATAACTACATGAAAGGAAATGAACCTGTTTTGAAACTTGATACATTTTACCGAACTCCTTTCCTATCAGGAAATAATACCAATAGCAATAATACTGGTATTATTACGAGCAGTTCATAATGCCGTCAGGAGTTTTTGACAGTTTCCTGTGTCAATCTCACTATACTGTTATTTTCAAAATTTGCCAAGTTGATAGGTAAAAAATATCTCATGATGATCTGAATTTGATCATTACTAATGAGATTAAATCTTTTCATCAGCATTAGCCTTGTGTATTTCTTTTTGAATTAATGCTCTTTGATCTTTTCTGTACTGGTAGGTTTATAGATATATTTAGGTATTAAAGCTTCTTATATACTAAGAATAGCAACTCTTGTATCTTATGTATGTTGCAACTGTTTGGTCTCAACTTGTTTGCCTTAAAATGTATGTATGGTTTCTGATACTGTCTTAGTTCAGGCTGCTATAGTATATTAGCATAGACAGAGTGGCTTAAACAATAAACATATTTCTCAGAGATCTGGAGGCTTGAAGTCCAAGGATAAAGAGCCAGTAAATCAGGTGTCTGGTGAGGGTCTGATTCCTGGTTTGCAGATGACCTTCTTCTTGCTGTAGTCTCATATGGAGGAGAGAAGAAAGAGAGAGAGAATTAGGGTGGGGTAGGGAGAGGGAGAAAGAGAAACAGAGAGAGAGAGAGAGAGATGCTCTGATGTCTCGTCTTACAAGGGCCCTAATTCCATCCTGAGGCTCCACCTTCATGACCTAATTAATTCCCAAAGGCCCCACCTCCTAACGGCATCACCTTATGGGTTAGGGTTTTGACATATAACTTCTTTTTGTTGGTAGGGGGAACCCAAACATGCAGTCTGTAACATATATTGTGTTTATGTTTAAATTTTCATGTTTAAATTTTGGGAAATTAAATTTATTAATCTTTTCCTTTGAGATTTTTCACAGAAAAATTACATATTTTGGCCTTTCCATGTAAGTTTCAAATGAAAAGAACTGGATTTGTGAGGAATTATTTTATTACTGGACAGAGCTGTGTTCTGTTTTGTCAATAAGAATGCTCGTCAGTATGTTATGTGCTACTGATTTCAAGGTAGAAGCTTCCTAAATACCAAACTGTATAATCTTTAATAAATTCCTATTAATATTTTCAAAACTTATATTGTGACTCTAGTAAATAGAAAGGCCATTTTTCCACTGTACCTGATTTTTTTTTTAATTTTTATTTTTTGAGACATAGTTTCGCTCTGTCGCCCAGGCTGGAGTGCAGTGGTGTGATCTCCACTCACTGCAGCTTCTGCCTCCCAAGTTCAAGCGATATTCTTGCCTCAGCCTCCCGAGTAGCTGGGATTACAGGCATGCACCACCATCCCCTGCTCATTTTTGTATTTTTAGTAGAGATGGAGTTTCACCATGTTGGCCAAACTGGTCTCGAACCCCTGACCTCAAGCGATCTGCCCACCTCATCCTCCCAAAGTGCTGGGATTACAAGTGTGAGCCACCACACCCGGTCCTGAATTGTTTAAAAATGCACATTTGATTATATCCATACCTGCCCCATTTAAGCTGTTCATGGATTTACCATCATGTTCAGGATAAAGCTCAAATTCCTACCTAGCATGTCAAATTCTTGATGATCTTGCACTTGCAGACCTCTCCAGGTCTTCTCTCCCAACATCCCTTCCTACTTCCACTTCATGCAGAACCACTTCTAATTACCTGAACACATTATTCTCCCTTTCTTTCTTTGGTTCCCTCTACCTGTAATATTTCCCCAGCCTAGCTAACTCCATCCTATGAGACACCTGCAATGCATTCTTTTCCAGACAAAAATTGGATACAGTAGTTCAGCCAGGTGTCCTATTTTATGCTAGGAATATAGTATCACTCTCTGAAACTCAGAGTTGCTGTATCAATCAAACCCGCTGGCTAATTATTTCCAGGGATGACAGCCAAATGTCAGCACTATTTATCTCAGTGTACTAAAATAGAAACTTGTCTTTAGTGGACGTGAGTGTCTTTAGTGAGAAATACTGAATGCCTTCACAATCTGGATCAATTCATTCAACTCCCGGGCATGGGCGTTAGAGGCAGCCGGCTCATCTTTGATAGAAAGGCAGGATCATGTAAAGCCCCGTAGGAGGCTGGAGTCCCACTGACGTTCTTTAAGTTTTGGGCAGTGAAATAGAAAAAGTTTCTCTTAAAAATTCCCAGACCTAGATGATTTCTCCTGTGCTACACGATGCAGAACTCTGAGGTTTCATGAAAGTATCTGAGCGAATTCAAAAATCATTTAAAGGACTCCATCCATAGGCAGCTCTGAGCTTTACTTTCATAGAGAAGTGTCTGAAATCTCAGTTTGGGGAACAAAATAAGGCACAGTGTCAAACTTTAACATTTGAATTTTAACTCTTAGGTAGCAAATTGATTCCCAGATTCTTACTGTGGGACTTTTATTTGTTATCACACAAATTGAATGCATCCTACAGTGAGTTCCCCGCAGGAAGTATAGCCAAAATATTTCTAAGTGAGAGAACAGCTTACCTATCCTTTGCTCTCAAGATCTTGACTCTATGGTATCTTCAGAATGGAAATTTTTGTTCAGTTTAAATTATCAAACAATTCAAATTGTAGAGATGAGAAAGACCTATTTTCATAGTGAACTGCCACATTTTCTCATGGTTTATTATTTGACTCAGAATTCTCAGGCAGCAATTTAAAAAACAGTGTTTATTTTTTTAATCTACTTTGATCTCTAGTGATATCAGCATAGTTATGATAATCATCAAAATGGTTACTAAAAATATATACTGCAGGGAGAGTGTAGTGGACACTGTGGTGTGCCACCCACATTCTTCTTCAGGGAGAAGGCCCTCCTATCCCCAGCCCCTAGAAGATTTGTTGTTGACAGCTCACGGCTGTGTCACTTTCAGGAAACTGCCCAAGGATTAAGACATCATCAACCAAAGTTACAGTTCCTTCCTGGGAATAGCCCACATTCAGTGCCTGATTGTTAATGACAGAGGTGTATACAAGCCAAGACACTGTGTACACAGTGGGGAAATTCTTACTGTGGGGAATTTTTTTTTTAATTATACTTTAAGTTCTAGGGTACATGTGCACAACGTGCAGCTTTGTTACGTATGTATACATGTGCCATGTTGGTGTGCTGTACCCATTAACTCATCATTTACATTAGGTGTATCTCCTAATGCTATCCCTCACCCCTCCCCCAGCCCCATGACAGGCCCTGGTGTCTGTCCCAGCTCTAGAGCACCTGGTGGATTGGTTGAGCCCGTACAGTGTAACCTCTTTTTCTATCTAAACCAGTTTCTGTCCTCCCTCACAGGTGCTGGTCCTGAGACTGCTACCTGATTACCATTTTGCACATAAATGTCAGTCTGCTTCCTGGGGCTGACTTGAGACAGCATCTATAATACAATACAACTGTGTTCTGAACTGAGTCTCGCTCTGTAGCCCAGGCTGGAGTGCAGTGATGTGATCTCAGCTCACTGCAACCTCCACCTCCCGAGTCCTGGTTCAAGCAATTCTCCTGCCTCAGCCTCCTGAGTAGCTGGGATTACAGGTGCGTGCCACTATGCCCAGCTAATTTTTGTATTTTTAGTACAGACAGAGTTTCACCATGTTGGCCAGGCTGGTCTTGAACTCCTGACCTTGTGATCTGCCCGCCTTGGCCTCCCAAAGTGCTGGGATTACAGACATGAGCCACCATGCCCGGCCATTTCTTTTTTGTCTTCAGAAAAAAGTGAGTGGAGAAGAGTGAGTAGGTCATGAAACCTTCAACAATTTGGAACCTGACTGCTAGGCTAGTTAGTCCAAATTGAGTTCCCAGTGTGTATCCTGACATGATGCTTGGTCTTCACATAGAATGGATTCTTGGCTAAAAATCTGACATTCTTACAGATTAGGATTTTCTAAAGATTTAAGATTGTTAAAAACCAATTCCTGGGAGACAGAGTTAGGAGCACTTTATGCTCTCATGGCTTCCTGATTTTGTGCCATATTATATATGGAATTAAAATTTCCTTTTTGCCTGTTCTTTCCACTTCTGTATAGACTCTATGAAGAAAAGAACTGAGGTTTTTTTTCCCTCTATTGTATCTACAGTAGCTAGAAAAAATAATATTGATAAATATATTTGGATATATTAATATTTTATAAACAATGCAGATGAAGAAATTAAATTTTTATATTGAGCAGTAATTTTTAAAAGGCTACCAACAAGCATTTGCTGGCTAAAAACTATTTGAGCATCAATGCCCTAAGTTGGTGGCTTTTAAATTTTTCCTCTGTAACTCACAAAATATATACTGTGATATAGTTTACACAATCATGCACAGGCATATAAAACTAAAAAACACTTTTATGAAATCATTCATGTACTTACTACTTGTGTTCCACTCTGATATTTCCTATTCTATTTAATTTTATTAAAGGAAAATCATGAGTGGACCTACCAAGTCAATATTGCCCCTCACAAGTGTCATGACCAGCAGTCCAAAATGCTTTCTTGGTGCATATTGTCCATTGCTATCTTGAAAAACCCGATGTGCTAGGGAAAAAAAACATGCATACATAAAACAAGAACATATACAAAACAACAGACTGGTGGAATTCAGAGCAACACGGTGCAAACATATTGAAGGAGAAACAAGTAATGAAGAGATCTATGCAAACACTTGAGGAAGTAAGTTTTAAACTGGATTTTGTGAAGTAGATGGAATTGAATTGGCAGAAATAAAAGAGAAAAAGGAATGGACAAAATTTTAGAAGTCAGATATTTCCCAGCCCTCAATTGCTGTCAAATTGGTGTCAGTGAGAAAGTTGCAACAGATTTGGGAGAAAAATAATTTTAAAAACCAAATGGATTCTATCTTTAGATTGCTTCATCATCTTTTAAGTTCTCACTACTATTTAAAGAAAAATGAACCTTGACATGGTAGGCTCTGTTAGTGATGTGATAAACTAGAAGAAGAAATTTGGCCTAATATGAAAATATTGGTGAATGAATGTTTATTTATACCTTCAAAGTCTGTGTAGATAGCAGTTTTAAAAATGATTCTCCATTTTATCAGACTTTTATTTTTTTGGAAGAGATATTATCTCTTCAATGGTTAAGTGTCCAAGGACAGATGAAATAAAGAGCAGTTTCAAATATGAATTTAATCAGAATCTCAAGGACAGACTTCTAAAATGCAGACACGTGTATGCAGCTAAGGCTCTTTTCACATGTGTACCACTGGTGATTTATTTATTTAAAGATGGTTAATGATCCTCTCAACCTCTACTGGAGATGGTAGAGAATGAGAAATACTGTTGGAGAAACCTGTAAACCAGAGAATAAAAGAGACAGCTAGGTCCTCAGTATGAGTATATTATAAAAGAGAAGCAGACAAAAGCTTTTCTTGCTCATTATTCTGAAGAACACACTTTTAAAGTTGTTAGTTTTCTTTATCAGTGCCTGGAAGGGTTCCTGACTTTGAATCCTTCTTTATAAAGAAAACCCAGGCTGGGTGCAGTGGCTCATGCCTGTAATCCCAGCACTTTGGGAAGCCAAGGTGGGCGGGTCACCTGAGGTCAGGAGTTCAAGACCAGCCTGGCCAACATGGTGAAACCTGTCTCTACTAAAAATACAAAAATTAGCCGGCCATGGTGGTGGGTGCCTGTAATTCCAGCTACTCAGGAGGCTGAGGCAGGAGAATCACTTGAAGCTGGGGGGCAGAGGTTGCAGTGAGCTTAGATGGTGCCATTTTACTCCAGCCTGGGTGAAAGAACGAGACTCCGTCAAAAAAAAATTAAAAAATAAAAAAAGAAAGAAAGCCCAAAAATTAATTTGGAAACATAAACCAACATTTAAGAATCAGAATTTTGAACGGTTAAGAAAATAGTTAAATGGATTATGATAATTATATCAATCATCTATGGTTGTTTATAATTTCATTTTACCAGAAAATTATTGAGTCTTCACCAGGTAAAATTGATAGAAATATCTCTTTCCTGGCCTGTCCTTTATTCTATCCTACTTTTGTTATTTTATTTCTCTGATCATTTTCTTCCTGCCCTACAGCGTTCTTGTTCCATGTCTGCTAGCACTGGGAATGGTTGCTGCCTGTTGTTAGGGTGTGTATTACCAGTTTCAGAGAATTTGAATTCTTAGTATCTGTCTGCAACTGTTAAAGGGTGAGATAGAGTGGTAGCTTTTGTTCCTACTTAACCGTTTTTGAGGGGTTTTCAGAGCTGTTTTATCTATTTGGCTAAAATATTTGAAACCTTAAAAATATTTAAGACTTAGAAAATCAATTTAAAAACATAAAATAGAAGTTACAATATCAAAATTGACCACGGTTAATAATCATGTTTTCTATATTTCAAAATTGCTAATAAATTTTAACATTCTCACCACAAAAAGATGATAAATTGGTGGGGTAATGGATAGTTAATTAGCTTGATTGAATCTTCCCACTGTATACATAGATCAAAACATCACATTGT